>NC_000016.10:66986742-67289772 GCF_000001405.40 Homo sapiens
CCTTAAGCGGTCCTCCTGCCTTGGCCTCCTAAAGTGCTGAGATTACAGGCGTGAGCCACCACAAGTTAACACGTTATGCTGGGGAGGAGTTAGGGGAGAGATTTTCTTTGTAGAGACCTGTTACCTCGCTGTGAGTTCTCACCCCACTTCTTTCCCCTCAAGCCTGTGGGCATGAGACCATGGGGAAGATGAGTGGTGCTTTCCACCATAGGAGGCTCAGCCAGCCAGAGCCTGACTCCACCCCGCCATCGTGAGTGGGGCAGAAGGGGCTGCAATGGGATGGGCCACACCTCTGCTGAGGTGGGGCAAGGGATATTGGAGGTTTGCCCATGTAGACCCCACAGGATAAGTGGCAGAGGCAGGGGTGGGGGGTCATCTTGGGCCTTCATTAGAGGAGCACAGAGCCCAGGCAGCAATGATTGGGCAGTGAATGCCACATTCCTTGGGACTGAGGAAGGGTCACAAGGATGGGAACTGTGGGAGAGGAGTCCCAAATAAAGAGCATCTCCGAAGAACTCAGAAAATTGACTGTGAAAGAAGGAGGTTTAACCATCTGTCAGGCCTATAGAGCAAGAGGCTGTGGGCCAAGGGAGAAGTTCTCTGTTCCCCTGCCTTTTCCCCTCCCCAGCACAGAAGCCCAACAGACCCTCTTTTCACAAAGATGGGCCAGGACCCCAGACTTTGGGGGTACACGAGAGAGGAAACATCTTACCTTTTTTTTGTTCTTTGAGATGGAGTCTCACTCTGTCGCCCAGGCTGGAGTACAGTGACGCCATCTTGGCTCACTGCAAGCTCCGCCTCCTGGTTTCAAGCAATTCTCTTGCCTCAGCCTCCTGAGTAGCTGGAACTACGGGCGCGTGCCACCACGCCCGGATAATTTTTTGTATTTTTAGTAGGGACGGGGTGTTAGCCAGGATGGTCTCGATCTTCTGACCTCGTGACCCGCCTGCCTCAGCCTCCCAAAGTGTTGGGATTACAGGCATGAGCCACCGTGCCTGGCCTATTTATTTTTGAGACAGGGTCTCACTCTGTCACCCAGGCTGGAGTGCAGTGGCCCGATCTCGGCTCACTACAACCTCCGCCTCCCAGGTTCAAGCCATCCTCCTGCCTCAGCCTCCTGAGTAGCTGGGACTACAGGCACACACTACCACGCCCAGCTAATTTTTGTATTCTTTGTTTTAGTAGAGACGGGGTTTCACCATGTTGGCCAGGCTGGTCTCGAACTCCTGACCTCAGGTGATCCACCTGCCTCAGCCTTCCAAAGTGCTGGTATTACAGGCATGAGCCACCACACCCAGCCCCATCTTACCTTTGACTGAAGATGGGACTGCTGTCTCCTTGCTTCCACCTCCCACACTTGCTCCTGTGGCTCCAAACTTCAAACAGGATCTTTCTTTGCCTGGCCCACTCCTCCTCATCCTTTACTTAGAAGATTAGATCTTTTCCAGGGAATCTTCATTCCCACCACCCGGCTCTGGGCTCACTCCTCGGGTGCCCCTCTGGGCTCCCACATTACGGTTGCTTTCAGGTCCAGCTTCCGCATGTGGACTATGAAACTGTGAGGACAGCCAAGGGTCAGCATGTGCGAGGAAAGGCAGGGAAGAGGCTAGACGAGGCACTGGGGAGCAGGGAGGCCCAAGACCCTTAAATCCACAGACAGGAAGCCCTGGCTGAAGGGCCAAGTAACCAGGTGTTCTACTTCAATCTTGGCACCCACTGTATGCTTAGACCTTGACTCACACATGTTCAGCTTTAAGCCACTGCACAGATGAGCAAACGGGGCGGAGATTGCAGGCTGATCAGTTTGAAGAGCCAAGATCATCTAGCGTGACCTGTTGCCCAAGGCAGAGACAAGGCTGTGGGCTGGTCAGAAGCTGGTTACAATTCCTCCCGCCCCAGTACTTGCTGGCAGGGATTAAGAGCAGATAAAAGTGTGCTCACACACTGTAGACACGGCTACCATGCCATCCACAGTGTTGCCATCCACAGTGTTGCCATCACTCCTGCCCACAGCAGGAGCTGGCTGGAGCATGAGGTGGATTCTGTGCTGGAGCCTCACCCTCTGCCTGATGGCGCAGACGGCCTTGGGTAAGACCCCCACCCCTTCCCGAGAGTGTCAGGCAAGACGGGCACAAGGGATGGAGGGACAGGCCCCAGTTCAACCTCTCCTGGGGACAGCAGGGCAGGAGCACTTAGACAAGGCCTGGGCAAATGGAGGGTAGGGTTTCAGGACACTAAACCATCTACCAGCTGGGAGTCTGGACAAGTCCTTTAGCCTCCCTGAACCTCAGGGCTTCTCTGTATTTCCTGCCTCCCGGCACAGGTGAAGGGGTCTGAGAACATGGCCACATCTTTTCTTCCTTCCCACCTTTTTCCTTCCTTCCATCCTTCTTTCCTTCTCCTAAGCAGGAGGCCTGTCTCTGCCCCCTCTCTGCTACATGAACCTCTTTACCACCTTCAAATTTCTCCCCAATATCTTTCTTTTTAAAATGAGTACTACACTTTTTACTGTGAAAACAATCTAATACATTAACAAAAGTTTACTGAGGTATAAGATGTATACAGCAAGGTGCACACATCTTCACTGTATAATTATATCTATTATACTAATTATTATATATATATATATGGTAACCATTATCCAGATCAACATCTAGAACATTTCCAGTGGGTTAGGCATGGTAGCTCATGCCTGTAATTCCAGCACTTTGAGAGGCTGAGGTGGGAGGATTACTTGAGCCCAGGAGTTTGAGACCAGCCTGGGCAAATAGTGAGACCTAGCCTGGGTAAATAGACTCTGTCTCTATTTTTAAAAAACATTTTTTAAAAAGTTTTTTTAACTTACAAGGATACACCTGTAATCCCAGCACTTTGGGAGGCCGAAGCGGGCAGATCACCTGAGGTCAGGAGTTTGAGACCAGCCTAACCAATATTATTACCCCGTCTCTACTAAAAATACAAAACTAGCCAGGCATGGTGGCACATGCCTGTAATCCCAGCTACTCAGGAGGCTGAGGCAGGAGAATCGCTTGAAGCCAGGAGGCAGAGGTTGTAGTGAGCCGAGATCGTGCCATTGCACTCCAGCCTGGGCAACAAGAGCGAAACTCTATCTCAAAAAAAAAAACAAAAAACCATCTCCAGCGTCCCATGTACTCCTTCTCAGTCAATACTCAAAGTTACCACTAGTCTGACCTCTATCATAAATAAATTTTGCCCATATATACATATATCCATTATTTTAAATTTGAAGGAAACTTTGCTTACTCCGCTTTTAACATTTTGGCGCATTTTCTTTTCATCTTTTCTTTTTTTTTTTTTTTTTTTTTGAGACGGAGTCTCGCCCTGTCACCCAGACTGGTGTGCAATGGTGCCATCTCCGCTCACCGCAACCTCCACCTCCCGGGTTCAAGCAATTCTCCCCACCTCAGCCTCCCAAGTAGCTGGGACTACAGGCGTACACCACAAGCCCAGCTAATTTTTGTATTTTTTTAGTGGAGATGGGGTTTCGCCATGCTGGCCAGGCAGGTCTCGAAATTCTGACCTGAGATGATCCACCTGCCTCGGCCTCCCAAAGTGCTGGGACCGCAGGCATGAGCCACCATGCCCAACCTCTTTTCACCTTTTCATTGTGTATTTATCTATAGCTGTACTATTAGAATGTACACAATTTTAAGCCAAATGGGGTGGCTCATGTCTATAATCCCAGCATTTTGGGAGTCTGATGTGGGAGGATTGCTTAAGCTCAGGAGTTCAAGACCAGCCTGGGCAACATAACTAGAGCCCATCTGAACAAAAAATTTAAAAATTAGCCAAGCATGGTGTGGTGCATGCCTGCAGTCCCAACTGCTCGAGAGGCTGAAGTGAGAGGCTCACTTGAGTTTGGGAGGTGGAGGCTGTAGTGAGCTATGATCATGCCACTGCCTTCCAGCCTGGGCAACAGAGGGAGACCTTGTCTCAAAAAAAGAAAAAAATAAGGGAAAGAAAAGAAAAGAAAGAATGAATGAATAAACACAATTTTATATTCTGGGGTTTTTCTTTTTTTTTTTAATTTAAGTTATTACCAAAAGCAGTTTAAAGTTTGAGTCTGTAGTTACATTGGCCTTGCTTGGTCCCCAGATATAAATGATGCTTCCAGTATTCACTATGGTATAGATAAATTTAGTTCAGAAAGGTCTTTGTTTTCATGTGTTTCTGACTATTTTCACAGGGGAGAGACCCAGAAGTGGAATTACTGAGTGAAGGCATGTGAACTTTTCTTTTCTTTTCTTTTCTTTTCTTTTTTGGTTGTTGTTTTGTTTTTGAGATGGAGTCTCACTCTGTCTCCCAGGCTGGAGCACAGTGATGCGATCTTGGCTCACTGCAACCTCCACCTCCTGGGTTCAAGCAATTCTCCTATCTCAGCCTCCCGAGTAGCTGGGATTACAGGCACGCACCACCACGCCCAGCTAATTTTTGTATTTTTAGTAGAGACAGGGTTTCACCATGTTGGCCAGGCTGGTCTCGAACTCCTGACCTCCAGTGATCCACCTGCCTTGACCTCCCAAAGTGCTGGGATTACAGGCGTGAGCCACCACACCAGCTGGCAAGTGAACTTTTCATGGCTTTGTATACATTTCGCCAAATTATTTTCCCAAGGCATTGTATCAGTTTATCCTCCACCAACAGTATATGTGAATGTCCTTTTCACTGTATCTTCACCAGAATTAGATGCCATCACTTTTAAATTTATTAGGTCTAAGTTGTAACTCCTGGTTTTAGTTAGCACTTTATGACCACCAGTAAGGTGGAATATTGTTTTCATAGGTGCTTACATGCTGCCTCTGGGTAGCAGAGCTGGGATGGGGACCACTCCATGGCAGCTCATGCTCAGGGGTCTAGAGCACTCTGCTACATGGCTAGGTGCCCCTTGGAGGCTAGGGAGCCGACAGAAAAACATGGTTTAAGGCACTGCTCTGATGTAAGATACTTTTCTGTGTGACCTTGGCCAACTTATATAACCCCTTTGAGCTTCAGCTTCCACATTTGTATAGTTTTGTAACAATAACATTTGCCCTATAAGGTTTTCAGAAAAATGAGGTGAGGCTGGGCGTGGTGGCTCATGCATGCCTGTACTCCCAGAACTTTGGGAGGCCAGAGTGGGAGGATCACTTGAGGCCAAGAGTTCAAGACCAGCCTGGGTAACAAAGTGAGACCCTGTCTCTACAAAAAAGAAAAAGAAAAAAAGAAAAAAATGAGGTGAGATAATTTAAAGTGTTTGGCAGAGCACCCAGGCTATAATGAAGGCCCAGTAAATTATAGCTATTGGCTATTCCACCATGAGTGGACCCTGGATTCAGGGCAAATCCAGGTAATGGGTTAGACCTTGGCCTCCTGGCTGTGTCCTGTGAGACTGCAGGCTGGTCACGGCCCCCCTCTGGGTCTTTGGGCCTCCCCCAGCTCCTCCCAAGTCCAGTGGAGAAGCCCATGTGAAAGAGCTTTGTAAACTGCAAAGGCTGCACAAACGGGAGATTTGAGCTGGCCCTTGCCGCTGCTGGCCTGCCTCCATGTTTGAAGGGTCTCCATTGCAGTCACTTCTTTTTGCCCAGATATTGCTTATGTGAGACCTGTAGAGACCTGGGGGCATGGGCAGAGAGGCATTTTTGGCCACCTGCAGCTGGGAGTGTGAAGGTGTGCTCTATTGCATCAATTCCAAATCCTATTCCAAAAACCATTTGCATCAAAATCTGGGGAGGTTTGCAACCCTGAGATTCTCATCAGAGAGTGTGGGGTGGGGCCAAGGAATACATATTTTTGCAATGATCCTCCAGGTGATTCTGATGCACAGATAGGTTCGCTAATTACTTGGATCAGGTCTGCTTTCTGTCACTTTACAGAATGAGCTCCATAGGACCGGAGCACAGAACAATTTAGTTTGGGTTTTTGTTGTTTGTTTTTTGGTTTTTTGTTTGTTTGTTTTGAGATGGAGTCTTGCTCTGTTGCCCAGGCTGGAGTATAGAGTGATCTCTGCTCACCGCAACCTCCTCCTCGCGGGTTCAAGAGATTCTCCTACCTCAGCCTCCTAAGTAGCTGGGATTACAGGCTTGTGCCGCTGGCCTGGCTAATTATTATTATTGGTTTTTTTTTAGTAGAGATGGGGTTTCACCATGTTGGCCAGACTGGTCTTGAACTCCTGACCTCAGGTGATCCACCCGCCTCGGCCTCCCAAAGTTCTGGGCTTATAGGCGTGAGCCACCGTGCCCAGCCCAATTCGGTTTTGATAAAAGGAGGAGGGGGCAAATAGACAAGGGCACTTCAGGAAGGGACATTGGATGTGAGGCTTCAACGACTCTTGGCAATAGGAGTGGGGCAGGATGACAGCCTGGAAGAGGAAGAAAAGAGTATCCACGGGAAGTCGGATTCAACTTGGCCTATTTCATATCTATGCCAAGAGCTGGCTATGGTGTAAGTTTGCTTGCATTGTGTATGTGTGCTTGTGTGTGCGTGTAATAAGTATGCTGTAGATAGATTTGTTGTCACCTATGTACAACTGCACTTGTACGCATATGTATGTATGTATATGGACATGCATTTTACTCTTCTGTTTCTGCATGTTTCTTGGAGTGTTTGTTTGTCTGTTTTGAGACGGAGTCTCACTTTGTCACCCAGGCTGGAGTGCAGTGGCAAAATCTCGGCTCACTGCAACCTCCGCCTCCCGGGTTCAAGCGATTCTCCTGCCTCAGCCTCCCGAGTAGCTGGGATTACAGGTGCCCGCCACCACGCCTGGCTAATTTTTGTATTTTTAGTAGAGACAGGGGTTTCACCATGTTGGCCAGGCTGGTCTCGAACTCCTGACCTCAAGTGATCTGCCCACCTCGGCCTCCCAAAGTGCTGGGATTATAGGCGTGAGCCACTGCGCCTGGCCTTTTTCTGCATGTTCCTTTGTAGATGAGCTGTGCTCACATGTACCTATATCATAAATTAGCATGTACATGTGAGTATTAGATGCGAGTATGCATATGAGTAAGAATGCATATATGCGTGTATGATTTCTTCCTAGAAACATGCTGGGCTAATGTTAACAACAAGAACAGAGGCGTAGGCCGGGCGCGGTGGCTCATGCCTGTAATCCCAGCAGTTTGGGAGGCTGAGGCGGGCAGATCACAAGTTCAGGAGATCAAGACCATTCTGGCTAACATGGTGAAACCGTGTCTCTACTAAAAATACAAAAAATTAGCCGGGCATGGTGGCGGGTGCCTGTAGTCCCAGCTACTCGGGAGGCTGAGGCAGGAGAATGGCATGAACCTGGGAGGTGGGGCTTGCAGTGAGCCGAGATCGTGCCACTGCACTCCAGCCTGGGCGACAGAGCAAGACTCCATCTCAAAAAAAGGACAGAGGTGTAGCTATATTAATATCAGACAAACAGAAATCAAAATGAATAATGCATTTATTGCCATTAAATGACGCAGAGAAATAGCCCATATAATAGACATAAATTTTTATTTATTTATTTATTTATTTATTTATTTATTTTTTGAGATGGAGTCTCACTCTGTTGCCCAGGCTGGAGTGCAGTGGCGCGATCTCGGCTCACTGCAACCTCCGCTCCTGGGTTCAAGCAATTCTCCTGCCTCAGCCTCCTGAGTAGCAGTATTACAGGTGTGTGTCACCACGCCCAGCTAATTTTTGTATTTTTAGTAGAGACGGGGTTTCACCATTCCTGACCTCGTGATCCACCCACCTTGGCCTCCTGAAGTGCTGGGATTACAGGCGTGAGCCACCGCGCGCAGCCGACATGAACTTTTATATGCTTACTGATAGGGATTTGAAATGTTAAATGAGGTCGGGCACGGTGGCTCATGCCTATAATCCCAGCACTTTGGGAGGCCAAGGCGGGCGGATCACGAGGTCAGGAGATAGAGACCATCCTGGCTAGTACGGTGAAACCCCATCTCTACTAAAAATACAAAATTAGCCAGGCATGGTGGTGCATGCCTATAATTCCAGCTACTCGGGAGGCCGAGGCAGGAGAATGGCTTGAACCCGGGAGGCAGAGGTTGCGGTGAGCCGAGATCACGCCATTGTACTCCAGCCTGGGCAAAAACAGCGAAACTCCATCTCAAAAAAAAAAAAAAATTAGCCAGGCGCGGTGCTGTGTGTCTGTAGTCCCAGCTACTCAGGAGGCTGGAGCAGGAGAATCACTTGAACCTGGAAGGTGGAGGTTGCAGTGAGCCAAGATTGGGCTATTGCACTCCAGCCTGGGCGATAGAGAAAGACCCCATCTAAATAAATAAATAAATAAATAAATGAGGGCCGGGCGTGGTGGCTCACACCTGTAATCCCAGCACTTTGGGAGGCCAAGGCGGGCAGATCACGAGGTCAGGAGATCGAGACCATCCTGGCTAGCATGGTGAAACACCGCCTCTACTAAAAATACAAAAATTAGCCGGGTGTGGTGGCGGGCGCCTGTGGTCCCAGCTGCTCTGGAGGTTGAGGCAGGAGAATGGCGTGAATCTGGGAGGCGGAGCTTGCAGTGAGCCGAGATTGCGCCACTGCACTCCAGCCTGGGCGACAGAGCAAGACTCCATCTCAAAAAATAAATAAATAAATAAATAAATAAATATAAATAAATAAACGAAACGTTAAAGGAGAGAAAAAATTCTGAGAGAAGCACAAGAAGAAGTGGACAGACACACAATGGTTATGATCAATTGTTATGAAAAGCAGCCACTGCTTCCCATGACAGATGGGCCAGGGTCCCATTTGTGGCTGAGTGGCTGCGCAGGGGTGACCCTTTTCCCCTCTCTTTCCAGGTGCCTTGGTCCCATTTGTGGCTGAGTGGCTGAGCCAGGGTCCCATTTGTGGCTGGGTGACTGAGCAGAGGTGACCCTTTTCCCTTCTCTTCCCAGGTGCCTTGCACACCAAGAGGCCTCAAGTGGTCACCAAATATGGAACCCTGCAAGGAAAACAGATGCATGTGGGGAAGACACCCATCCAAGTCTTTTTAGGAGTCCCCTTCTCCAGACCTCCTCTAGGTATCCTCAGGTTTGCACCTCCAGAACCCCCGGAGCCCTGGAAAGGAATCAGAGATGCTACCACCTACCCGCCTGGGTAAGAGTCAGAGGCCTGTCCACTGGGAGGGGGCAATGGGCCTATGCCTGCATCTGGGTGGGGCTTTGCACAGCTCACTGAGAAGAACTCACTGTGTGATCACAGGCAGGCCTGGGGCCCATTCTGGGCCTCAGTTTTCAGACCCGTATCATGAGCAAACTGGTCCTGATGGTGTTTACATCACTGACAATGCTGCTGTTGGTTTTTGTTTTTGTTTTTGTTTTTTTTAGATGGAGTCTCGCTCTGTCGCCAGGCTGGAGTGCAGTGGCACGATCTCGGCTCACTGCAACCTCCGCCTCCCGGGTTCAAGCGAGTCTCCTGCCTCAGCCTCTGAGTATCTGGGGCTACAGGTACGTGCCACCATGCACACCTAATTTTTGTATTTTTAGTAGAGACAGGGTTTCATTATGTTGGCCAGGATGGTCTCGATCTCTTGACCTCGTGATCCACATGCCTCGGCCTCCCAAAGTGCTGAGATTACAGGCATGAGCCACTGCGCCTAGACTTGTTGTTGGTTTCTTAGAGGAGAGCTCCAGGCAAGGGGGAGGCTGTCACCGACCGTGCTCCAGCACCTGCTGGGGAGCTGCGTTTTCCTAAATGTGTCTGAGGGGCAGTGTTCACTCTCACATCACCCCCCTGACCCAGTCCGGAGCTCTTCCCTCTCTCTGGGGGCTGAGCCCTGAGTCACAGAAGCATAATTAGAACAATGACTGCCCTTTGAAGCACTGGGCTTGGCGATTTACCCAGAACAAGTGTATTTACTGTTTATTCAGACTATTGAGTAATCCACTGTCCAGAACATTCTGTGGCAATCATTAACAATGCTCAGCATCAGTTGGTTAAAGCACAGGGTTTAGAAAAATGTCTGAGAACCTGGGTATCAGCTGATATAAAAAGATACAAATACCACCCCAGGTGTCTAGCTGTTAAAAACAGGTTGTTGGCTGGGCACAGTGGCTCACACTTGTAATACCAGAATTTTGATAGGCCAAGGCAGGAGGACTGCTTGAACCCAGGAGTTCAAGACCAGCCTGGGCAGCATGGCAAGACCCCATATCTACAGAAAATTTTAAAAAAATATCTGGGGGTGGTGGTGAGCACCTGTGGTCCCAGTTACTCTAAAGGCTGGGGTGGGAGGCTCACTTGATCAAAGCCCAAGGGATCATGGTTGTAGTAAGCCATGAGTGCACCACTGACTGCACTCCAGCCTGAGCCACAGAGTGAGACCCTGTCTCAAAAAAAAAAATAAAAGCAGGTTGTCCACTGTTAGAACATGACTAGCAGTTACTAAAATACCAGAACGTTCCTTGTCAGAACATTGGCTGTCACCGATAAGATCCCAGTTATCCTGAACATTCTGTGACTTATTTAGAATCCCAAAGATCAGGTGACAGAACATGGGATGGCCACTGTTAGAACCCTGGAGATCAGGGATTTAGAGGTTAGAGTGTTCACTGTATAGAAGTCTGGGCATCAGTTGTTAGAAACTGACCATGAGCTGTCAAAACAATGGCTGTTTGGAAACGGAGTGTCAGGTGTAAGAATTTGTGGATTGCTCAGAATAGCCCATGGGGTGGTGGTTGGGGTGGGCAGCGGGAGAGGAGGATGTTTCAAAGATAGTAGTTTCTGCCTGGGTAGTTACGGGGGAGGTGGAAGGAAGGTATCAGACTCCAAATTTATTTTGAAAGTAAAATTGGCAGGATTTGCTGGAGAATTGGATATAAGCCACAAGGAAAGAAGAGGAATCACTGATAATGACTAGTTTTTGGCCACAGTAGACAAGGAAATAGGGGTACCATTTATCAAAATGAGGAAAACTGGAGCAAGAGCAAGTTTGGGCAAAATAGGAATTCATTTTGAGCCAGGAGCAGTGGCTCATGCCTGTAATTCCAGCACTTTGGGAGGCCGAGGCAGGAAATCACTTGAGCTCAGGAGTTTGAGACCAGCTTGAGCAATGTAGTGAGACCCTGTCTCTACAAGAAATTTAAAAAATTAGCTGGGCGCAGTGCCGTGGTCCTAGCTACTTGGGAGGCTGAAGTAAGAGGATTGCTTGGGCTTGGGAGGTTATGATCGTGCCACTCACACTTAGCCTGAGAGACAGAGTGAGACCCTATCTAAAACACACACACACACACACACACACACACACACACACACACACACACACACAGTTCCTTTTGGGGCCTATTAAATTTGACGTGCTGACAGATGTTCCACGTGGAGGGGCGGTAAGGTGGCTGGAGAGAGAAGACAGAAGGCAAACTGATCATCAGCACATCAGTGGTGTGAAGCCCCTGGGCCTGGATGATGGGAGAAAGGATGGTCAGAAAAAAAAACAAAAACTGAGGGTCGAGGACTGGGCACTCTCATGCTTAGGCCTGGAGAGAAGGAGGAACCACCAATGAGGTGGCAGGAATATCAGGAGCACGGGGTGTTACAGAAGCCCAGAGAAGGAAAGCTGTTCGAGAAAGATAATCTGGCCGGGCGAGGTGGCTCTCACCTGTAATCCCAACACCTTGGGAGGCTGAGGTGGGAGGATCCCTTGAGGCTAGGAGTTCCATACCAACCTGGGCAACATAGTGAGACCCTGTCTCTACAAAAAAATTAAAAATTATCCGGTGTGATGGTGCGTGCTTGTAGTCCTAGCTACTTGGGAGGTTAAGGATCACTTGAGCCCAGGAGGTCAAGGCTGCAGTGAACTATGATCATGTCACTGCATTGCTGCCTGGGTGACCCTGTCTCTAAAGAAAGAGAGGAGGCTGGGCACCGTGGCTCATGCCTGTAATCCCAGCACTTTGGGAGGAAGAGGCGGGTGGATCACGAGGTCAGGAGTTCGAGACCAGCCTGACCAACATGGCGAAACCCCGTCTCTTCTAAAAATACAAAAATTAGCTAGGTGTCGTGGCATGTGCCTCAGGAGGCTGAGGCAGTGAGCTGATATCTCCCACCTGAACCCAGGAGGCAGAGGTTGCAGTCAGCCAAGATGGTGCCACTGCACTCCAGCCTGGCCGACAGAGCGAGACTCCATCTCAAACAAAAAAAAAAAAGAGAGGAGATAGAGCAAAGGGGAATATAATATGGTCAACCATGTTGAGGGCTGTCAGGGCAAGTAAGATAATGACAGAGATTTAGCAAGATGGATGTCACTGGTGACCATGGCAGGATGGCTCTGATGGTGGGATGGGCACAGAAGCCTTGGCTGTTCATAATCCCAGTTCCCAGCTATCAGAGCCCTGGCTTTCCTGGTGAGGTGCTAGGTGTGGTTTACTAGACAGCATTCTAATACCACATTAGCTGCTGCCAAAGGAGTGTTGGAATGCTGTAGGGAAGGACTGGTGAAAGGGAGCAGGTGATGCTCTGGGAACAGGCTAGGCTAGGACAAGAGCAGAAGGGAGCAGAGGAACAGGCGAGGCAAACAGGGTGTCCTGCGCCCAATCAAATGGTCCAGGCCCAGCTGTTATGAGAATAGCCACCTAGGGGTTGGGCCAGCAAGGAGAAAAGGTGAGGTGGCCGGAGAGCCCATGCTACAAAAATACCCCAAATATCCACACAGTATAAGGCACTGGGCTGGGTGCCAGTACTCAGATGAATCTACCTCTATTCCTGCCTTTGGGAAGTGCATGGTCACTTGGGGAGAAAAACAGCCAACTGAAATAACTCCAACCAGGACATGGTCAACAGCGGACAGGAGGCCAGGCATGGTGGCTCATGCCTATAATCCCAGCACTTTGGGAGGCCGAGGTGGGCAGATCACTTAAGGCCAGGAGTTCGAGACCAGCCTGGCCAACATGGTGAAACCCCGACTCTACTAAAAATACAAAAATTAGCTGGGTGTGATGGCGCGTGCCTGTAGTCCCAGCTACTTGCAAGATTGAGGTAGGAGAATTGCTTGAACCTAGAGGCAGAGGTAGCAGTGAGCCAAGATCGTGCCACTACACTCCAGCCTGGGCAACAGAGCAAGACTCTGTCTCAAAAAAATAAGTGGACAGGATGTCGGGAGGCACAGAAGAGGAAGTGACCAGGAGAGGAGACACCACTTAAGCTGGGCCTTAAACACGAATAGGAGTTTGCTGGGCAGGGCAGAAGGCATTTGCTTGAGAGGACTGAGGCCCACGGGCTTGGAGGTGGGAGGCAAGGGGCCACATGTATCTACAGCAAAGGGTGGCTGGGACAGAGATGACTGGATGGAAAGGAGGGCCTGGGTACTCCGCGTATCTTAACTTTATCCTGAGGGCAGTGGAGAGCCAGGGAAGATTTTTGTTGATTTGTTTGTTTTTATTGATATATCATAGTTGTACATATTAGGGAAGATATGAAGAAGAGGAGTGACATAGTCCGCCAGAGTGTGGCCGAGGAGTAGGAGGAGTGTGAAGAGGCTGGGGTACTGTCCAGACCAGAGACGGTGGTGGCCTTGACATCTCCCCAGAGATGGGGATGGAGGGGAGGGACCATATTCCAGAGCTGTTTGGGAGGCAGAAGGGAGACTGAGGGGAGGGTGGGGCATGAAAGACAGGGAGGTGCCCAGGGCAGGCAGGTTCCTGCCTTGACAGCACCAACAGGAGCAGGAATCTCTCCACGGACTGAGGCGCCGGGCAGGGAGGGGATGGTTCCTGAGAGGCCAACCTGCCTCCCAGTCCTGGGCCCCGGGGCTGGCGGAGGCCTCCTGTACACGCACACGCACGCACATGCGCACGCACACGCACGCGCACAGACGCTGCCTGGATTTTGCTTTGGGTTCCGTCTTCTCACTGCGGACCCTGGATTGAAACGATCTCCCCGCGGCCGCCGCCGCTACCTGGTGCCCGCAGGTGCCTGCAGGAGTCCTGGGGCCAGCTGGCCTCGATGTACGTCAGCACGCGGGAACGGTACAAGTGGCTGCGCTTCAGCGAGGACTGTCTGTACCTGAACGTGTACGCGCCGGCGCGCGCGCCCGGGGATCCCCAGCTGCCAGTGAGTGCCAGGTCTCCCGCGCCCGCGGTCCCACCGCCGCCCACCGCCCCGCTCAGATCCCGGCCTTCTTCGTCCAGGTGATGGTCTGGTTCCCGGGAGGCGCCTTCATCGTGGGCGCTGCTTCTTCGTACGAGGGCTCTGACTTGGCCGCCCGCGAGAAAGTGGTGCTGGTGTTTCTGCAGCACAGGCTCGGCATCTTCGGCTTCCTGAGGTGGCGGGGCCGGTACCCTTTGGGACCGCAGCTGTGGCCAGAGCGGCGGGGACTGGGTGGGAAGGGAGGGGCGGGGCCTGGGGCGGGGATGGGGGGGGTGGGGCCGCGAGGCGGGGGCGGGGCCTGGCGCTCGGTGGAAGGGGCGGGCGCTCCATACCATCTGGATGGGGCGAGCTAACTCCAAGGAAGGGGGTGTGGTCGCAGGACTGGGTCTTAGAGGGGCAAGGCTGGGCTGGGTGGGGGAAGCCCAGGAGGGCAGCCCAACGCGCCCCGACTGTCGAGGCCCGGGACCCTGACAGTGAACCCCACACGCCCAGCACGGACGACAGCCACGCGCGCGGGAACTGGGGGCTGCTGGACCAGATGGCGGCTCTGCGCTGGGTGCAGGAGAACATCGCAGCCTTCGGGGGAGACCCAGGAAATGTGACCCTGTTCGGCCAGTCGGCGGGGGCCATGAGCATCTCAGGACTGGTGAGAGCAATGCCCAGACGGACCGAGCACAGACTTAGGCTCCTGCGTTCCCACAAATGTATGCTCCACTGCACAGGCCATGTGCAGATTTGCGTGTACAGGAACGTGCCTGCCACAGAAATGCTCTCGCCCCTGCCAAGGGTACAGCCCCTCATAGCCAAGGATGTCTCCTCTGTTGAGGGATAGCACTGATGAGAAAACTGAGCCCCAGGAAGGGTAGTGCTGAGGCTTGGGGTAATCAGTGAATCCAGGTGCTACCCAGCACCTTCTGCCTCTCCACATTCCCCCAGAACTCTATCCCCTGAACAGAGCCCACCATCTGCCCCCTGGGCAAGGCTAGGACCTCACACCAGGCCTGCAAGCCAGGGGCATGAGTTGACGGGCTTTGCCCCTGACTCCTGTGTGACTGCTGACCTGGGATGTGCCTGGAATGTGGGTGTACTGTAAGGTGCCCTGTGAGGGGCATATGGCTGGGAAGTGAACACATCACACAGGACATTGCTGGCCACAGTCATAATAATACTCAACAGCTGAGCACTTCCTGTGTGCCAGGCATTCTTCTAAGCACCTTATGTGTCGTCATCCATGTAATTCCTTCAATAGTCCAAAAAGAAAAGTACTGTTGTCTCCATTCTACAGATAAAGAAACGAAGGCCCAGAGAATTAAGCAACTTTATCCAAAATTCACTAAAAAGCAGAGGAAAAAAAAATTTTTTTTTTTGAGACGGAGTTTCGCTCTTGTTGCCCAGGCTGGAGTGCAATGGCGTGATCTCAGCTCACCATTACCTCCGCCTCCCGGGTTCAAGCGATTCTCCAAAGCAGGGAAAGATTGTAAGCAGCAAAGTGACATGATCAGATGTGCATTTAGAGAGATGGCTCAGCCTGCTGCATGGGACTGGGTTGGCAAGAAACAGGAGCAGAGACTCGGAGAGCTACTGGGAGGGGCAGGGATGGGGATAGGATATATCCTAGGAGAGATCATGGGGCTGGCTCTAAAGCAGGGGCAGGAAAGATGGAGAGCAGAGGATGGCTCAGAGTGATCCAGGAGGCCAAATGGGCAGGACTAGGGCAGCTGGGGTGTGGTCATTAGCAGAGATAGGGAAGGCCCCTGGGGCTGGGGGATGGTATGGGGTAAGGAATGCCACCCAGACAGGGATTGGCTGGAGCAGGTTTGGGGCATATGAAGTCTGAGGTATCCAAGGGACAGGATGGGAGGCCCTAGATGTACTTGTTCCCCCAACTTGGGCAGTGGAGAGAGGCTAACAGCTGTCAGCACAGGTAACAACCTGGGGAAACCATGAGGTCCCTTCCACCTACCCCTCATTTCTAGCCCTAAAGTAGAGGGAGACCACTTTTCCACACCAGCAGATTCCCTCCCCCAATCTCACATCCCCTCTGGAACCCACTGGGGCCCACTGTACAGACCAGAGGCAGGAATACCACTGGCTTTAGGTCTAGGACATCACCCCAGGACTCCTGACTCCCTCCCAGCTACTTGCCCTTCCTGGCTTCACTCAGGCTGCCTGCCCATGGCCAGACAGATGCCCAGAACAGCCCAGGTGTCTCTACTTGGGCATCTCACGGGTGTATTCCTCCCTGTTCTTGCAGATGATGTCACCCCTAGCCTCGGGTCTCTTCCATCGGGCCATTTCCCAGAGTGGCACCGCGTTATTCAGACTTTTCATCACTAGTAACCCACTGAAAGTGGCCAAGGTGAGTGCCTCTCCTTCCCCAGGGCTCAGCATGGAAGGGCAGGATGGAAGCACCACTGAGCATCCTTTCTTCTCTCTATAGAAGGTTGCCCACCTGGCTGGATGCAACCACAACAGCACACAGATCCTGGTAAACTGCCTGAGGGCACTATCAGGGACCAAGGTGATGCGTGTGTCCAACAAGATGGTAGGTAGAACATTCCAGCTGCCTGACCTGGCTGCCTGAGGGCCATCCTCCTATCCTGGTACCCAGCCACCCCCAACTACTTCCCCAGGGACCCTGTCTCAAGAGCACACGAGGGAGACTTCCTTTAACTCTGATCCCTTCCTCTCCCCCATAGAGATTCCTCCAACTGAACTTCCAGAGAGACCCGGAAGAGGTAAACAGGCCACATTCTGCAATTTGAGTATTTATTTAACACCTACTTTGTGCCAGGCACTTGGGATACTTAGGGAATTGTTCAGGCCAAGATCCCTTCCCTAGTGGAGCTGATGTTCCAGTGGGGAAGGAGAATAAACCCTATAAATAAATATATTATCCACCTCCTTAGAAGGTGATAGGTGAATAGCAAGGAATGGAGAGGGTAAAGGGGTTGGACATTTTGGGAGGTATGGACTTTTAAATAGAATGGCTAGAACAGGACTCAGTGAAGTGAAATTTAGCAAAGATTTTCAAGAGGTGAAGGAGTGAGCTATACAGATACCCGCGGCCATCCCAAGTCCACGTAATTTGGTCCTGCCTATCCTGCTCCCCTCCCACACCCATCCTCCTGGGGCTCACCATGCCAGCCCCAGCCTTTTCCCAATCAAAGAACCTAGGCTAGAGCAGCCTCTGAAGGGGCACCCAAGGTTGCAGGGACCCTGGGAGGATACTTGAGGAGACTGGCTGGAAATGCCCTTTGCCTTGTAGATTATCTGGTCCATGAGCCCTGTGGTGGATGGTGTGGTGATCCCAGATGACCCTTTGGTGCTCCTGACCCAGGGGAAGGTTTCATCTGTGCCCTACCTTCTAGGTGTCAACAACCTGGAATTCAATTGGCTCTTGCCTTATGTAAGTGAGTAGGAGTTCAATTGGCTCTTGCCTTACGTAAGTGAGTACCATAGTGGAGGCAGGGAAGGATGCCTCTTGGACGGTGCTGGGCACCAGGTCAGATGCCAGTAGCCCCTCTGTGGATGCCCTATGTTTGGGAGCCTCCTGTAGTCCCTGTACAGTGAAAACTGGCCATGAATGATGGAGGGGAAGAAGGGAGAAGTATGGCCTGCTGGAGATTTGAGGACCACAAATTCTCAGATCATAGTTTAGATGGGTTATGATGTTCATTCCCAAGCCTCTAGGCAACTGCAAATCCTGAAGCCCTCCCTTGCTCCTGGGTCAGGGTAGATGCCCCAACTCAGGATGGACCCCCACTCAGTACCACTTCAGCTCTGGCCCAGGTGGTAGTGATGAGCAGGATGGGAGCAGGGGGACAAGAGAGAGTCATGGGCCCTTCCTGGGCTGTGTGCTGTGTCTGATAACTCATCATTAGATGGGCAAGACCTTTGGGGCCTTTGTAGCTCTGGCCAGAATCCCTCCTAATGCTCAGGCCTGACCCACACTGGGGTCCTTGTCTTGTGAACAGATCATGAAGTTCCCGCTAAACCGGCAGGCGATGAGAAAGGAAACCATCACTAAGATGCTCTGGAGTACCCGCACCCTGTTGGTGAGGGACCCAGCTGGCAGGGGTGCTCAGTTCGGACAGGGTTGACCCCCCTGTTTTTTTTAACCTAGTAGCTGCTCTTTGCAAAGGGGCTCCCAGCCAGGGTAAGGATCTTTCTTGGAGGGTCTGGGGTTTGCTGTGGGATCAGATGACTGCTTACAGGTAAGGTGCTCAGGGTCACAGGGGCAGTTATGCAGCAAAATCAGGGGTTACAATCAGCAGAGACAGAAACTTTCCCAGGAAGCTCCCTTTCTCCCCCTCCCAGGCCAAAAACTCCTGGGGGGCTGAGCATGGATCCAAGTCACTGGTGGGCCCACCTCTGGCCCAGCTGGCACCCAGGCCTCAGGTAAGTGTGGCCTCCTCACTCAGAATATCACCAAGGAGCAGGTACCACTTGTGGTGGAGGAGTACCTGGACAATGTCAATGAGCATGACTGGAAGATGCTACGAAACCGTATGATGGACATAGTTCAAGATGCCACTTTCGTGTATGCCACACTGCAGACTGCTCACTACCACCGAGGTATGCAGGGTCCCCAAGAGTGGCCACACTGGCCCCGTCCACTCTCCAGGTGTGCTGTTTACCAACTGGGCTTATCGACTGCTCCCCTACCCTCTCTGTACTTCTGGGCTAGTATAGGATTCTAAGATATCACAGAGGAGGCAGCATGCTATCAACTACAAGAGAGGAAGGGGCCAGGCACGGTGGCTCACACCTGTAATCCCAGCACTTTGGGAAGCCGAAGTGGGTGGATCATTTGAGGCCAGGAGTTCTAGACCAGCCTCACCAACATGGTGAAAACCCATCTCTACTAAAAGTACAAAAAAATTAGCCAGCTGTAGTGGCGCATGCCTATAGTCCCAGCTACTCAGTAGGCTGACGCAGGAGAATCGCTTGAACCTGGGAGGGGGAGGTTGCAGTGAGCCGACATCACACCACTGCACTCCAGCCTGGGCAACAGAGCGAGACTCCATCTCAAAAAAAAAACAAAAAAAGTATAAGAGAGGAACTGTTCTTCCTTAGGAACAAGGGCAGGACCTCAAACAGTCCAGAGGAGAAGCCTGGGGTGGTCAGGGAAGGCTTCCTGGCTGAGAGGACAGGCTTAGGGGCACCTTGAAAGTTCAGGCTGACTGGGGCTAGGGGAACATGTGGGTAACAGGTTAAAGGGGGGGGGGCTGGAAAATGCAGACACCAAAGACCCTTCAATATGAGGCCAAGAAAGGAAGGTTCAGAACAGGGAAAAGGAAGGCTTCCATGATCCTGGCCACAATCCTGTGAATTAGGTTTTAGTATTCTCAGTCTGAAGATAAGGAATTATTGATACAATTCAGAAAGGTAGAGCAACTTGCTTTAGGTCACACAGTGAATGAGTAGTGCAGACAGGATTCAAGTCTGCCCCCTTGATTCTGAAGCCAAAGCTCTTTTTCCTGCTTGGTGCAGGTGAGTGGGAGGCATGGGGTGGATGAGAAGCCTAGGCAGAGGCTTTTCCTGCATCCCTCCTCAGTTTCCCTATTCACAGATGCCGGCCTCCCTGTCTACCTGTATGAATTTGAGCACCACGCTCGTGGAATAATCGTCAAACCCCGCACTGATGGGGCAGACCATGGGGATGAGATGTACTTCCTCTTTGGGGGCCCCTTCGCCACAGGTGCAAAGGTCCCACCTGATACCCCAACTGGGTGTCCAGTCTCCCACCTCTGGATGCAGACCCACCCCTCCATTGGCTGGCCACAGGGAGCTCACCAGTTCCTAATCTGTTATGCTCTCCCAAATGAAAGTCTTCTGCTCCGGAAGCAGCAGAAGCAGCAGGAGTAGGGTGGGAGGTCAGTGTCCCCTGCTCTGTCCGAAATCCCACATCCCATTCTGCCCCCAGGCCTTTCCATGGGTAAGGAGAAGGCACTTAGCCTCCAGATGATGAAATACTGGGCCAACTTTGCCCGCACAGGGTGAGTCTGCCCCCCAGCACATCTGGGCATTCTACCTGCCCAGTGCTGGACCTGAAGAAGCCAGCTGCTTCGGATATTTGCCCCAGCATGTCCTACAGGAACTGCCCAGTCGGCCCAAACAGGGTGCCCCTTCTTCTTCAGCTTTCCTCAGTCAGTCACCGGATCCTAAACGTCTCTAGAATGTGTCCTTCTTGATCCATGACCCACACTCTTCATTCACTCAAGCATTCCACAGTCATTCACCACTGCACTCTTTTGGGCCCAGCCCCAGTACTGGGAGCTGGAATTCAAGGATGTTGCAGACATGAGCCCCATCCTCCAGCAGCTCACCACATAAAATCAGGAAATTACAATCTGGTACGCTGAGAGCTGTACTGGGGGAGCACAAGGCACTTTGAGAGCATAGAGGAGGTGTCTGGCCCAGCCTAGGGGGCAGGTGACATGTAAAGAGAGCTTTGGCTAGCCTTGTGACTATTTTCTTAAAGTCTCGCTCTGTCACCCAGACTGGAGTGCAGTGGCGCAATCCCAGCTCACTGCAATCTCCGCCTCCCAGGTTCAAGCGATTCTCCCACCTCGGCCTCCTGAGGAGTTGGGATTACAGGCCACCACGCCTGGCTAATTTTTGTATTTTTGTAGAGGTGGGGTTTCACGTTGGCCAGGCTGGTCTTGAATTCCTAACCTCAAGCTATCCACCCACCTCGGCCTCTGAAAGTGCTGGGATTACAGGCATGAGTCACTGCGCCTGGCCTCTCTCCTTTCAAATCATCCTCCTTATGACACTCAAAGTGTCTTTCTTCTTCTTTTTTTTTTTAAATTTTTTTGAGACATGGTCTCACTCTGCTGCCCAGGCTAGAGTGTAGTGGTGCAATCACAGCTCACTGCAGCCTTGACCTCCCAGGCTCAAGCAGTCCTCTCACTTCAGCCTCCCAAGTAGCTGGGACTACAGACACATACCACCATGCCCGTCTAATTTTTTTTTTTTTTTGAGACAGAGTCTCGCTCTGTCACCCAGGCTGGAGAGCAGTGGTGCAATCTCAGCTCACTGCAAGCTCTGCTTCCCGGGTTTATGCCATTCTCCTGCCTCAGCCTACCGAGTAGCTGGGACTACAGGTGCCTGCCACCATGCCTGGCTAATTTTTTTGTATCTTTAGTAGAGACGAGGTTTCACCATGTTAGCCAGGATGGTCTCGATCTCCTGACCTTGTGATCTGCCCGCCTCGGGCTCCCAAAGTGCTGGGATTACAGGTGTGAGCCACCACGCCTAGCCTAATTTTTGTATTTTTTGTAGAGATGAAGTCTTGCTATTTTGCCCAGACTGGTCTCCAACTCCCGGGCTCAAGCAATTTTCTCACCTATGCCTCCCAAAGTGTTGGTCTTACAGGTGTTAGCCACCATACCCAGCCCAAGGGGTCTTTCTGAAATAACATCTGACCAAGTCACTCTCCTGTTTAAAACTCTTCATGGCTTCTCTCTGCCTCCAAGATAAAGTCCCAGCTCCTCAACCTTGCGTGAAAGGCCTTTCAAAATCTTTCCTATGTCATCTCCTTTCCACTTTGATCCCTTTCACACACTCTCTTTTTTTTTTGTTTTTGTGTTTGTTTTTGAGACAGTCTCGCTCTGTCACCCAGGCTGGAGTGCAGTGGCGCGATCTCGGCTCACTGCAATCTCCACCTCCCAGGTTCATGCTATTCTCCTGCCTCAGCCTCCCGAGTAGCTGGGACTACAGGCACCCGCCACCTCGCCCGGCTTTTTTTTTGTATATTTAGTAGAGACAGGGTTTCACCATGTTAGCCAGGATGGTCTCGATCTCCTGACCTCGTGATCCGCCCACCTCAGCCTCCCAAAGTGCTGGGATTACAGGCATGAGCCACCAGGCCTGGCCACACACACACTCTGTTTTTACCTAACTCTTGACTTGTGCTTCCTCCAAAAGCCTTGGTCTTTTATATCTCTCAACCTGGCACATACTGTTTGCTCTGCCTGGAAGGCCCACCCCAATACACACTTTCCTACTCTTTATTAAAGTTCTAAGTATCATCTCCGTAAAGCCCTCTGGAACCCCAAGTCCCAAGGGCAAATTAAACGAGGGAAGGGTGAAAGAAAGAAGCAGGATGAAAAGGAACACAGGTAATCCTCTCTTTTTTATTTCTGGGCAGAAACCCCAATGATGGGAATCTGCCCTGCTGGCCACGCTACAACAAGGATGAAAAGTACCTGCAGCTGGATTTTACCACAAGAGTGGGCATGAAGCTCAAGGAGAAGAAGATGGCTTTTTGGATGAGTCTGTACCAGTCTCAAAGACCTGAGAAGCAGAGGCAATTCTAAGGGTGGCTATGCAGGAAGGAGCCAAAGAGGGGTTTGCCCCCACCATCCAGGCCCTGGGGAGACTAGCCATGGACATACCTGGGGACAAGAGTTCTACCCACCCCAGTTTAGAACTGCAGGAGCTCCCTGCTGCCTCCAGGCCAAAGCTAGAGCTTTTGCCTGTTGTGTGGGACCTGCACTGCCCTTTCCAGCCTGACATCCCATGATGCCCCTCTACTTCACTGTTGACATCCAGTTAGGCCAGGCCCTGTCAACACCACACTGTGCTCAGCTCTCCAGCCTCAGGACAACCTCTTTTTTTCCCTTCTTCAAATCCTCCCACCCTTCAATGTCTCCTTGTGACTCCTTCTTATGGGAGGTCGACCCAGACTGCCACTGCCCCTGTCACTGCACCCAGCTTGGCATTTACCATCCATCCTGCTCAACCTTGTGCCTGTCTGTTCACATTGGCCTGGAGGCCTAGGGCAGGTTGTGACATGGAGCAAACTTTTGGTAGTTTGGGATCTTCTCTCCCACCCACACTTATCTCCCCCAGGGCCACTCCAAAGTCTATACACAGGGGTGGTCTCTTCAATAAAGAAGTGTTGATTAGACCTGAATTTCTCCACCTATAAAATGGGTGTGTGAAGTGAATGATGTCTCAATTTGAGCCCTGAGAGAAAGGAAGTATTGCTGCCTGTTCCTTAGTGGGCTGTGCCTGGATGCTACACTCAGTCAAAGGGTGCTACTGCAAAGTTGCCTGGGGTACAAAACACTTGCCTTTTGCCTTCATGGTCTCAAGTGCACCCCTCAGGACAGCCACACCCCACGCTCACTTGTCCATCAGTTTAGGTCTTAGTGCCACATCTAGATTCCTCTGGCCTCTCCTGCAGCCCGTGTGTATCCCAGCCTGTCCCACAGTTTTGTTTCGTTGTTTTGTGGGGTTTTTTTTTTTTTTTTTGAGACGGAGTTTTGCTCTTGTCACCCAGGCTGGAGTGCAATGATGAAATCTCAGCTCACTGCAGCCTCAGTCTCCCGAGTTCAAGCGATTCTCCTGCCTCAGCCTCCCAAGTAGCTGAGATTACAGATGCCCACCACCATGCCCGGCTTATTTTTGTATTTTTAGTAGAGATAGGGTTTCATCATGTCAGCCAGGCTGGTCTCAAACTCCTGACCTCAGGTAATCCACCCGTCTCAGCCTGCTGAAGTGCTGGAATTACAGGCATGAGCCACCATGCCTGGCCACTGTGGGCTTTTTGGTGGTAAAATACACACGACAAATTTTACCATTTTAACTATTTTTGTTTTTTGTTTTGTTTTTTGTGGTTTTTTTTTTTTTTTTTTTTTTGAGATGGAGTCTCGCTCTGTCGCCCAGGCTGGAGTGCAGTGGCACGTTCTCGGCTCACTGTGATCTCTGCCTCCCGGGTTCACGCCATTCTCCTGCCTCAGCCTCTCGAATAGCTGGGACCACAGGTGCCCGCCACAACACCCAGCTAATGTTTTTTTTTTTGTACTTTTAGTAGACGGGGTTTCACCATGTTAGCGAGGACGGTCTCGATCTCCTGACCTCGTGATCCACCCACCTCGGCCTCCCAAAGTGCTGGGATTACAGGCGTGAGCTACCGCGCCCAGCCCATTTTAACTATTTTTAAATGTACAGTTCAATATCATTAAGTACATTCACATCATTGCACAACCATCACCACTATTCTGTCTTTAGAACTTTTTCATCATTTAAACTGAAACTCTGTACCCATTCAACAATGACTTGCTGTTACCCCCTCTTCCTAGCCCCCGGTAACCCCTATTCTGCTTTCTGTCTCTATGAACTTGACTCTTCCAGGTGCCTGATATAAGTACAGTAATGCAGTATTTGTCCTTTTGTGTCTGGCTTATTTCACTTCACATGATGTCTTCAAGTTTCATCCATGCTGTAGCATCTATCAGAATTTCCTTCCATTTTAAGGCTGGATAATATTCCATCGCAAGTATATAACACATTTTGTTTATCCATCCATCCAGTGATGGGCATTTGGGTTCTTTCCACCTTTAGGCTATTGTGAATAATGCTGCTATGAACACTGGCATAGTGTCCCACAGTATTTTTGTCCCAAACTAGTGTTGATTAGGCCCTTTATTCCCAGAGGTTCCTGAGTCTCTGGGGCAAATGGAAGCTGCACAGATCTGTGGGATGAGGCACATCTAATTCCCCATACCCCAGGATCTAACCCCCAAAGCAAAGGGATGGTGGAGGAGGGCGGAAGCCCCTCCCAAGCAAACATTAATCCTCACAACAACTGTGGATCTTATTATCCCCATTTTACAGATGAAGAAACTGAGGCATTGAGACATTAAAAAGCCTTGCCCAAGGGCCTGAGCTGGTGGAGGCAGAGCAGGAGTTGGATCCAGGCCTGTCTGAGGCATCCTGCCACCTCCATCCAGACCTGGAGCAATCCCTGAGAAGGGTGGCTACCACCAGAGATGTGGCAGCTCTGGTCTCAGGAAGCATAGCCGGAGGATGTCCCAGGCAACCAAACAGCCATTCATCAGTAAGGAGCCAGAGTGAGGGCTGCTAGTTCAGCCCCCGGAAGGTGGTCCAGGGGCAGCCAGTGCAGAACTCAGCAGGAGCTCAGTTCCAACTGAGCCTGATTTCACTCCAGTGTCCACAAGGGACATCCTGACCTGGAGGTCCTCGGCTACTCACCCTGGGGCCTGCTGGCACAGCCCAGGAGCTAGCCCAGGCCTGCCTCTGATGGTTCCCCCTGATTTCTCCCCTGACAAAGATTCTCTCCTTGACCAAACTCTACTCAGACTTTCCTGAACTTTTTCAGCTAGGCCTGACTTTTTAGCAAGATTCCTTCTAAGTCAGTTTAACCAGAGCCCCCCACCTTCGATATCTGATCATCTTCCATAATCTAATTAAGTTCCTTAGCCTCGGCCAGGCACGGTGGCTCAGGCCTGTAATCCCAGCACTTTGGGAGGCAGAGGCACGCAGACCACTTGAGCTCGGAAGTTCGAGACCAGCCTGGCCAACATGGTGAAACCCCATTCTACTAAAAATACAAAAATTAGCCGGATGTGGTGGTGGGCGCCTGTAATCACAGCTACTTGAGAGGCTGAGGCAGAAGAATCACTTGAACTCAGGAGGTGGAGGTTGCAGTGAGCTGAAATCGTGCCACTGCACTCCAGCCTGGGTGACAGAGCAAGACTCTGCCTCAAAAATATAAAAAATAAAAGTTCTTTAGCCTCTATTATCCCCAAGGTGATGTCTGGTCACCCTGGCCTGCCTGCAACAAGAATCCTATTGGATGGGCTTAGCCACAATTCCCCCCTTTATCTCTGATATTTCATCTTAGTAATTTTCCATCCACTGACCCCACCTTGCTCCTTGGCTATAAATTCTCACTTGTCCATGCTGTATTCAGAGTTGAGCCCAATCTCTGTCCCCAGCTGCCTGACTGCAAAACCCCACTGTGGCAGTCCCTATGCCTATTTCTTTTTATTTCTTTTTTCTTTTTTTTTTTTTTTTTTTTGGAAACAGGGTCTCCTCTGTTGCCCAGGCTGAAGTGCAGTGGTGCCATCACAGCTCACTGCAGCCTCAAACTCCTGGGCTCAAGCAATCCTCTCACGTCAGCCTCCCAAATAGCTGGGACCACAGACAGCCACCACCAGCCTTGGCTAATTTTTTTTTAATTTTTGGGCCTGACACGGTGGCTCATACCTGTAATCCCAGCACTTTGGGAGGCTGAGGCAAGAGGACTGCTTGAGCCCAGGAGTTTGAGACCAACCTGGGCAACACTGCAAGACCCCATCCCTACAAAAAATATTAATTAAAAAAATTAGCCAGGTATGGTGGCACATGCCTGTAGTCCCAGCTACTCAAGAGGCTGAGGTGGGAGAATCGCTTGAGCCCAGAAGGCCGAGGCTTCAGTGAGCTATGATCATCACACCACTGCACTCCAGCCTGGGTGACAGAGTGAGACCCTCTCTACCGCCTTGGCCTCCATAAGTGCTGGAATTACAGGCACAAGCTAACTGCTCGGCCCCTATGCCTATTTCGATGCTCCTGAATAAAGTCTGCTTTACTGAGCTTTAATAAGGACCATGAATGATTTTTCTTGAACGCCCCTCCTCATGCTTTCTCACATGGGTCTGTGGGGAGGGCAGCTGCCTCTAATGGCCACCTGCCCAGGGCCCTCCTCCCCCAACTGGAGGAAGTGCAGCTGAGCAGGAGCCAGGGCTTAGTCGGGTCCAAGCTGGCTGTGGCAGATGCGACAATCATAAAGGGCTCTGAGGAAACCCTAGGATCCTCCATAGGAATCCAAGCCTGGGAGAACCCCAGTGGGCAGCCTGAATGCTGGGTTGGCCCCTGCCTTCCACAGCCCCGGCTCCACACCCTCCCCATACACCCAGGAAGGTGTCCCTCTTCTCGTCAGCTCCTCCCTGGGTTACATTGCTGGATGACAGAGGCGGGAGGGCTACCTACTACTGCCCCATCGTCCCACCTTGTCTTCCTGCCCCCACTCAGGTCCTCCCACGGCCACTTGGAGTCTCTCCTGAAGCTGCTGCCAGGCCCCATCCCGCGTGGATCGGTGCGCAGAACAGACTGGATCTTGGTGAAAGCCCGAGGACACTTCTGAGTCTTGCCCCAGCCGCCCTCCCCACCGCCGGGTTTCATCCACCCGCCCGCGCCACCGCGGGTACGAAAGAGTGCGGGCGCTAAGCTCATGCAGGCATAGTGCACACAGGAGCCCCCTGCCAGCCGGGCCGGGCCGGGCCGCCCACCTGGGGCTGAGCCTGGCTCCTGGCTCCGGATGCAGCGCCCCAGCTTCTCCCTCGCCACGCCCCCACCTTCCACCCGCGAAGCAGCAATTACCCGCCCAGGCGGCTGGGAAAGGGCCAATTAGCGCAGGAGACGCGGCCCCTCTGCGGGGCCCCTGCTGACCGCAGCCCACGCAGCGCTGCCTCCGCCGCGGGCCCCCAGCCTCCCGCCGCTCGCCCGCCTGCCACAGCCCTCCCTGCCGGGCCGACAGCGCTGGCTGCCTGGGAGTCCCGGGGGACGCGCCGTCCGGCCTCCCGCCAACTGCAGTCACGGATCCAGCCGCCTGGCGCCAGCCCAGAGCCGGGGCGGACGTGCGGGCGCCGGGAGCTGAATCTCGCCTCCGCTGGGTGGTGGGGGCTAGTGGGCTGCGCTCCACTGAGAGGGCTTCCGCGCCCCCGACAGCCTGCGCTTTGGCGCCCGCCAGCAGTCTCCAGGCGGGGGCGGCCCGGCCCAAGCCTTCTTGCCTTCTCATGGCCCTCCTTGCTTCTTCCGGCCCTCCAAGGCCCGGTTCTGGGCTGGCCGAGCTGGAGCAGTTCCCCACTGGTGGTTACGGCAGAGCCAGGCTTTGGAAACCCACGGCCGGTGCTGGATCGTGCCCCGCGACAGGCACGTAGGCAGGATACGGGGTGGGCAGCACAGGGACACAAGCACTCATTACTGACAGTGAATGCATGAACTTCCTCCCCTGGGTCCCTCCCCTGCACAACCTGACTTACCCACCTAGAGGCTTTGGGAGACCCAAGAGGGATGGGTCCTACCCTCCAGGAGCCTGCAGGCTGCATGGGCAGAAGATCCAGGAGCTTGGCTAGGACCCCAAGCTAAAGAAAGCCCCGAGGTCCAGGGAGGGAGGCATCGGGTGAAAAAAAAAGGAGGGGGGCGCTGGAAGAGGGAGTTGTAGGGGACAGATGCCACCCGTCAAGGCTTTCCCTTCCCCCAAAGAACCCCCTTCCAGCTGAAACTGGTCACACTGGGGCCCAGGAGTAAGGGATAAAGTGGGCCTGAGCCCAGTACATCCTCTGCAGGAGGCTGAAGTTTCTGAAACAAGAAGTGGGAGAGGGTTCAGTAGGAAGGTCCACAAGTGAGGTCGACCAAAGAGATCCTGCTGTTTCCCCATGAGTGCCACAAGGGACTGGGGTGGAAGGGCTGAGGCTGGACCAGTCCTGGATGCAGTGGCCTTTTCTGTGTGTTCTTCCTCTGCTCCCTCAGGTCTGGAGGGCTGGGAGCCTGCTGCGTGCTCTGGAACTTTACTCAGGTCTTGTTGAGCCACTTTCTTTGGGAAAGTGTGGACCATGTCTCTTAAAGAACCAGAATTGCTTCTTTCCACCAAGGTCATTAACTGTGTGGAGAGGGAGAGAGCCCCTGTCAGAAATTGGGGGATGCAGACTGAACAATGAAGGAACATAGCAACAATGAAGGAACATAGGGACAATGACACCACCTTGAGTCCAGTGGAATGAGGTGCGGCTGCATTAAAGAATGAGGAAAGGGACAGAGACAGGTGTAAGAGACGATGGAACAATCAGCCAAGAAAGTCAGGGGGTTGGCTGGGCGCGGTGGCTCACACCTGTAATCGCCGCACTTTGGGAGGCTGTGGCGGGCAGATGGCTTAAGCCCAGGAGTTCGAGACCAGCCTGAACAACATGGCAAAACCCCATCTCTACGAAAAATGCAAAAATTAGCCAGGCATGGTGGCATGCCCATGCAGTCTCAGCTACTTGGGAAGCTGAGGTGGGAGGATGGCTTGAGCCTGGCAGGCAGAAGTTGCAGTGAGACAAGATTTTTTAAAAGGCCAGGCATGGTGGCTCATGCCTGTAGTCCCAGCACTTTAGGAGGCCGAGGCAGGCAGATCACCTGAGGTCAGGAGTTCTGGACCAGCCTGGCCAACATGGTAAAACCCTGTCTCTACTAAAAATATAAAAATTAGCCAGGTGTGGTGGCACACACCTGTAATCCCAGCTACTCAGGAGGCTGAGGCACAAGAATCGCTTGAGCCTGGGAGGCGGAGGTTGCCAAGATTGTGCCACTGCACTCCAGCCTGGGCGACAGAGTGAGACCCTATCAAAAAAAAAAAAAAAAAAGTCAGGGATGGACGAAAGAGGCAGAAGCTGGTGGACACACAGCCAGACAGACAAATGGAAAGAGAGCCAGGGCAGTGCTGGGGCAGTTCAGACAAGAGAGGGGGCATGCCTGGACACTCAGAAGGTAGCCATGGGCAGGGATCTGTTTTTCATCACAGTTGTCTGACCACTGAGACACCTTGGGGTGGGAGGCTGATGGAAAGGGAGGGCTTCCTGGAGGAGCCTTTGAAAGGACCTATAGGGAATAGTGGAGGGAGTGAAGGTGGGAGTGGAGGGGAAGCTGTCTCAGCCAGAGGGCACAGCAGGAGCAAAGGCCTGGAGGCAGGAATTGGCTTGTTCAGTCCCAGCAGCTCTATGTCAGTCAGCATGGCCCCCACAGAAAGACTGAAAGAGGAAATGGCCCAGAACTGGAGCACCAGGCCTGTAAGCTGGGAGGGAGCATGGACTCTATGCTGAGGCACTAGGGAGCCATGGGAGGGGCATGTCTTGGTCAGATTCACCTTCCAGGAGGGTCTTTGAGGTTACCTAGTACAGAGACACTGGAGGAAGAGAGAGTGGAAGTGGGCAGACCAGGGGATGGTGGCAGAGAACTAGACAGTGGGTCCTTCGTGGAATCGAGCAAGCAAGTTCCCAAAGTAGATGGTTAGGACCTAGTGACACATAAGGGCAGGTGTACTGTTTTTCCAAGGAACTTTAGGCCAAGGCAGGAGGTCAGCTCTGATCACTCACCTCCCCCACTCACAGGATGGCCCCTGGTGTACTCTGGCCTAGCACACTCCCACCCAGCCAGGTCTGGGAACTCACATGGCCCCTCCCCAGACCTGGGAGACCTTGGCATCTACCCACTGGGCCCAGGAAAAGCCCCAAGAGGTGTCCAGTCCAGGGTGGAGGCACAAACAGACCTCCCACCCCACAGAAAGCTTGTTAAGACAGCACTCTCAACTCCCACCACCAGCCGTCTGTGCAATGATGACTCCACTGCCATGAGGGGTTAGGCTTGGGTCTGTTTGGGAAGCCAGTAGGTAGGGGAGGAGGGCCCAGATGAGCCCAGAAAGAACTCAGAGGCTGAGATCACATGGCCGACAGAGCAGGGTTCACCACGCCTTTTAGTCAGAATTTAGGGAGATGTGTGTTCCTGTCTGGGCCTGTTCTTTTGTGTGTCCTCAGGCAGACCACTTGCCTCCCTGGGCCAGACTTTCTTTGGGAACAGTCCCTGTTTTAGGACAGGACTCTGGCCTCAGCCCCCTGTAGCCATGGTCCAGGACCCCTGTCCACTCCAAGCCCTTTCAGCCACAGGAGCTGCTGGCAGAGCACATTGGTGACCTCACCAAGTAGCTGCTGGGTGATCATCATGGATCCCCCGCCGACAAAGAGCAAGAACCCTTTTGAGGGGGAGCCTGAAGGTGAAAGAAAAGGCCTTTCAGGAAATTAGCACCAGTGGCAGGAAAATTCATCAAAAGCTGGAGGAGGCGCCTGTGGCCGATTCACGTCTCTTGCCAAAGAGGCAGCTCCTCTGACCTGGGGGAAGGGCTGGTAGCTTCCGGGGCCTTCTAGAGACCCCACATCCTTGGGCCTGTTGCTGGGCCTCTCAGCACCTGGCAGGGGTGCCACCATGGATTTGCTGCTCCCAAATCACAGGATTCTGCAGTGCTAGGAAAGGCTGCTGATGAGTAGGGGGTCTTGGGTTTTAATGTAACTCTTCCCTCTGCTGTGTGATCTCAGACACTCAACTGGCTTCTCTGATACTCCCTGCCAGGAGAAATCCTAACCTGCCTGGCCTCTAGGCGACCAATATATCCACAATACTCAGTATATCTGAGACAAGAATATTTTTCTGAAGAGTGAGGATGCAACTATACCCAAACAATCATTGGTAGTGGGAGGTCTCACGTGAGAAGCAGGGAGGCAGCCTGAATGTTGAACCCATTATTCTGGTAGCAGCCCCACCTGCCAGCATCCAGGTATGGCCGACAGAATAGCTGTTGCAGCACACACCTCCAGGGGGCACCATTTCCATGGTTTACAGTCTGAATGAGGCCTGAATGTAACCTGAGCTTCATGACTGCCTCCTCTGGGCTTGGTACCCACAGGCACACTCACACTACACACGTGCCTCAGAGAATGCTCTGATTGGTTGATCACGATCACCACCTAACCTAAAGCATCCACATTGGTCAGGCTTTGGAGCCCGCACTTCTGCTCTAGCTATGCATGGCTCCCTTCAGCTCCCAGGGCAGGTCCAGTCCCAGGTCCAGCCAGATGATTTAGTGCTGATAGAAGCAGGATCTTTTGAAAGAGCTATGGATGTAGCAGGCCCCAGAGGCTCAGGAAGTCCTTTCCAGGCCATGCCCTGGTTCTGGCACTGCTACTGCCCCTGCTCCACTACTAAAGGAGGCAGGCCAGGCCATGCATGGTGGCTCACGCCTGTAATTCCAGCACTTTGGGAGGCCAAGGTGGGCAGATCTCCTGAGGTCAGGAGTTCAAGACTAGCCTGGCCAACATGGTGAAACCCCGTCTCTACTAAAAATACAAAAAATTAGCTGGGCATGGTGGTGCTCGCCTGTAATCCCATCTACTCGGGGGGCTGAGACAGGAGAATCGCTTGAAACGTTGAAACCGGGAGGCAGAGGTTGCAATGAGCAAGATCGCACCACTGCACTCCAGCCTGGGTGACAGAGTAGGACTCCATCTCAAAAAAAAAAAAAAAAAGAATAAAGAAAAAAGAAAAGGAGGCAGGCCACAGGCATTTACTTTTTTTTTTTTTTTTTTTTGAGACGGAATCTTGCTCTGTCGCCCAGGCTGGAGTGCGGTGGAACGATCTCGGCTCACTGCAGCCTCCACCTCCCAGGTTTAAGCTATTCTCGTGCCTCAGCCTCCCAAGTAGCTGGGATTACAGGCATAAGCCACCACACCCAGCTGATTTTTGTATTTTTAGTAGAGATGGGGTCTCGCCATGTTGGCCAGGTTGGTCTAGAACTCCTGACCTCAGATGACCCACCTGCCTTGGCCTCCGAAAGTGCTGGGCTTACAGGTGTGAGCCACTGCACCTGGTTTCAGGCACCCTTTCAGCTCATTGTATGGCATTTTGGCTAGACCTTATGTGAACTCAAATTGTTATCCTGTGCTTCCCTTACTGGCAACGTTTACAGATGGCTTTGTATCAACCAAAGCGTTGTACAACTCATAGCATTTCAGAGCTAGAAGGGACCATAAACAGTGTCATAGCCACCGTTCTTTGAACACTTACAACTTTGTGCTAGACACTAACCCAGGTACCTTCTGATGTTTTTGCCTGCACGGTACAGCCATTCCTTTTCCCGTGACACCACCCTGTCCTCGGCAATTCACCGTGTCCACACCACAGCTCAGGGATGACCAGATAACCCAGACTTGGACTATTAAGCTCAATCTCAAGATTTTTGTAGAAACATCAGGAAAGAGAATGGGTACCACTTGAGGGTGAGTCAGCATGTGAAGGAAGGTAAAACGGAAAACTAGCCAGGTACAGTGGCATGTGCCTGCAGTCCCAGCTACTCGGGAGGCTGAGACGGGAGGATTGCTTGAGCCCAGGAGTTCTGGGCTGTAATTCACTATGTTGATTAGGTGTCTGCACTAAGTGTGGCATCGATATGGTGATCTCCTAGGAACGAGGGACCACCAGGTAGCCTAAGGAGGGGTGAACCAGCCCAGGTCGAAAATGGAGCAGGTCAAAACTCCTGTGCTAATCAGTAGTGGGATCGTGCCTGTGAGTAGCTGTTGCACTCCAGCCTGGGCAATATAGCAAGACCTCATCTCCAAAAAAAAAAAAAAAAAAAGGAATAGTGAAATGAAATAGTTCACACTGAGAAACAGCCTTGAACGAATAAAATAAAATAAAATAGGCTGGGCGCTGTGGCTCACACCTGTAATCCCAGCACTTTGGGAGGCCGAGGAAGGCGGATCACTTGAGGCCAGGAGTTCAAGACCAACCTGAGCAGCAATATAGCAAGACACCCCCACCTCTAAAGAAAAAAAAAATTAAAGAGTTAAGTGACTGCATTTCTTCAACTGCAGGACTTCTCTGGGATCTCTCTCTCTCTGAGTCTACCTGGCTATATGCCCTTGAATGAGTCCAGTCACCTGTTCTGAGTCTCAATTTCAAGAGCTACAAAATAAGACAGTAATTATTTCCCTCTTTATCCTTTATTTATTTATTTAATTTTTTATTTTTTATTTTTTGAGATGGAGTCTTGCTCTGTCGCCCAGGCTGGAGTGCAGTGGCACAATCTCGGCTCACTGCAAGCTCCGCCTCCCGGGTTCACGCCATTCTCCTGCCTCAGCCTCCCGAGTAGCTGTGACTACAGGCACCCGCCACTACGCCTGGCTAATTTTTGTATTGTTAGTAGAGACGGGGTTTCACTGTGTTAGCCAGGATGGTCTCCATCTCCTGACCTCGTGATCCACCCGCCTTGGCCTCCCAAAGTGCTGGGATTACAGGCGTGAGCCACCGCGCCCGGCATTTTTTTTTTTTTTTTTTTTTGAGATGGTGTCTCGCTGTGTCACCCAGGCTGGAGTGCAGTGGCACGATCTTGGCTCACTGCAACCTCTGCCTCCTGGGGTCAAGCGATTCTACCGCCTCAGCCTCCAGAGTAGCTGGGACTACAGGCATGTGCCACGCCCAGCTATTTTTTTGTATTTTTAGTAGAGACAGGGTTTCACCGTGTTAGCCAGGATGGTCTCAATCTCCTGACCTCGTGATCCCCCCACCTCGGCCTCCCAAAGTGTTGGGATTACAGATGTGAGTCACCATGCCCGGCCTTCCCTCTTTATCTTGAAGAAATTAAGGAGAGGCCAGCGAGAGAGTGTTTGGAAAATTGCTTTATGCAGTGGCTTGTGCCTGTAACCCCAGCACTTTCGGAGGCCAAGGTGGTAAGATTACTTGTGCCCAGAAGTTCGAGACCAGCCTGAGCAACATAACAAGACCCCGTCTCTGGAAGAAAGGAAGGAAGGAAGGAAGGAAGGAAGCAAGCAAGCAAGCATGGATTAGCCAGGTGGAGTGGTGTGTGCCTGTGGTCTCAGCTATTGTGAGACTGAGGCAGGAGGATCACTTGAGCCCAGGAGTTTGAGGCTGCAGCGAGCAATGATGCCACCACTGCACCCCAGCCTGGCTAACAGAATGTGACTCTATATTGAAAAAAGAAAAAGTAACAATTAGCCAGACGTGGTGGTGTGCACTTGTAGTCCCAACTACTCAGGAGGCTGAGATGAGGATCGCCTGAGCCCAGGAGTTGGAAACTGCAATCAGCTAGGATCATGCCACTGCACTTGACTCAGGAAGACCCTGTCAAAAAAAAAAAAAAAGAAGAAAAAGAAAAGAAAGAAAGAAGAGAGAGAGAGAGAAAGAGGAAGAAAGAAAGAAAGAGAGAAAGAAATTCACTGAAGGGAAACCTGGGTTGTTCATCTTTGTGTCCATCTCCGTCACCAACACTACCTAAACTGCAAAGCATGCTGGGAGCTCCCACTGGGCAGGAGGGAGCAAGATGAAGTTAGCATAAGCCGGGACTAGGGAAGCTATCAAGCCTGTGGGATGCCTTTGAGGTAGTTGAGTCCAGTCTTGTCTCATAGGCATTGGTGAGGGCACGCTGAGGGGCAATCATTCTGCCCAGCATAGTTTAGAAAGCCTTGTCAGAGGCCTCTGAATTACATTTTTTTTTTTTTTTTTTTTCTGAGACAGTGTCTCACTCCATTGCCCAGGCTGGAATGCAGTGGCACGATCTCAGCTCACTGCAACCTCCACCTCCCAGGTTCAAGTGATTCTCCTGCCTTAGCCTCCCAAGTAGCTGGGATTACAGGCATGTGCCACCACCCCCAGCTAATTTTTGTATTTTTAGTAGAGACAGGGTTTCACCATGTTCGCCAGGCTGGTCTCAAACTCCCGACCTCGGGTGATCTGCCCGCCTTGTCCTCCCAAAGTACTGAGATTACAGGTGTGAGCCACTGCCCCGGCTCGAACTACTCTTTTTTTTTTTTTTTTTTTTAAAGGCGCTTCACTCTTGTTGCCAAGGCTGGAGTGCAATGGCGCGATCTCAGCTCACTGCAACCTCCGCCTCCCGGGTTCAAGTGATTCTCCTGCCTCAGCCTCCCGAGTAGCTGGGATTAGAGGCATGCGCCACCACACCCGGCTAATTTTGTGTTTTTAGTAGAGACAGGGTGTCTCCATGTTGGTCAGGCTGGTCTCGAACTCCCAACCTCAGGTAATCTGCCCGCCTCGGCCTCCCAAAGTGCTAGGATTACAGGCATGTGCCACCGCGTGTGGAATTATTATTATTATTATTATTTTTAGACAGGGTCTGACTCTGTTGCCTAGGCTGAAGAGCTGCAGTGGCACAATCTCAGCTCACTGCAGCCTCGACCTCCCCACCTCAGATGATCCTTCCACCTCAGCCTCCTGGGTAGCTGGGACTACAGGCTTGCACCACCATACCCAGCTAATTTTTTGTATCTTTTTGTAGAGATGGGGTTTCATCATGCTGCCCAAACTGGCCTCGAGCTCCTGGGCTCAAGCCATTCACCTGTCTTGGCCTCCCAAAGTGCTGGGCTTACAGGCATGAGCCACTGAGCCTGGCCTCTCTAAACTACACTTAATGAAGAGTGTGAATTGGTCTGGCCAAGAAAGGGGAGAAAGACAAGCTAGACAGAGGGAAGTTAGCCAGGCCTGGAGCAGACCAAAGCTGAATTCCTTGCCTATTTACTCAGTAGTGTCATCTCAAGGAAAAGAACGATTGTCTGCTTTCTAAATTGCCCTTTTTGTGTTCCTGGAGGGGAGGCAGGCTGGTGAGGTGTCCGTGGGCTAGTAATTATTTCTGCTTATTTACAAGGTAATATTACAGCATGATGAGAAAGCCTGCCTGTTTTGATGGTTCCAAGCTTGGAAAGTTTGGGAAAGAATCCAAGAACATGGCAGGTTATCAAGGCGTTATCAGCTGGGACACAAAAGGAGAGAAGGTAAAAGAGGCATTTGGATTCCAGAGTCAATAATGAGCCAGAAGTGAGTGTTGAATTATTCAACCTCCTGTATTGATCCATTGATCTCTATCTGCAGCTCTTGGTTTATTCTTGGTTGGCATTTCCTGTGTCTCAGACACTGATAAGAGAAATGGAAGGAGGAGGAGGAACAGATTCTTAAGACTCAAGAAAAGAGAAGAGGTGATGTCAAAGAGAAATTTGGCAACATACATCAGGAATCTTAAAATGTCCATATCTTTTGACCTAGTGGTTCTACTTTTGGAAATTGATCCTAAAAATACTATCCAGAACTTTTTTTTTTTTTTTTTTTTTGAGGCAGAGTCTCACTCTGTTGCTTGCCCAGGCTGGAGTGCAGTGGCGCGATCTTGGCTCACTGCAAGCTCCGCCTCCCGGGTTCACGCCATTCTCCTGCCTCAGCCTCCTGAGTAGCTGGGACTACAGGCGCCTGCCACTATGCCCGGCTAATTTTTTGCATTTTTAGTAGAGGCAGGGTTTCACTGTGTTAGCCAGGATGGTCTCCATCTCCTGACCTCATGATCCGCCCACCTCGGGCTCCCAAAGTGCTGGGATTACAGGCGTGAGCCACTGCACCCGGCCTGTATGTCCTAAATGTTCTACAAAAAAAGTACAAGTTTTAAATAACTTTAAAAAGTTTTAAGGGTGAGGGGAGAGACCCTCATATGAAGGCTTCACAGTAAAGTAAACAAATTAGTGTAGAACTAAATCCTCCTAGAATCCAGGGGACTGCTATGTCCCAGGTGGGCTGACCATCTCCTTGGCCATAGCATGGAGCCAAATGAATAAATGGATGCTGTGGGGCAGTCATTCCATGGAGGACAATCAGAGGCCGGTGAACATATTTAAAGAAGAAGTACAGCCTGGACAACATAGTGAGACCCCATCTCTAAAAAAAAATTTTTTTTTATTAATTACCCAAGCATGGTGGCACCTGTAGTCCCAGCTACTTGCTACTTGCTACTCAGGAGGCTGAGGTGGGAGGATTGCTTGACCCCAGGAGGTCAAGGCTGCAGTAAGCCATGATTGCACCACTGCACTCCAGCCTGGGTGAAACAGGAAGACCCTGCCCCAAAAGAGAAAGAAAGAAGAAAGATGAGTTTTCCCAACAGAGAAACAGGAGGAAGTCATGGTATGGGCACGTAGGGAATGGAAACAGGCCAGTATGGCTGGATTGCAGGGTGCCATGGGGAGAAACGATGGGAGATAGTGTTGGAAAGTAGGGATTGTCAGGGGGTCATAAATGCTAGGCTGAGGGCCTTTGTCTTTCTGCCCCAAGTTTCTTCAATCTTGGGGGAGGGGTCTTAAGCAAAAGGGTGGTGTGGTTAGAGCTCATCCCAGCTCTCATCACATTATATTATTATTATTACTACCATTATTATTGTTATTACCATTATTTTTATTCCCTAGCCCCTTAGTCTAGTCTGTTTCCCATCACTTGTCAGAAACTAGGAGAGCAGGGGAGGGGAAGGGGAGCAGTCCAAGGCAGCCCTCTAAGATCATCAGCCAGGCTTCCTGACCCCAGCTTGGCCCTCTTCCCACCACAGTAGGCTCAGTCCTGCCATCCCCAGGCACCCAGACAAACTCCTCCACCCCCAACCCCCATGACAAAGAGGCTCATTTGGAGCCCGGGCAAGATTTGCAAACGTCAAACTTATAATTACAAGGATGAAATCATCTGGTTCCTTTTAAGCAAACGGGTTTATTGATCCCAACACTAAAGAAATGCTATTCTGGGGAAACTTGCTCCTCTCTGCTTTCCTTTCCCTATGGGATGGCTGAGCTGGGGGAGGGTGGCTAGAGGGCTCAGAAGGGGGAGATGCCCCTGGGAGGGAGGGGAGATTCTCTGGGCCCAAGGGTGGATTTTACGGTATATAAATTATATCTCAAAAAGAAAAAAATTCTTTAGGGCCCAGGAAACTGCCACACTTGGGCAGATGACACCCTCATCCTGAATTAAGGCCCATTGCCTTCTAAAAACTAGAAGCTGAGTGGAGCCAGGGTTTTAGGCAATGTGCCAGCCACTAATTTTCCTTGTCTCCCACTCCTCTCAAGTCTCATTTGTGGCTCCAGATCCTATTTCAGCTTCAAGATGGTACAATATTTTCTCAGTAACTGAAGGGAAACTATTTCCTTAGAAAAAATGCATCAGAGGCTCAGAGACTTCCTCTGTGAGGAGAGGCAAAGGTGGGTGGCTGCTGACACCAGACCTGGATAAAACCATCCTTTCTGCTGGGCCTGCAGAGGCAGGACATCTAGACTTTGACCTTCCAAGCCAAGAAGGGACAAACAGGCTCAGAGATAGGAATGCACAGTCCTCAAGGGCAGACCCACATCCTGCCACAAGGCCCAAAATAGAACCCCTTTCTTCAACCTGTGGGGACCCTTCTAGAACATGGTGGGGTGCTCCCAGAGGAATAACCCCAGACATAGCCTTCTATGAGTTTGCAGTTCAGTGAGGGCAGCAGGCAGGACTTTTGGTATCTCCACTAGGTCTCAGAGTAGAATGATTAAAATCACCACCCTGGGGTCACTTAACCCCTGTGAATCTCCGTTGGCCCATCTGTAGAATAGGATCAATAATACTAAACTTACAGGGTTGTGGTGAGGAAGGAATGAAGATGATGTATCCCAATGCTTAGCTAGTTTCTTTAGAGTCGGGGGAGGGTCTCACTCTGTTGCCTAGGATGGCCTCAAACTCCTGGCCTCAAGTGATCCTCCCACTTCCACTTCCCAAACTACTGAGATTACAGGTGTGCACCACCATGCCCAGCCCCCATTTTGTTATTTCAAATGGATCAGGGTCTCGTCACTGTCCTTTTTTACTTTTACTTTTTTTTTTTTTTTTTTGAGGCAGAGTCTTGCTCTGTCACCCAGGCTGGAGTGCAGTGGTGCAATCTCGGCTCACTGAAACCTCTGCCTCCCGGGTTCAAGTGATTCTCCTGTCTCAGCCTCCAGAGTGGCTGGGATTACAGGCACACGCTGCCACGCACAGCTAATTTTTTGTATTTCCGTGGAGACCGGGTTTCACTGTGTTGCCCAGGCTGGTCTCGAGCTCCTGAGCTCAGGCAATCCACCCGCCTCAGCCTCCCAAAGTGCTAGGATTACAGACGTGAACCATCGCTCCTGGCCTTATTTACTTTTTCAAAGTCTGTTTCCTCATCTCTCAGGAGACAGAAGACCTGACTTAGAAGATGGTTGTGTGGGCCGGGCGCGGTGGCTCACGCCTGTAATCCCAGCACTTTGGGAGGCCAAGGCGGGCAGATTGCCTGAGGTTGGGAGTTCGAGACTAGCCTGCCCTTCTCTACTAAAAATACAAAAATTAGCTGGGCGTGGTGGCAGGCGCCTGTAATCCCAGCTACTCAGGAAGCTGAGGCAGGAGAATCGGTTAAACCCGGGAGGCAGAGGTTGCAGTGAGCCGAGATTGCACCATTGCACTCCAGCCTGGGCAACAGAGTGAGACTCCGTCTCAAAAAAAAAAAAGAAAGTGGTTGTGTGAATTAACTGTGATAAGGTGCATGAAGGCACCCTGAACAGAGCTTCACAGTTGCACTAGGCAAGTGAGGGTTCCTGCGCTCTCCTCAGCTTCATTGTGTATTATCTACTTACCCACCCAAGATCAGCTTTAGGAGCCTGCAGGAGCAGCCACCCACCTAGGAAGTTAGGGAGATACTCAAGAGGAGGCCCTTGGTTGGCTTGAATCCTTACGAAAGGAAGATTCCAGATGACCGGACTTCAGATAATTCAGTCAGGTTTTGGGACGGTGGGGGCAGATGTTTCTTGGCACAGAAAAGACACCTCTAAGCCTCCATGAGTGGGCCTTAGTAGAGCTGGATCTTAGCAAACCCCCTTAGCAAACACCCATAGCATGGTGTCTGGGCCAACCCATACCCAACTCAACAGCTGCCAAAGCTGTTAGGAGCACAGACTTAAGTGTACCTTACATGGGTGAAAATTTCCTTTATAAATTTCCTTTAATTCTGTTTTTTTAAATAAGTGAAAAAAAATTAACAACCAAAAAGGCATATAGAGGTCAGCCGAGGAGATGGCCTCCTTCAGCCTGTGGCTTATTTCCCGGTCATCCTGGCTGTTGGATGCCAGACTACGACGAGTGTGGGTTACCCTGTGGCCTGGAGTTGCCCAAGGCTGTCTGTGGGGCTGCTGTTCTGGGTCTGCTTGGCAGGCTTTGCTGTCCCTTTCCCTTAGGACATCGTTCCTCCCCTCCTTGAGGCTGACAATGAGAGCGCCCTGCCCTGCTCTGCACTCCCACCCCTCCAGGTCTAGCTCCCTTGACCCTGACCTTTTCCTTGCCTAAGCTCATGGCCATCAAGGCCATTCTAGAGATCTTTCAATTTTTATTTATTCCACATTTCCCATGGCAGAAACAATTATTGCTAGAGTCTTTGGCCAAGATCAACTTGGAGGTCTGTGAGCCCTCCTTGGACCCATTGTGGAGCAAGAGTGCTTCCTCATGGATTTTTTTTCCCCCCGAGACGGAGTTATGCTCTTGTTCCCCAGGCTGGGGTGCAATGGCACGATCTTGGCTCACCGCAACCTCTGCCTCCCAGGTTCAACCAATTCTCCTGCCTCAGCTTCCGAGTAGCTGTTTGAGACGGAGTCTTGCTCTGTGGCCCAGGCTGCAGTGCAGTGGCACCGTCTTGGCTCACTACAACCTCCGCCTCCCAGGTTCAAGCGATTCTCCTGCCTCAGCCTCCCGAGTAGCTGAGACTACAGGCGTGTGCCACCACACCCCGCTAATTTTTGTACTTTAGTAGAGATGGGGTTTTGCCATGTTGACCAGACCGGCCTCGAGCTCCTGATCTCAGGTGATCAGCCTGCCTCGGCCTCCCAAAGTGCTGGGATTAGGCCAGGCGCAGTGGCTCATGCCTGTAATCCCAGTACTTTGGGAGGCCGAGGCGGGCAGATCACCTGAGGTCAGGAGTTCGAGACCAGCCTGACCAACATGGCGAAACCCCGTCTCTACTAAAAATACAAAAAAATTAGCTGGGCGTGGTGGTGGGTGCCTGTAATTCCAAATACTCGGGAGACAGAGGCAGAAGAATCACTTGAACCCAGGAGGCGGAGGTTGCAGTGAGCCGAGATCGCGCCATTGCACTCCAGCCTGGGCGACAGAGCGAGGCTCTGTTTAAAAAAAAAAAAAAAAAAAAAAAAAAAAGAGGGCTGGGATTACGGGTATGAGCTACAGTGCCCGGCCACAGGACTAACTTTGAATCAAACTCTGCCATAAATCCCATGTCAGACTTTCTCCAGTTTGGGCTAAACAACTTCCCTAGAATTTATGGATCTTATTTTTTGCAGCTGATTGCACATTGAGTAAGTATATGGACTGGCAATCGGTTACATTCTTAACTCAGCTTGTTCTTCTTTAGAAACTTAAATTTATTGGGCTCCCACTGTGTGCTAGACCCACATAAAGGTTCTCACGCTAACACTGCAAACCTAGGAGTGTCTGCATTTTGGAAATAAGGAAACTGAGGTTTAGTGGTCCAATTCTTATCTAAGGCCCCAGCCAGCAGGTAGTGTAGCTGAGTGGGATCCCATCTAAGACCCATCTGACTCCAAAAGCCACGACCTTTCCACCATGACTCGGTTGGATTCTTTGGTCCGTTTCCACCTCAGTCTTCAACGTGCAGAGCCTACACCCCTGCCGGTCGGTTTAGGGACGAAAAGTCCCCAAGGACTTAGGTTTCCTCGCGTTCAAGTGACAATCTGGGGTTACTCCGCGCACCTGGGGAACCCAGAAGTTCCAGATGACCGAGGAAGGGCGGTAGAAAAGGCCTGCGCTGGCTACTCCCGTCTGCTAAAGGCCAGGCGGATCCCCCAACGACAGCTCCACGCCGAGTGGCCGCGGGCGAGCAGGGGGAAAAGGGCCCTGATGCGGAAGGAGCCCCGGGGCGCCACAGCCAGGCCGCTCCGCCAGCGGGCGGGTGGCGCATGCGCGGCGTGGGCCGCGGAGTTGTGAATGGTGCGTCTTGTTTGCCGGAGTTGGAGGCGGGCGGGCGCGCGAGGAGGAGGGGTGGGGCCGGCGGGGGCGGGGTGGGCGGTGAGAGGAAGTGGCGGCGGCGGCGGCGGCGGCGGCCGGGGGCGGTGAGCGCTGGGGCTGCGCGGGCGGCAGGCAACGGCTGAGGCGGCGGCGGCGGCGGCGGCGGCGTGGGTTGGGCTCGAGCGGGCGGCGGCGCCTCAGACTCCCCGGAACGGGAGCCCACGCGGGCGGGCGCCTGAAACAAAGGGAAGCGGGCGTCCGGGCGCCGCGGGTGGGCGGTCAGTCGGTCAGCGCGGAGCCAGCCAGCGGGTGCCCGCGCAAGCCCCGAGCGCGGCCGGCCGGCGCGGCCTCAGGGCGGGAAGATGCCGCGCGTCGTGCCCGACCAGAGAAGCAAGTTCGAGAACGAGGAGTTTTTTAGGAAGCTGAGCCGCGAGTGTGAGGTGAGGCAGGCGGGCGGGCGGCTAGGAGGCCGCAGCGCGCCCCGAGTGGGCCCGGGCGGAGAAAAGTTTGGGCGGCACGGTCCCCGGGAGTCCCGGTCGGTGCGCCCGCGGAGGGGCAATCTCGCCGGGGCGGCCATCGCCCGCAGCCTCTGCTTGCCCTTATCGGCGCTGCGCTGGGAGGGCGGGCGCGCGGGCGGCGCCGCGGATTTGGCTCCTGATTTCGGGCCGTCTTGCCTTGCAGATTAAGTACACGGGCTTCAGGGACCGGCCCCACGAGGAACGCCAGGCACGCTTCCAGAACGCCTGCCGCGACGGCCGCTCGGAAATCGTAAGTCGGCTGGCCCGGGGCGCGCGCGGGTCACTTGTTGCGCGGGGCCGCGGCGGCCCAGGCCGGTTCCGGACGGCGGCGCGGCTGCTGCGGCTCCCGGAACTGAGTGGGCGCCGTCTCACTTCCTACTCGGGATTCAAAATGCGAAACCAGATGCCGCGGGCCGGTACTCGCGGGGAGACGCTTTTCCTGGGGCTCGCCGCGGTGGCGCGTGTCGGCCAACGGAGCACCGCGAGTGGAGCTCGAACCCGAGCCAGACTAAACAAGCGAAGGGCATTGTTTAGGCGGCGACACCGAAGAAGGGTTCAGGGTATTTGTAGCAAGCAAACCCCCATTCGGAAAAAGAAGTGGAGCTTCATTCAAGGTCGGCGATAGTTTGTTTCTTAGAAGGTAGATCTGTCGGTAATTCTCTGTGTCAAGCGGTCTCACTACCAGATCGCCGAGTAGAAATCTTTCCTCCAGTTATTTATTCTAATAGAGAGGGGAGGGGGGGGAAAAGGCCCTAAAAATGTCATTTTCTTAGAATGTTAAGCTTCAGGAGAATCAGAAAGAAACCATTATCCCCATGTCCTGAGTAGGGCTGCTGTTCCTAAAAACTGCACAGATGGGCAAAACCCACGGTTGATCTCGAGGTCCTTGTTTTAGGAGGCAGATTTAGTGCGTCTTCACCAGACCTTGGGTTGAAAAAAAAAATCCAAGGGTCCTAGTTCCTCTCATCTTTTTGGTTTGCCTTGTTGGAGGTGCTGATGAGGAGGGAGTGGTAGGAAGAAACCAAGAAAAGAGGTTGATTATTACTATTTTTTTGAGGTAGAGTCTTGCTCTGTTGCCCAGGCTGGAGTACAGTGGCTCGATCTCGGGTCACTGCAACCTTCGCCTCCTGGGTTCAAGCGATTTTCCTGCCTCAGCCTCCTGAGTAGCTAGGATTACAGGTGCCTGCCACCACGCCCGGCTAATTTTTGCATTTTTAGTAGAGACGGGGTTTCACCTTGTTGGCCAAGCTGGCCTCCTGACCTCAAGTGATCCGCCCTCCTCGACCTCCCAGAGTGCTGGGATTACAGGCGTGAGCCACTGCGTCTGGCCTGATTATTTTTTAAAAAGTTGAAGCACTGTCTAATGGAATGCTGTTACTCTCTGCTCGGTGACTTGGACTCACTGCATTGTTAGAGGCTTGAAGCTAGGTGCGATTTGAATTTGGGTTAACAGTAGGAAGACATTGGAAATTTACTTCTCCCACCCCCTTTATAAAACCAGTTTATTTTTATTCAGATATAATTCATATGTCATAAAATTCTCCCTTTACATCACTGAACTCAAATTTATTTTTAAAGAATATTTTGATATTTTAAGTGAAAGCTTTTTAGAGTTGTAATAGTGAGAAGATACTGGTTAAATTTATCAGGAGCTCCTGAATATTTGGTCATTAGTGCATGTTATGAAAGAGAGTCTCAAGCTTTTAGCCCACTTGCAAATTTCTTGAGTAATTGTAGTATTTATATGATTGAAGTGCATAAGACATACTTTTAGGTTTTGGCACTGAGTGGTATAATAAAAGAATTCATTAGCTGGTGCGATGATCGTGTCATCCTTTGCCTGGGTTACCTTTTGCAAAGGGAAGGTGGTATACCTGACGATAGAATTTCCTGGAGGTAAAGGATGCAAGTATAAAAGATAAGTTACAAAGTACTTGTACTCTCACTGTTTGCTTTTTTGTTTTGAGACGGAGTCTCGCTCTGTTACCCAGGCTGGAAGCACAGCAGCATGATCTTGGCTCGCTGCAACCTTCGCCTCCTGGGTTAAAGCGATTCTCCTGCCTCAGCCTCCTGAGTAGCTGGGATTACAGGCACACACCACCACGCCCGGCTAATTTTTTTGTATTTTTAGTAGAGACGGGGTTTCACCATCTTGGCCAGGCTTGTTTTGAACTCCTGACCTTAAGTAATCCTCCCACCTCGGCCTTCCAAAGTGCTGGGATTACAGGTGTGAGCCACCGCGTCTGGTCTTGTTTCGTTTTTTTTTTTTAAGAGAGAGGTCTTGCTGTGTGGCCTAGGCTGGGGTGCAGTGGCTGTTCACAGGCACAATCATGAGGCACTACAGCCTCAAACTTCTGGGCTCAAGCGATCCTCTTGCCTCAGCCTCCCAATAGCTGGGACTACAGGCTCGGCGTCACCATACGCAGCCCCATGTGTTGTATTATCATCACTATCTTTGAAAGCTGAATTTTTTTGGAAATTTGGTGAATCATAGCTAGTAGGGTGTTTTCTGTCATCTCAGACTTTGCTGAATGGAATTATGAATTCAACCCATAGGATATCTGAAATGCTGTAATATTATAGTAGTAGTACAGGTGGTTAGTGTTTGTCATGAATTTATTTCCAGGATGAATTAGACATTCTAGACCTTCCCCGCTTCCAAATAATCTGATCCTCACCTGAGCCCGGGAGGTCGAGGCTGCAGTTAGCCATGATCGTACCACTGCACTCCAGCCTGGGTGACAGAGTGAGACCCGGTCTCCAAAAATAAAACAAGTATCTGATTCGACACATTTTACAAGTTTTAAATTTCTGAGAAGTATTAAAGGTTAAAGAAGGTAGATTGAATGCTGTGTGAGGTTTGCACTTAAGACGGCTCATGTCTTATTTTGTTAAATAATGTAACTATTGGTATTTGGAGAGGAATTTCACGTTTCCTAGTTTTCTCTCTTTCTAGTTTCCCTCCTTTAATTCAGTGTTAACCCACATTTAATTACAGGATCCTTAGCTCCTAGAGGGTAGAGACCTCATTAATTTTGTATAAACCCCTCTGGATACAGCTATTTTTCACAATACCTTTTATATCAGAGGTACTTGATTATTTGAATTTAGAGGCTGCTTAATTTAATGCCTGAAATTTATCTCATGACTTATGAACAGGCTGGGTTTCTTCCTATTTGGCTGTGGAAAAAGGCATTATTTTGCCTGTTTTGACAGCAGCCATAAATGGCAAGGATATCCATAGTTCTCAAAACTATTCCCAACCTTTCTCCTGCCCCAGTTGTCCTCTTCTTATTTGGAACATCTTCTTGATGTATCAGTGAGGTTAATGAAGAATTCATTTTGCTGTTGCCCAGGCTGGAGTGCAGTGGCATGATCTTGGCTCAGTGCAACCTCCGTCCCCCATGTTCAAGTGATTGTCTTGACCCAGCCTCCTGAGTAGCTGGAATTACAGGCGTATACCACCATGCCCAGCTAATTTTTGTATTTTTAGTAGAGACGGAGTTTCACCATGTTTGCCAGGCTGGTCTCAAACTCCTGACCTCAGGTGATCCACCGACCTCGGCCTCCCAAAGTGCTGGGATTACAGGCGTGAGCCACCACTCCCAGCCTCATTTTGCATTTAGATGTGAAATAATTTAAGGGCTGTGTTGATCATCTCTCTTTAACTATAAAACTCAATCAGCCTCCTTATTTTATGCCAATTGAGTTTTTAACTGTAAAACCCAATCAGCATTAAATAAAAGTGAACACAGGTCGAAGAATCTGTAGTAGAATCTGATTTATTCTTTTTTGAGACTGGATCTTACTCTGTCACTCTGGCTGGAGTGCAGTGGTGCCATCTCCGTTCACTGCAACCTCCACCTCCTGCTTCAGCCTCCTGACTTGCTGGGATTACAGGCGCCTGCCACCACGCCTGGCTGGTTTTTGTATTTTTAGTAGAGATGGGTTTCACCATGTTGGCCAGGCTGGTCTCCAACTGCTGGCCTCAAGTGATGTGCCTGCCTCAGTGAGCCACTGCACCCAGCCTTGATTTATTCTTATCAATTCTTTTTTTTTTTTTTTTGAGACGGAGTCTTGCTCTGTCGCCCAGGCTGGAGTGCAGTGGCACGATCTCGGCTCACTGCAAGCTCCGCCTCCTGGGTTCACGCCATTCTCCCGCTTCAGCCTCCCGAGTAACTGGGACTACAGTCGCCTGCCACCACACCCGGCTAATTTGTTTTTGTATTTTTAGTAGAGACAGAGTTTCACCGTTGTTTTTTTTTTTTTTTTTTTTGAGACGGCGTCTTGCACTGTCGGCTAGGCTGGAGTGCAATGGCACGATCTTGGCTCTCGGCTCACTGCAACCTCTGCCTCCTGGGTTCACACGATTCTCCTGCCTCAGCCTCCCGAGTAGCTAGGATTACAGGCGCACACCACCACACCCGGCTAATTTTTTGTATTTTTAGTAGAGGTGGGGTTTCACTATATTGGCCAGACTGGTGTTAAACTTCTGACTTCGTGATCTGCCTGTGTTGGCCTCCCAAAGTGCTGGGATTACAGGCTTGAGCCACTGCACCCGGCCTATTCTTACCAATTCTTATGTAGTTAAGAATGTTGGAGACGTCTTCAACACTAATAATCAAATAAAGAAAAAATATTTATAAGAAGTATGGTTACTCTGTGGTGAGAAGAGTAAAAACTAATACATATTTCTAATTCTAAAGATTGAATGGTAAAAAGTATGTTGGATTGGCACAAGGTGTGCTATTTTATAATTTGTGAAACCTACAAAGCATAAGACAACCTGGAAATCTTAAATATAGGCGTCATACTAGTGTAGCATTTTAATGTTTTCATTTTGTTTATTTTCGTCTTTATTTTCCTATGACGATGTTGACACCATATTAATATTTTGGAACAGACTTTTTCCAACTCTTACCTATATGTAGGTATTTCATTAAAAGAATTCCATGGTCACATAAGTTTGGAAAATGTTATTCTAGAATGATCTGTGTTTACCACTTCTGTCTCAGAGAGGGATCTTTATGAGATAATGGACATATAGTGATGAAGCAGGAAATCTCTTCTGAGGTTGGCATCAAGACAGGAGATGAGGTAATACGATCTGCAGAGTGTCTTAGCACAGAACTGATTTGGGGTACACTGGAGGTGGAAGGATTTGCTACTACGTGAATACTGAAGAAACAAGCCACAGGGATTTTGACACGGGGCAGTCGTTCATGGGCTGTGTCTTTTCTGCCACCACTCTGCTCTGAGAATTTCATTATCTGAAGCTGAAAAAGTTGGCTTTCTTGTTGAGCTTAAAGTTATTTATCATATTATTCAGCAGACACTTTCATAGCATTTACTTGGTACTGTTTTAAGCACTTTACAAATAATTGATTTGTGAGAAAACTGAATTATGCTTCAGGTCGTACAGCCTGGGCAGTTTCCCTCCCAGAAACTTTTTTTTTTTTTAACTAGTGTTGGGGGGTTTTTTGTTAAGATTTATGCTCGTAGTACATGGGAAGTTTTTTTTGTTTTTTGTTTTTGTGATGGAGTCTCGCCTTGTTGTCCAGGCTGGAGCACAGTGGTGCAATCTCGGCTGACTGCATGCAACCTCTGCCTCCCAGGTTCAAGTGATTCTCCTGCCTCATCCTCCCAAGTAGCTGGGATTACAGGCGTCTGCCACCATGCCCAGCTAATTTTTTGTATTTTTAGTAGAGACAGGGTTTCACCATGTTGGCCAGGCTGGTCTTGTACTCCTGACCTCAGATGGTCTACCTGCCTTGCCTCCCAAAGGGCTGGGATTACGAGTGTGAACCACTGCTCCTGGCCTGAAAGATTTTTTAAAATGATGTTGTAATATTGATGTTAGTTCAGTTTCTATGGATATAAAACATTTACCACATGAAAATGGTACCCCAGTTGATTAGGGAAATGCCATCAGAGAGGTTTAGAGATTTAGCATTTAGGTTGACAAGTGTACCGACAGTGCCAGTAATAGAAATAGGAAGTATAATTTTTACCTCTAAAGAATCTAAGCTGTTAACCATCAGGGGAACTATTGGATAGCTAACTTGGTTGATGGCTTTAAACAAATTGCCCCAAATGTGAACCTCTTGATTTGAGATGAAGACTCTATGCATGGAAACCAATTATGCTTCAGAACTTAATTAGTAGAATAAACCAAACAAAAAACTTTTTCTGGTTTCAGCAAAGAAGAGTTTACATTTAGATGATGAAAAATGTATTTTTTCAAAAATGCTTTTACTTCTTTTTTTCTTAATTTCCTTTGGGAAAGGGGTAATGTCTTTGTTTTTTGCCTGAGGGAAATATAGAGGTAACTTGCTCAAGGCCTACATAAAATGACACTTTATTGAAGTGGTTTTAGATTGTTGCATCTGTTGAGCTCTAACATCCAAATCTTTTATATTTATAAATCTAATCTATAAATATTTATTAGATGAATACTTTTCTCTTTGTTGTAGTCAGACCAAGTTCTCCTAAAGTCAAATGTGAGAAAAGACATATTTTTAAAAATCATCTAGGGTTTTAGAGAGTACTGTCACATCCCATGCCAATGTATGGTTTATCAGAGGAGAGACAATTCCAAGTGCATTTTTTATGTACTGCCTGCTATGCAGTGTTTCAGCAAGGGAAATCAAGGAAAATTAAAGTGTCTCATTTATACAATTTTAAATTGTGGTATTCTTTAAAATTCAAAATCTTTAGATTTTGAGTGATTTTTACATTTAAAAATAGAAGTTTTTAAATGCAGAGATGGATAGTGGCTTCTGGTTAGACATTAGCAGTGTGAGATCCTAACGTCAGCAAAAAATGACCTGAAAGAAAGTATTGATTCCATGTCTGATTTTATACTTAAGCAGCCAATGGCAAATGTCCTCAAAATGGAATCAGATGTTTGTAACTTAATACTTAAGAAAAATGATGAGTGCATGTTTTTTTTTACTTTTAAGTATTCTCTGTGCTGCCTGGCTTAAGACATAAACTGATGTAAAAATAAATGACTGCTTGCATAATTTATGTAATGTCCTGCTCCTGATCCTGTTTGTATTGATTTTTCTAAAAGGCTTTTGTGGCCACAGGAACCAATCTGTCTCTCCAGTTTTTTCCGGCCAGCTGGCAGGGAGAACAGCGACAAACACCTAGCCGAGAGTATGTCGACTTAGAAAGAGAAGCAGGCAAGGTAGGAAACATTTCTTTGCAATTTAAAATACTGTGGGTTGTTTTGTTAGAGATTATCTGGTAATTTACATTTTAATAAAGATCACAGATCTGATTATACCAGCATATGCTCAGATTTGTTTTCATTCCATGTTATAAGGATGTAATATAATTTTTTTTTTTTAATGGCGTTTCGCTCTTGTTGCCCAGGCTGGAGTGCAGTGGCGTGATGTTGGTTCACTGCAATCTCCGCCTTCCAGTTTCAAGCGATTCTCCTGCCTCAGCCTCCTGAGTAGCTGGGATTACAGGTACCCGCCACCACATCTGACTAATTTTTGTATTTTTAGTGGAGATGGGGTTTCACCATGTTGGCCAGGCTGGTCTCGAACTCCTGACCTTGTGATCCGCCCACCTCTGCCTCCCAAAGTGTTGGGATTACAGGCGTGAGCCACTGTGCCCGGCCAATATAATTTTTTAAAACCACTGTTAAACTTTTGTATCACTCCATTCCTAATTTCATGTACATAATATTTGTCATAGAACATTCTAACCCTTAAGGAAAGTAACATAACAATTTCTTTAAAAGTTTGAGGAGATATATTTTGTTTACAAAAATATATGTAAGTATAGTGCTATAAAAATAAAACAAGAGGAAAACGGAAAAAAGCTCTCTAGGTTTAAAAATTAATAGTATTTAGAAATAGCTCATAGGTAACTTTCTAATTCCATTAACAGCAAATTTACATTTGAGAAAAACAATGTGAAAACTTTAACTTGGAAATACTTTTTTTTTGTTTTGAGAAAAAGTTTCTGGGAACATGTCTTACAGTTTCGATGTTAGAAGTTTAGGTTAAAGATACAAAAATATAGGTAAAATGTTTAAGCTGAGAGCCTTATTTCAGGTCTACGTTAAATGTATTATGATTTTGGTAATTTTTTTTTTTTTTTTTTTGAGATGGAGTCTCCCTCTGTTGCCCAGGCTGGAGTGCAGTGGTGTGATCTTGGCTCACAGCAACCTCCACCTCCTGGGTTTTAAGCTATTCTCCTGCCTCAGCCTCCTGAGTAGCTGGGATTACAGGTGTGCGCCACCACGCCTGGCTAATTTTTTTGTATTTTTAGTAGAGACAGGGTTTCCCCATATTGGTCAGGCTGGTCTTGAACTCCTGACCATGTGATCCACCTGCCTCTGCCTCCCAAAGTGGTGGGATTATAGGAGTGAGCTACTGCACCTGGCCTGGTAAATTTTAATGAATAGCATCTTGGATTGGTTGATTCTTGATTGAGAAGTCAAGGAGTTGACTTCTAGAATAAAATTTTTAAAGAAGAAACCCTCTTTTAAATATAGTTTTATACTCAAAACACCCTTTTGGATCCAGTTTCATACTTTTTTTGTGTGTGTTTGTTTTGCAGTGTGTTTTTGTACCCGTTTCTATCAACTTACTAAATTAATTTTCTAAGTGTCATCATGAATAGCATAACCTGCCACATTTATGTAAAATGTGAGAAATGTCTAAATATTCCTTTGAGAAATATTTAATTTAATCTTGTGTGTATATATATATATACACGTATATATGTGTATATATACGTATATGTGTGTGTATATATGTATATATGTGTGTGTATATACGTATATGTGTGTATGTATATACATATATATGTATATATAAAATGAATTTTTTGTTTTCTCCAATTCTGTAGAATTAGATTTGATCTTTTGTGCGTGACAAAACAATCTTTGGATTAGAAAAGGGAAAACAGATTATAAGATTTAAAAAAATGAGTACTAAGCAAGCAGTTTGCTTTCCTGTGTATTAGCTTGTTTGCTTGGAAAATTAAAAGTGAATGTTCCAGATTTTACTATTTGGTAATTCTTACACAATATATAAGGAAGAATTTGAGAAGTCCTTGTACGATTATTGGTTTTTTTGTGCTTCTGGTGCGTGTATGTGTGACTAAATGAAGAAATTATTTTTTTTCTTGTTTGAATACTTCCTTAAAGTTTGTTTAACATGGTAGCTCAGATACTAAAGACGTAAACCAAAAAAAAAAAAAATTTGTTTTTTGTCAGCTTTAGCCCAAAACTATTTTAAGACTTCAAGGGCAACATCTCAGTGTTACTGAAGTCTTCCGGTATTTAATAACTAGTAAATGGGTTGTTAACTCTACCAGAAATTAAGTTTGCTTGAATTAATTTAATGATACTGCTTCACTAGTGTGAAGACCACATAATCCTTGGACTTAAACCATTGAGATGTTTTTAGTTATATGACCAAAAATAACAAAAATGTGAGATGGTTTATTCTAGTACAGTCATGTGTCACTTAATGGTAGGGATATGTTCTGGGAAATGTGTTGCTGGGTGATTTTTATCATTGTGTATATATAGAGTGTACTTACACAGATCTAGATGGTATAGCCTACTACACACTTAGGCTATCTGGTATAGTCTGTTGCTCCTAGGCTACAAACCTGTACTGTACAGCATGTTACCGTACTGAATACTGTAGTCAACTGTAACACAATTTGGTAAGTATTTGTGTATCTTGATGTATCTAAACATAGAAAAGATATGGTAAAAATACAGTATTTAAAAAATGGTATACCTGTATAGGGCACTTACTTTGAATGGAGCTTGCAGGACTGGAAGTTGCTCTGGGTCAGTCAGTTGAGTAAGTGGTGAATGAATGTGATTCTGTAGATTATATAAACATAGTATGCTTAGGCCGCACTAAATCTATAAAAATTAAGCAATTGCACTGCAATGTTAAAATGGCTATGATGTCACTAGGCAATAGGAATTTTTCAGATTCATTATAATCTTACAAGACCACTGTCATATATGTGATCCATTTTAGGCTGTAACGTTGTTAAAGCAATACATGAATGTATTAAAAAGATATGTTTTTAATTCTATTAGGAAGAGTGATAGAACTATGCAGGCTATCAGGAAATGTACATTTTATTAATACTGGTTTTAGAAGTTTTTTTTTCTGTGAAGGGACAAATGTAAATGTTTTCAGTTTTGCAGGCTTTCAGTCTCTGTCACAACTACTCATCTCTGTAACTCTGCTGTTGTGGTGTGAAAGGGACCCTAGACAATATGTAAACAATTGAGTGTGGCTGTGTTCCATAAATGGTGACACTGGTAGAAATCAGTATCTTTCCCTCAGATGTAAATCTGTAAATGTTTATGCATAGGTCATGTATTTCTCAGATAGAATTTTGTCAACATCTGTACTACTTCTGTACTACTTTTTTTCTAGAAGAAAAAAAAGCATTTTAAGGCAAAAACTCGTACTGTACTGTTCCGTGCCACTGTAATAAAGTTCTCCAGTGAATTTAGAGAAAAGGCATTGCCCTGTGTTTTCTCATCCGTGGAGCTCAGACTGTGGGGTCTCGAATTTCTTTTCTCTTTTTATGGTCTGTTTTATTATAACCATTAGGTTTTGTTTCTGTCCCCACAGGACTAGGACTGGAAGCAAAGAAAATTGAAGGAACTTCTCCAAATGTTAATTATTTGCCTCTGTTCCTTATATTGGATTCCAAATCAGTGTCTTCTTCCATATTCTCTCAACTGAGTTACCTTCTGAAGCAGCTTAGTTCTCGTCCTGTTCATACGCAGTTTTGAGGAACTATAGTTGTAAAGGCTTTAGAGTTAGGCAAAATTGAGTTAAGTTCTGGCTTCTGCATTTACTACAGTGTAACTTTGGGCATGTTGTTTAATCATTGTAATCCTTAGTTGTAGAATGAGATTAATGGGTACTTCCCAGGGTTGCTGTTGAGAGTAACTGAAATAGTGTATGTAAAGTGTTTTGACCACTACTGTACCTGTCACAGTTATCAAAAAATTTATTCATTCAGAAGGTCTTTGTTGAACACCTGTTACGTGTACTGAGCATTGTCCTAGGTATTTGAGATACATCAGTGAACAGAGATCCTTAACAGACAATATACATAATAAGTTATGTAATAGCTTACAAAGTGACAGTACCTTTGGGAAAAAGGAAAGGTATTATAGGATAAAGATGATCAATGAACAGGAAGTTTGCAGTTTTAAATTGAGTGGTCTGGGTAAGGAAGATCATACCTGAACCAAGACACAAAGGAGGTTAGGGAATGATGAGCCCTGCAGGGGTTGGGGGTGGAGGAGAGATGTTCCGGACAAAGGAAACAGCCATTATAAAGGGCCCCAGAGTGGCACCCTGTTTTTGATCAACAGCAAGCAGGCCATTGTGGCTGGAGTAGACTGTGAAAGAAGTTGTAGTAGATGAAATCAGAAATAACAATGAGCCAGTTCATGTGACCATGGTAGGCCATTGTAACCACATGGGCTTTTTATTCTGAGTGAGATGGGGAATAGTTTTGAGTGTTTAGTTTGCTTATATTTTAGGGACAGGGTCTTGGTATGTTGCCCAGGGTGACTCAAACTCCTGGACTCAAGTTATGCTCTTGGTCAGCTTCCGAAGTAGCTGGGAGTAAAGGCATGCTCCTGCACCTAGCTCAGGCTTTTGAGCAGATGAATGATATTATCTACGTTAGGTTTTGACAGACTCATGCTAGCTGCTAGGTTAATAATAGGTTATAGGGGGCAAAAGTGAAGCAGGCTATTGCAGTAATCTTGGTGAGAGACCAGGGTGGTAGCAGTAGAGGTAGTGAGAAATGGTCATATCCTGGATGTATTTTGAGATAGAGCCAATAGGATTTGCTTATGGATTAGATATGGCGTGTGAGAAAGAGAAGAATAAAGAATGACTCTAACTTAGGCTGAGGCAGGAGAATTGCTTGAACCCGGGAAGGGGAGGTTGCAGTGAGCTGAGATCGTGCCACTGCACTCCAGCCTGGGCAACAAGAGTGAAACTCCATCTCAAAAAAAAAAGAATGACTCCAACTTTTTGGCTAGAGAAACTGGGACTATGGGGTTACTGTCATCGGGATGGGAAAACTGGCTGGAACAATTTTGAACAGCAGGTTAGGTTGGTTTAGCGCATGTGAGGTTGTGGTGGGAGCTTGTTATTGCAGCTTGTTTCTTTACTTTTTTTTTTTTTTTTTTTTTTAAGAGAGAGGGTCTCACTCTGTCACCCAGGCTGGAGTGCAGTGGTGCAATCATAGTTCACTGTAACCTCAAACCTCAAACTCCTAGGCTCAAGAGATCCTCCTGCCCTTCTTTTTTTTTTTTTTTTTACCCCTGACAAAACAAGGTCTTATTCTGTTGCCAGGCTGGAGTACAGTGGCGCCGTCATGGCTCACTGCAGCCTCAATGTCCCAAGCTCAGGTGATCTTCCCACCTCAGCCTCCTGTGTAGCTGGGACCACAGCATCTCACCTGTAACCCCAGCACCACCATGCCTGAAGTTATTTTTGTATTTTTTGTGGAGATGGGGTTCTGTTATATTGCCTAGGTTGGTCTCGACCTCCTGACCTCAAGTGATCCTCCTGCCTTGGCCTCCCAAAGTGCTGGGATTACAGGCATGAGCCACCACGCCCAGGCTTTTTAAAAAATCATTTGTTTCTAAGTGTTTCATTATTTTTTCTGCCTCTGTCTCTTGACTGACTAGGACGACAGATATTTGCCACCACATCTGGCTAATTTTAAATTTTTTTGAAGAGAAAAAAATTTTGCTCAGGCTGGCCTCTAACTCCTGGCCTTAAGCAATCCTCCCACCTTGGCCTCCCAAAGTACTGGAATTACAGGCATGGGACACTGCATCCAGCCTGAGTTTTAACAAATGTATGCACCCATGTAGATGCTACCACAGTCAAGATATATTTCAGTCACCCCCCCAAAGGTTTCCTTGTGCCCCTTTGCAGGAACCTGGGACTGACTGCACTGGGTGGTTCTGCCTCAGTGTCTCTCATGAGGTTGCAGTCAAGCTTTTGCCTGGGACTGTGCAGTCTCTGAAGACTTGACTAGAACTGAAGGATCTGCCTGTTGGTAGGTGGCTTCACTTCCTAGTCATGCTTCTCCATAGAGAGAAAAAGAGTGAAGCCACCATGCCTTTTATTTATTTATTTATTTATTTGAGACGGGGTCTTGCTCTGTCATCCAGGCTGGAGTGCAGTGGCGTAATCTCAGCTCTACAACCTCTGCCTGCCGGGTTCAAGCAATTCTCCTTCCTCAGCCTCTCAAGTAGCTGGGATTACAGGCACATGCCACCACATGTGGCTAATTTTTGTACTTTTAGTAGAGACAGGGTTTCACCATGTTGGCCAGGCTGGTCTCAAACTCCTAACATCAGGTGATCTGCCTGCCTCAGCCTCCCAAAGTGCTGGGATTACAGGTGTGAGCCACTGCGCCTGGTCCACCATGCCTTTTATGATCCATTCTTCAAGTCACTTTCATACCTTTTATGATCTATTATTTGAGTCACTTGTTGCTTAGCCTGTTCATTAGAAGCTGGTCACTAAGTCTAGCCCACATTCAACAGGGAGGGAGGGATTACACAGGGGTGTGAATACCAGGAGGCTGGGATCATTGAGGCCATCTTGGAGGCCAGCTACAATAATACTCACTTAAATTTAGCGAACTCAGAAAAAATTAGAATCCTAATAGAGCGGAAACAAAAAGCTCTATATTCTCTATTATTTGAAATACAGTTTTATGATTTAAGAAAATGGGCTCATAGAAATTAGTCCTTTTATTCATTCTGTTGCTTATGTGGCTATAGAATATTTTCAAATCAAGGGCTTCTATAAGGAAGGTCTGTTAACGGGTGACTGATTATAAGTATATACCTTACATATGACCAAGTCAGAGCACAGAATTTTATAATCCTTCAAATATATTTGAAACTTTTATACCCAGGTACCTGGTGAGCTGTCTACATTGGCTCTTAATAAGGATCTTTCTCAGAAATGATTTAAACTAATAACAGTATAATAGAAAGAGCTCTAGATTTGAGTCAAGACAGTCATAACTATTTTCCTTAACATGTAAATGAGGATCAGAATGTCTGCCCTATTCATGTGCCTCATGTGAGAATTAAATGTAGTACCAGAATATGTGAAAATGCCTTTTAAATTGTAAACCCCTGTCTACAGTTAGGCAATTTGATGGTTCTGTAGGGTGAGATTATAGCTAACTGATTGATAGAGTGTTTGTGCTACAGTGTGCCTTAGGTAAGCTTCACGTCAGGTAGTTGAACAATGTTGGAACACTACATCTTTCCCAAGTGTTCCATCCTGGTGTGTTACAAACACTGGCAGCCAAAATGTTCTTAATTCTTTAATCTAGCTGTCAAAAGACAAGGGAAAAGCAACTAATCAGAATTTAAATCATTCTTAAGTTAAAATTGTGTAGACCAGGCAACTCCAGTTCCTTTGATCTTTCCTCTTAGGACTTATTTCCAATTACTTTTATTTCAAATAAATGCAAGTGATTATGGTTGACCATAAATTATTAGTCTTGAGTGGTCAGATTAATGGTTTTTACATGTATTCTGTGTCTCATAAAGCTTCATTGGGATTTTGAAATAATGATTGGATGTACTTACTTTGCGATCCCAGTTTATGACTTTAAAGATAAGGGGTATGAAAATCATTTCATAAAAGGAAAAAAATGAACTTTACAGTGCTACTGTTCATTTTTTTCTGTGGAAATTGAATATGCTATCTCGTTTTTACCACATTGACCTCAGAAAAAGAGAGGTTAAACTTTTCTATGGTTGTTACATTCTTGTTTATAGCTTATGATTTTAATTGATAGTCAAATACATTAATGTCAGACATCGAGAAGTATTTATTAAGTATATGTCATTAGAGTAGCTACTTTTAAAAATTTTGATAAGTTGTATTTTTTTTCTTTCTGGACTTTATACTTAAAAGTCTTTTAATTTATTTTTATGAGCATAAAATAAAGCAAAATCTAACAAGATTGGATTTAATGAGTGAGGACAGAATTTTATTTTAAATGGCCTTTTCTAATAAAGGTCTATGATTCTGCTTCTTCTGGTACCATTTACGCACTTGCCTGCAGGATCTTTGTCCCAAAATACATATTGTGTTTGTTTATATACCATCCACAATTTGGCAGAGTTTACAGGACTTCTTGATGTTAGCTTTGAGAAATCCCTATTTAAGCTCAAGAAGTTCCTTCTCTGTAGATAGCCCAGTCATTCCAAATAAAAGATCTCTATGGTAAAGCTTTGGAGTGTGATTTTCTTCAAGAGAAATTAGACAACTTTACAAATACCTTGTCACATCTGGATTTTAAGTATTTCAGTTCGACTAAAATATGAATTGACAGCACTTAGTTATTGACAGTTTAGTGTATTGAAATCTGGTTTTTAAAAATATGCTTTAGATAAACTATAATACTCTAATAATAACGGAATCATAAAATTTAGAACTGGTAACTGCAAGCTTATATATATATATATATTTGACACCTTTGTAGCTGGCAGAGCGTTTGTATTTTTAAAGAAAAGTTTTTATTTTAGTTATTTTAGTTATTTTTCAATCTAAGAGAGGAAGTCGACTTTCTGAAAAAATTAAAATGTTTTGGCTAGGTGGGGTGGTTCATGCCTGTAATCCCAGCACTTTGGGAGGCCGAGGCAGGTGGATCACCTGAGGTCAGGAGTTCGAGACCAGACTGGCCAACGTGATGAAACCCCACCTCTACTAAAAATACAAAAAATTAGCCAGGTATGCTGGCATGTGCCTGTAATCCCAGCTACTTGGGAGACTGAGGCAGGAGAATTGCTTGAACCCGGGAGGCGGAGGTTGCAGTGGGCTGAGATTGTACCACAACACTCCAGCCTGGGCAACAGAGCAAGACTCTGTCTGAAAAAAAAAAAATTAAAATGTTTTAAAATTAGTATGTCATAGTACCTTCCAGTTAGAGTACGTGAATCTGCATACATGGTAAATGCACCTCTGAAGCACTTGAAGATTGTGAAGTCCCGTTTTCTCTTCTTTTGGATTGCATTATTTCCATTTTAGTGTAAAGGTGAAATTCTCTTTCATGACCTTTCCTGAATTACATATTCCAAGTGAGAGAAGGCAGAAATAATATGTCTGAGAAGAGCATCCTTCACTCTTCCCCTCCTTCCTTCTACTTTCTACATTTTTTTTTTTTTTTTTGAGACAGTGTCTTGCTCTGTCATCCAGGCTGGAGTGCAGTGATGTAATCTTGGCTCACTGCAACCTCCGCCTCCCAGGTTCAAGCGATTCTCCTGCCTCAGCCTCCCAAGTAGCTGGGATTACAGGCACCCGCCACCACACCTGGCTAATTTTTGTGTTTTTATTGGAGATGGGGTTTCACCATTTTGGCCAGGCTGGTCTCAAACTCCTGACCTCAGGTGATCCGCCTGTCTTGGCCTCCCAAAGTGTTGGGATTATAGGCGCTCTGAGCCACTGTGCCTGGCCTTTTTTGTTGTTGTTTGTTTGTTTTTGAAACTAGATATCTCTCTGTCACCCAGGCTGGAGTGCAGTGGTGTGATCTTGGCTTACTGCAACCTCTGCCTCCTGGGCTCAAGCGATCCTCCCACCTCAGCCTCCCAAGTAGCTGGAACCACAGGCACGCGCCACCATGCCCAGGTAATTTTTTTGTAGATATGGGGGTCTCACCATGTTGCCCAGGCTGGTCTCAAACTCCTGGACTCAAGCAATCCTCTCGCCTTGGCCTCTCAAAGTGCTGGGATTACAGGCATGTACCCATCATTTTTTTTTAATGGTTAATTCAAATGCTGCCAGGATAAAGACTATTGAAATGTTGTTGTCTGAAGATGTTAATTTCTTTGTAGCACTGCTATGCCCTAGTTTTACTATTTCCCATTTTCACTTGTAGTTTTTCAATCAGCATTATTGAGGTATAATTTACATGTAGTACAGTTCACCTATTTTAAGTGTACAAGTCTGTGACAACTGTGTATTCAGTAGTATAACCACCACCAAAGTTCACCATTGCTTCAAAAAGTTCCCTCATGCCCCCTTGCAGGTAGTGTTCTAATTGATGCAGACATACATGCACTGATACTTTTGTGATCCTCATCTTACAGGGAAGAAAACGTTTGTAATTTCTTTTTAACAGCATAAAAATGCTGTTTACCTTCAGGTGCAGAGACTTTGTTTCTTCAATATTATTCTTTGATGCTTAGTTTTGTACAGAGGATTGGAAGCTACAGACAAGCTAAAGTATAATAGTGATATGGTAGACTTTAATTATTGTTCCTTTTTTTATGAAAGTATGCACGTGAACAGTTGGAAAGTATTATCTGTTATAAGCTTTTCAGTTTAAGCTGGGCCTCCTCAAATTGATGTGTGTTTAGGAACTAAGAATTTTAAATAACATTTGAAGGGCCGGGCGCAGTAGCTCATACCTGTAATCCCAGCACTTTAGGAGGCCAAGGCAGGCAGATCACAAGGTCAGGAGTTCAAGACCAGCTTGGCCAACATAGTGAAACCCCGTCTCTACTAAAAAAAAAAAAAAATTAGCCAGGCATAAGCTGAGATCATGCCACTGCACTGTAGCCTGGGCAACACAGCAAGACTCTGTCTCAATAAATAAATACCATTTGAAATGTCTTCAATGCCATGTGTGGAAACTATTTAAAAAAATAAAACGTGCCTCTTGGCAGTATTGCTGTGCTTTCAGGACTCTAATGCAGGCTGTACCTAAGAGGGAAAGGGCTGAGTCTGGGGATGGTTGGCAGGTTGTTTTTGTGGATGAAAAACCTTTTACCCATGTATGCAGTCAGTACTGAGCCTTTTTGTGTTTTAAAACTTCAGATGTAAAGACAGGTTAATCTTCAGATTAAAACAAAAGGATGGCCTAGAAACTTGTGACTTCGACATTTACATTAGAAGAATGTAGATGTTTTCAAATAAACAAATCTGCCCATATCATAGATGTTCAAAGTTTGTTCCATATAATAACAATGATAGTTTCTAATAATCGTGTGGCCCTGTTTGCAGAACAGTGTTCTAAGTAATGAGCCATTTGGGAGAACCCTTTAAATTTTTTTTTTAGGATATTTATTCACACCAGCTTTTTAGTCCTGAGTTTCTATCCATCCCTTTGCTATCCAGAACATTTCTTGGCCATTTTTTTACTGGGTCAGGTGCCGTGGCTCGTGCCTTTGGTCCCAGTGCTCTGGAAGGCCAGGGCGGGTGGATCGCCTGGGGTTAGGAGTTCAAGACTAGCGTGGCCAGCATGGTGAAGCCCCGTCTCTACTAGGAATGCAAAAATTGGCTGGGCATGGTGGTGGGTGCCTCTGGTCCCAGCTGCTCGGGAGGCTAAGGCAGGAGAATCACTTGAACCTGGGAGGCAGAGGGTGCAGTGAGCCAAGATCGCGCCACTGCACTCCAGCCTGGGAACAAAATTCCATCTCAAAAAAAATAAAAATAAAAATGCAGAAATTGGTCAGGCGTGGTGTCGCATGCCTCTGGTTCCAGCTACTTGAGAGAGGCTGGGGTGGGAGAGTTGCTTGGGCCTGGGAGGCAAAGGTTGCAGTGAGCAGAGATCGCACCACGGCACTCCAGCCTGGGTGACAGAGCAAGGCTCCATCTCCAAACAAACAAATAACAAAAAAAACCCCTAAAACATTTTTTATTTTCCTTAAATGTATTGGCCAAGGTTAAAATATCCATCCTGAATATTCTGTATGAAAACATTGGATATGAAGAAAAAAAGAAAATTCAGGCAGTTGACCAGGGGAGAGAATTGAGCTTTTTGGTTCTTCCTGACACATATTCTCAGTGAGACTATACTCACTTTTTTAAAAGCTATTTATAAAATATTAAAATAAGATATTACATGAAGTTAAAAATTGAAACGAAAGTCAGCATCTTAATTCACCAATTACACAACTGAATGGTGTTTTTTGTTTGTTTGTTTGAGACAGAGTCTCGCTCTGTTGTCGAGGCTGGAGTGCAGTGGCATGATCTCAGCTCACTGCAAGCTCTGCCTCCCGGGTTCATGCCATTCTACTGCCTCAGCCTCCCGAGTAGCTGGGACTACAGGAGCCCGCCACCACGCCTGGCTAATTTTTTTGTATTTTTTTAGTAGAGACGGGTTTTCACCATGTTAGCCAGGATGGTCTCGATCTCTTGACCTTGTGAGCCACCGTGTCTAGCCTTTTTTTTTTTTTTCTTTTTTTTTTTTTTGAGATGGAGTTTCACTCTTGTTGTCCAGACTGGAGTGCAATGGCGCCATCTCAGCTCACCACGACCTCCACCTCCCGGGTTCATGCAATTCCCTACCTCAGCCTCCCGAGTAGCTGGGATTACAGGCATGTGCCACCATGCTTGGCTAATTTTTTGTATTTTTAGTAGAGACAGGGTTTCTCCATGTTGGTCAGGCTAGTTTTGAACTCCTCATCTCAGGTGATCTACCCACCTCGGCCTCATAAAGTGCTGGGATTACAGGTGTGAGCCACCGCGCCTGGCCACTGAGTGGTTTTTAATATATTCACAACCATCACCATTATGTAATTTGTGAGTATTTCAGAACTCTGAACCATTTTATTTATTTTTTATTTATTTACTTATTTTGAGACAGAGTCTCTTGTCTGCCAGGCTGGAGTGCAGTGGCGCAATCTCGGCACACTGCAACCTCCGCCTCCCGGATTCAAGCTATTCTCCTGCCTCAGCCTCCTGAGTAGCTGGGATTACAGGAGCCTGCCACCACACCCGGCTGATTTTTGTACTTTTAGTAGAGACGGTTTCACCATGTTGGCCAGGCTGGTCTCGAACTCCTGACCTCAGGTGATCTGCCCACCTTGGCCTCCCAAAGTGCTGGTATTATAAGCGTGAGCCACCGCGCCCGGCCCCATTCTGTTTATTTTTGAGACAGACTCTGTCTCCCAAGCTGGAATGCAATGGCACAACCATGGCTCACTGCAGCTTCAACCTCCCAGGCTCAAGCGATTCTTCCACCTCACTGGGACTGTAGGCACATGCCACCGCACCAGCTGTTTTTTTTTGTTTTACTTTTTGTAGAGATGGGGTCTCACTATGTTGCTTAGGGTGGTCTCGAACTCCTGGCTGGGTTCAAGTGATCCTTCCACTTTGGCCTCCCATGAACCATTTTAAATGCTTTTTGAGAACTGCAAAGCAGTTTTTATGGTGATCACTACCACCGGACACTGTGCTAGATGGTTTACATTATCACTAATTCTCCTAATACTGCACTGTATAGAAGAACTGTTTAATTTTAGAACATATCTGGTGATAGCTTGATTTTACAGCTGAGGAAACTGAGGCCAGGAGGCTAAGTTAACCTTCAAAAGTCGTATTATCTGTTTCCTGGTACAGCCAGGACCCAGACCCACTTATTTTTTACCCCTAAGTCTGTTCTTTGCATACTACACTACTGCTAATAAGTAATCATTAGGTAAGTTGATGCAAACTCCACATACCACCTTCCAAAGCCTTATTTAGAGTTATTTTGGTCCACCAAGTTACTCTACTGATATATATATATCATAAATATATCATATATAAATTATATGTGATATATATAATATATGTTATATATATAATTTATATATCACATATTTATATGTAATATATATCACATAAATTATATATAATATATAAATATATAATATATAAATTATATGTCAATATATATAGCATTATGTTCTAAGACACACACATATATATGTATATATAACGTTCTAAGACTTTCAGGGATTCCTGTACTGTTGATAGTACCAAATCCTATATATGTGCTGTTTTTTTCCTATACAGATATACATATATACGTATGATAAAGTTTAGTTTATAAATTAGGCACAGTAAGAGATTAACAACCTTAACTAATAATAAAGTAGAACGTGGCCGGGCAAGGCTGCTCACAGCTATAATCTCAATGTTTTGGGAGACCAAGGCAGGAGGATTGCTTGAGTCCAGGAGTTTGAGACCAGCCTGGGCAATATGAGACCCTGTCTGTACAAAAAAGTTTAAAAATTAGCCGGGTATGGTGGCATGCACCTGTAGTCCTAGCTATTTGGGAGGCTGAGGTGGGAGAATTGCTTGAACCTAGGAGTTTGAGCCTACAGTGAACTATGATTGAGCCATGACACTCTAGCCTGGGCAATAGAGCAAAACCCTGTCTCCAAAAAACTAAAAGTTTAAAAAAATAAAGTGGAACACTAATAACAATATACAGTAATCAATGTAAAATTAAGGTTATTTGAACATAAGCACTGCCATACTGCAGCAGGATGGCCACTAAGTAACTAATGGACACATTCCTTATAAAACATGGATGTGCTGGACAAAGAGATGATTCACCTCTCTGGAGAGAAGGAGTGCAATTTAAAACTTATGAATTGTTTATTTCTGGAATTTTTCATATAATATTTTTGGACCGTGATTGACTGTGAGTAACTGAAATCATGGAGAGCAAAACTGTGGCTAAGCGGGGACTACTGTACTTGATGCATTTTCCTTTTAGGAATTCTTTTAAGTTATTTTTCATTTGTTAGATGTGTCTTACAAAGAATAGATAAAAACATGTACATTTTAGGAATAATAATAAAAGGAACATAGGTATAGTAGGACTGATGTTCCGTATGGTAGCTATTATACAATCCACATGTGGCTGTTGAACACTTATAATGTCGCTAGTGTGAATTCACATGTGATGTGTGAAAAAACACAAACCAGATTTTGAAACCTGGTATGAAAAACAAAAATAATGTAATGTATTTATATGGATCCAAAATGTAATATATATATGGATCCAAATATATGTATATATATCCAAAATATATATCCAAAATAATGTAATATATTGCTATATATATATATGTACACACACACATACATATATGGATCCAGTTTTATACTCATTATTTTTTCTGGGTTTGTTTCACAGTGTGTTTTTGTATGTATTTCTATCAACTTAACTAAATTAGTTTTCTAAGTGTCATCATGAATAGCATAACCTGCCACGTTTATGTAAAACGTGAGAAATGTCTAAATGACCAACATATATAGGTAAAATGTTTAAGCTGAGAGCCTTATTTCAAGTCTACGTTAAATGTATTATATGATTTTGGTGTTTTTTTTGTGTTTTTTTTTTTCTGAGTTGGAGTCTCGCTCTGTTGCCCAGGCTGGAGCGCAGTGGCGTGATCTTGGCTCACTGCAACCTCCACCTTCTGGGTTTTAAGCTATTCTCCTGCCTCAGCCTCCTGAGTAGCTGGGATTACAGGCATATATATATATGTGTATACACACACACACACACACACACACACACACACGCATACATATATATAGCAATAGGAATATATATATATATTTTGAGACAAGTTCTGGCTCTGTCACCCAAGCTGGAGTGCCGTGACACGATCTCAGCTCTCTGCAACCTCTGTCTCCCAGGCTCAAGCCCTCCTCCCATGTTGCCCAGGCTGGTCTCGAACTTGTGAGCTCAAGTGATCCACCTGCCTCAGCCTCCCGCAGTGCTGGGATTGCAGGCGTGAGCCACTGTGCCTGACCCAAGATATTGCTTGCTTGATACCATGTTGAAAATTTTAGATGTTTTGAGTTAAGTAACATTATTAAAATTAATTTCACCTCTTTTTACTTTTTAAAAAATACCTACTAGGCCGAGTGCAGTTACTCATGCCTGTAATCCTAGCACTTTGGGAGGCCAAGGTGGGAAGATTGCATGAAGCCAGGAGTCCGAGACCAGCCTGGTCAACATAGTGAGACCCCATCCTTAAAAAATAAAAACATTTTTTAAGTGACTGGGCATAGTGGGGTGTGCCTGTAGTCCTAGCTCCTGGAGAGGCTGAAGTGGGAGGTTTGCTTGAGCCCAGGAGTTCAAGGCTGTAGTGAGCTGTGATGGTGCCACTGCAATCCAACCTGGGTGAAGGAGGGAGACCCTGTCTCTTAAAAAAAAAAAAATGCCTGCTAGACAATTTACAGTTACATATGTGGCTTGCATTTGTGATTCACATTATATATTTCTGTTGAACAGTACTGCCTGCACAGTTGGCCAGGTATGGTGGCTCACACCTATAATTGCAGCACTTTCAGAGGTTAAGGAGGGAGGATTACTTGAGCCCAGGAGTTACAGACCAGCCCGGGCAACAAAGTGAGACCCCATCTCTACAAAAAAATAAAATAATTAGCCAGGTGTCGTGATACAGGCCTGTAGTCCCAGCTACTTGGGAGGCTGAGGCAGGAGGATCCCTTGAGTCCTGGAAATCAAGGTTGCAGTGAGCTGTGTTCATACCACAGAGCAAGATGCTATCTCAAAATGAGTCCTGGAAATCAAGGCTGCAGTGAGCCGTGTTCATACCACAGAGCAAGATGCTATCTCAAAAAAAAAAAAAAGAAAAAAAGAGAAAGAAAACTTTACAGTTCTTTTCCTCAACCCGTCTCCCCCCACAAAATAATCACTATCCTGATTGATGTATTTGTTCCCTTACTTTTCTTTGTCATTTTATTTCCTGTGCATATATCTCTAAATAACGCATTGTTTAGTTTTTAAAAAAAATGAAACTAGGAAGCACACACTTCAGGGCAGTGTAAACAACGGACTCTAATGTCACTTTCTCTCTTTTTTTTTTTTTTTTTTTTTGGTGAGAGGAGTCTTGCTCTGTCACCCAGGTTGGAGTGCAGTGGTGCGATCTCGGCTCACTGCAAGCTCCGCCTCCTGGGTTCACGCCATTCTCCTGCCTCAGCCTCCCGAGTAGCTGGGACTACGGGCCCCCTCACCACCACACCTGGCTAATTTTTTGTATTTTTAGTAGAGATGGGGTGTCACTGTGTTAGCCAGGCTGGTCTCGATCTCCTGACCTTGTGATCCACACTCTTCGGCCTCCCAAAGTGCTGGGATTACAAGCGTGAGCCACCGCACCCAGCCTTCTAATGTCACTTTCAGATGCAGCTCCTAGAAGATGAGCTGAACAGAATCTTAGGGTCAAGTCCGGATTCAGCTTCCCTGTGAATTTTTAGAGCCTCCCTGGGGAAGCTTGTGAGCACAGTCATGAGTGGATTATGGGAAACCTAGGGCTCACACTGGAGTTAGGGCATCTGGCACACTGAAACCATTGCTCACCGTGTGCCGGAGATGTGGAGGAATATGGTCAGAGGGAGTTAGCTGCTCTGGTATTTTCTGCTTCTAGGCTCACCATGACCTACCTTCTTTTATCCTTTTTTTTTTTTTTTAATTTCTTTTGTCAAAATTGATGTCTCATTCCAGAGCTACCTTCTTTTCACAGGAGTGAGTCAAAGCACATCACCTTTGTCAGCTCAAATGAGTGTCCTTAGCTGGTCCCAGCAGTGGGGAAGGCTTATATATGAGCATTTTGCCCTCAGGATCTTGGTGATGACCATCCTCAGAATGTCCATCTCTTCAATCTAGACTGATTGTCCTCTATATCCAGCGCACTGCTTTCATACTGATTTCTGTGTTCATCCTCTGCTGTGAGGGGCTTTTTTGTTTTTTTCTTTTTGTTTCTTTTTCAGTTTTTCTGTCTTCCTGTTTCTTGGTTTACGGTCTCTTTGTGGATAACAGAGTTGTTGCATATTTGAAGTGTCTTTATTCTACGATACTTTATTGTAAGTTTGTCTTGTTCTAGAGTTTGAGGTTAGAGATTATTTTCGTTAAGAAGGCCTTGTTTCATTGTCTTGGTTTAAATGTTGCAGTTGAAAATCTCTGAAGTCATTGTGTTTCCTGATCTGTTTGTGACCAATTTCCCCGTCTTTGGAAGTTTGTAAAATCTTTGTCTCCATGTTTTGGTATTTATCTATGATGTAACCTAGTGTCGGTCCACAGTCATTCCTTGTGCAGGGTACTTGCCAGCCCTTTACAGTATGGCAGCTGTGTCCTTCGTAAGGAAATTTTCTTATATTAATTGATGACTTCCTTTCTTATATTTTTTCTATTCTTTTCTGGAACATCTACTATTTGGATGTTAGACCCACAGGAATGATCCTGTTACCTTATTTTCTTACTGTCTCTTTTGTCTTTTTGGTCTACCTTCCAGAAGATTTCCTCTACTTTATCTTCAGAGTCTTATATTGGGTCTTAATTTCTACTATATTTCAACAGAGCTTTTTGTTTGTTTGTTTGTTTTGAGACGGAGTCTCGCTCTGTCGCCCAGGCTGGAGTGCAGTGGTGCGATCTCGCCTCACTGCAAGCTCCGCCTCCCGGGTTCACGCCATTCTCCTGCCTCAGCCTCCCACGCGTAGCTGGGACTAGAGGTGCCCACCACCACGCCTGGCTAATTTTTTGTATTTTTTTTTTTTTTTTTAGTAGAGACAGGGTTTCACCAAGAGCTCTTTTTTGTGTGTGCTACAAATGTTCCTTTTTTGTTAGTATCCTCTTCTTGTTTATCGGGTACATTTTATCTGAGAATCTAGCTGGTAGATTTTTACTGCTTTACATCACTTCAGAGGAAATGGCTGCAACTGAAGGGTGAAAGTCAGAATTTATCTTGGCTCAGCTTTTCATGTAAGAAAAGAAAAATACAGTGAAACCAAATTAAAATAATTATGTGGAGAGCATATTGGTGGCAAGTTAATACATTTTTATGACTTTTTGGAGGGTCTAATTTATTCTTAACAGAAGTCTGAGTTTAGTATCCATTTATTGAATATGTATTTATATGTGTATACGCACACACACACAGTGTATTAAATCTATTGAATTCCAGACACTTTCTTTTTTTTTTTTTTTTTTTTTTTTTTTGAGACGGAGTCTCGCTCTGTCGCCCAGGCTGGAGTGCAGTGGCGCATCTCGGCTCACTGCAAGCTCCGCCTCCCGGGTTCACGCCATTCTCCTGCCTCAGCCTACTGAGTAGGTGCCCGCCACCACGCCCAGCTGATTTTTTTGTATTTTTTTAGTAGAGATGGGGTTTCACTGTGTTAGCCATGATGGTCTCGATCTCCTGACCTCGTGATCCATCTGCCTCGGCCTCCCAAAGTGCTGGGATTACAGGTGTGAGCCACCACACCCGGCCTCCAGACACTTTCTTTAGTTTTTCATTTTATGATTTCTCTTTTGGACTGTAAGATGATCGGTAAATTACATTAAATCACTATAGAAGAAGCTATTTTTACACATACATGCAACCCAGTTATGATTCAGAGGCAAACAAGATTGAATGACTGTAGAGATTATCTGACAGTTGAGCAGCTGACTGTCCATTTATGAACAGGGAGGTGCATGTGGCTAAAGGAGGATGAGTCAGAACCAAGTATCTTCTAAAGGAATCTGTTGAATAGACTACAGAAATGATTACAGCAAGCGACAGGGTACATACTTCTTCAGTGGAATATCTTGTTTTCTTGGGTGCCTATGGCCATCCCAGTATTACTGTTGGATGATTCATTGGTCTGTGGGTAGGAACAACTCTTCATTGTCAGGGAAAAAACAGCATGTCTCCTTTGGAAAGAAATTACTGTCAGTGTTGCTGTGATGTTCTCTATGTTTTATAAGTTTTCATTTTGTGCTTTTTGTTGGTGATTTCACTGTTTAAAATGGCCCACAAGCATAATGTTAAAGTGCAGTCTAGTATTCCTTAAATGCAAGAAGGCCGTAATGTGCCTTATGGAGAAAATGTACATGTTAGATAAGTTCCCTTCAGTCATGAGTTACAGTGCTGTCAGCTGTGAGTTCAGTGTTAGTGAATCAGCAATATATATTGAAGATGATGTCTGAACAGAAGCATACATAAAACAAAATTATGTATTGATCAGTTGAGGAAGATGTTAGGCTAGAAGGAACCTACGTCTGCATTTCCCCTAGGAACAGTGGTTTAGTGTTCACTGATACAGTGTTCATGTAGATTTGATAGAGTATAACAATGGCAAGTCGTGTGTGTGTGTATGTGTGTAGGCTTAATGGTTTTCTTTACCCAGTATTTACTATGTTTTTTTCCATTAACAGCATAATGTAAACATCCCGTGTAACATGCTTGTTTTTGGTGGTGAGGGATGCTTGTTTTTGGTGGTCAAGGATCAGCAGACCTGCCTGGATTCTAGCAGGCTTTTTTTTTTTTTTTTAAGACAGAGTCTCGCTCTGTCACCAGGTTGGAGTGCAGTGGCATGATCTCAGCTCACTGCAACTTCGGCTTCCCGGGTTCAAGCAGGTCTCCTGCCTCAGCCTCCTGAGTAGCTGGGACTACAGGTGCGTGCCACCACACCCAGCTAATTTTTGTATTTTTAGTAGAGACGGGGTTTCACCATGTTGGCCAGGATGGTCTTGATCTCTTGACCTCGTGATCCACCCTTCTTGGCCTCCCAAAGTGCAGGGATTACAGGCGTGAGCCACCATGCCCGGCCTCTAGCAGGCTTTTTATTTTTGAGATGGAGTCTCACTCTTTCGCCCAGGCTGGGGTGCAGTGGTGCAATCTTGGCTCACTGCAACCTTTGCCTCCTGGATTCAAGTGATTCTCCTTTCTCAGCCTCCCGAGTTGGTGGGATTACAGGCACCTGCCACCATGCCCGGCTAATTTTTGTATTTTTAGTAGAGACGGGGTTTCACCATGTTGGCCAGGCTGGTCTCGAACTTCTGACCTCAGATGATTTGCCTGCCTTGGCCTCCCAAAGCACATGGATTACAGGCGTGAGCCACCGCGCCTATCCTCTAGCAGGCTTTTTAAAGGTCAGTGTTCAATTTGGAAGTTTATTTATTCAGCTCATTATCATTGGGCGTCTAGGTTATTTCTGATCATTTACCATTATTTACAAAAATCCCCTGAGAATGAACATTCTTGTAATAGAATTTTTTTTTACATCTTTGATTAAGTTTTAGGCTAATTCACAGACGTGGCATTGCTGTGTCAAAGGAAAATGCACCCTTATTCCCCCAAATTGCCTTCCCAAAATCATTAGCCAGTTTACCCTCCCCCTGACAATGTAATATAACCTGTTTTCCCTCCTGATACATGTTATTGAAATGTTTTTCAATTTATTTTAATATTTGTTTTAAAATAGTTATCTTGTTCTGATTTAATATGTTAGTGAACTTTTTTTCATAATTTTTGGTTAGTTATGTTAATTTTGTTCTAAACTATTCTTTTCCACATGGTTAGCCAGTTTTTTCAACTCCACTGGTTAAATAAAATATCCTTTTACTATTGATTTTAAGTGTTGCCTTTTTCATATGTTAAGTATTTATATACTTGGTTTCATTTTTGAATTTTTTGGTTTTGTTCCATTAAGTTGTAGCTGACTGCCACAGCACTCCTATATATTTATTGGTTGTGTTGTATGTTTTAGTATCTGAAAGGGCAAAAAATTACTCTTTCTCTAATTTCTCATGGATGGCCTGATTGTTTTATGTGAACTGTAGACTTCCCAAATTCTAAAAAACATTATTTTGATATTTCAGATATTTCATTGGAATTTTGTTGAAGATTACTTTGGGATAAATTGTCATTTGTAGTCTTTCCAGTCATGAATATGACATCACACTAGTTATTCAAATCGGTTGTTGTTGTTGTTGTTGTTGTTGTTGTTGAGATGGAGTCTTGCTCTGTCGCCCAGGCTGGAGTGCAGTGGCACCATCTTGGCTCACTGCAACTTCTGCCTCCTGGGTTCAAGTGATTCTCCTGCCTCAGCCTCCTGAGTAGCTGGGATTACAGTTGTGCGCCACCATGTCCAACTAATTTTTGTATTTTTAGTATTGATTGGATTTCACCATGTTGGCCAGGTTGGTCTCCAACTCCTGACCTCAAGTGATCCACCCACCTCAGCCTTCCAAAGTGCCGGGATCACAGGCGTGAACCACCACGCCCGACCAACAGTTCTTTTTTTATATATTCAGCTCTTCCTCATTAAAAACTTTAAGTTAATGAGCAGTGCTATTGTAGTGCTGGAATCTCTTTTTGGGTGGGTGAAATAAATCTTTTTGAACTCATCATATATCCCCACTGCCCTTATAAGCATTTCCTGCACATAGTTAACAGGTAATAAACATTTGTGGAATAGGTGGATCTTTTCAAATGGAAATTATTATAGGAAACTTACAAGAAAAAAATTCTAGATTCTAGCTGTTTTCTGTTCTTCTATTAATCAGTATTTAAATATTTACTGAGAACCTAAGGAGTAATGAATGATCACACCCTCTTACGTTTTCTTAATACGTCAGTTTATAGACTAGAGCCACCAGTGTTTAAGCTCTAACAACTTATTACAGAGAATCGAGATATCCTTTCCAATCGAAAGGGATTTTTTGATAGTGAAGTTTCAGCTTCTTGCTTTTGTCAATAGCTTTGACACTTGGTTTCTGTGTGTATTGATTTTATGACTCAGTACTGATGTGCATGGGGGTCTTGTTTGCAAATCTGTAGTTACTCTGTTTTAATTGCCTTGAAATTCTCTTTAGAATCACTCAAAAGAGGGAACTCTGCCATCCCTTTGTACCTTTAATTTGTCTCCTCATCTCGGCTACCTAGAAACTATGATCTTTTCTGTAAGTTATATAGTATTGTAAAGGAAAAGACAGGTAAGGATGCCACTGCTTATTCCAAATTTAGATATTCATAGAATAAGTACCTTCCAGACCCTCAAAGAACTATTTGTACAGGTTAATACATGAGAAGTAGACTTAGGTTCTTCCTTTGATACTTAAATTTCAAAACACAGGATTAGTAATATTTAGCTACTTAAGTTTGGTTCATTTGCTAAAAGAAGAACATTTACCATCTCAGGCCCTGTATTAGAAGGATCTTTGTGTCTGTGAGAGAAAAGGCAGAATGGAGTTTTTCTATCATAATTGAATCCGTTTTGCCTTGCACACCCCTTTGGAGCATTTGATGAAAGCAGTGGACTTCATTAGAAAAATGCACATGGGCTCAAACACATACATTTTTGCGCAGCGACGTTTCTGGCCTTCTTGAAACATATCTGTAAGCCCAAACCCCTGTAGGTTTTCTGAACTCCATCTAATGCAGCCAACAAAGGGGAAATTTTAAATGGGGCCTGTAACAACCTTTAGCCTGCGTTCCTTCAGGTTTCTTCACTGGCTGTTCATAGCCTGCCCTGCTGGGGTTTTTTCTTCTACCCAGCATCTAAAAGTTGGACTTGCTCCAGATTCTTCCTGGGTCCCTTCTTTTCCCCTGCTTACTCTGGGGGTCTCTTCCTTTCCTCTGGATTTAAATACCATGGTATTGTTGATGGCTGCCAGATTTATAACAGCCCGGATCTATTCTCAGAATGCTGGAATCCCATATGTAACTGCCTCCTCAAAATCTTGATTTGGATATCTCATAGATATCCCTTATATGTAGCAGATAAAAATTGTTGCAAACTTTTAATTCTTTCTTTCTTTCTTTCTTTTTTTTTTTTTGTTGAGACAGAGTTTCGCTCTATATCCCAATCTGGAGTGCAGTGGCACGATCATGGCTCACTGCAGCCTCGACCTCCTGGGCTTAGGTGATCCTCCCCACCTCAGTCTGCAGAGAGTAGCGGGGACTGCATTTGTGTGACACCACACCTGGCTAATTTTTTAAAATTTTTGTAGAGATGAGGTCTCACTATGTTGCCCTGGCTGGTCTCAAACTCCTGAGCTCAAGCAGTCCTCCCAAAGTATGCTAAGATTACAAGCGTGAGCCACCACTCCTGGCAGCAAACTTTAAAAAATGACAGCTCATTGAGATACAATTCACATACCATAAAATTCACTCTTTTAGAGTGTACGATTCATTGATTTTTAGTACATTCGGAGTTCTGCAACCATCATTACCATTTAATTTCAAAACATTTTCGTCACACCATAAAGAAATCCCATACATGGTAGCAATTACTCCTCATTTGCCACTCCCCTGTGCCCCTGGCAACTACTTATCTCCTTCGTGTTGCTCTGTTGCTCTGGATTTAGCTTTCTGTACGTTTCTGGGGGGTTTTTTGTTTTTGTTTTTGTTTGTTTTTTTGAGACGGAGATTCAGTCTAGTTGCCCAGGCTGGAGTGCAATGGCGCGATCTTGGCTCACTGCAACCTCCGCCTCCTGGGTTCAAACGATTCTCCTGCCTCAGCCTCCCGAGTAGCTGGGGTTACAGGCATGTGCCACCACGCCCAGCTAATTTTGTATTTTTAGTAGAGACGGGGTTTCTCCATGTTGGTCAGGCTGATCTCAAACTCCTGACCTCAGATGATCTGCCCATCTCGCCTCCCACAGTGCTGGAATTAACAGGCATGAGCCACTGCGCCAGCCAGCTTTCTGCACGTTTCATATAATACGTAACCTTTTTCTAGCTTCATTCACTTAGTATTATGTTTTCAAGGTTCATTCTGTGTTGTTGTGTGTATAAACATTTCATTCCTTTTTATGACCAAGTAATATTCCATTGTATGGGTGATACCACAGTTGATGGTACAAACATGTTTTTGCTGAAGCTCTGCTGCATGAGTGGTGGGAAATTTAAAGCCACAGAATGTGAAAATTAGGTGATATCATGTATAATTTAAATTGAATATAACATCACAAATACTTATATTTAGAGCTTGAGATGATTAAAAATTGTGTTAAACTAGCTTTTCCCTTACTTTTCCAGAAGAACACAAGATGTGACACTGTAGTCACTTTTTAACCTGCTGTGAAGTCTCAAACATATTTGTGATATTTTACTTTTGGAAAGATAAACTGTTTTCTTGTTTTTCTCATGTATGGTTAGCTGCATCTGTTTACCCATTTTAAATCAATTTTGTATAAAATATTTCATTGTTCTAGGACAATGGGTTTAATCCCTAGTTCATATTCTAATAACTTTTCTTTTTAAAGTTTGAAATAAGGAATCATTTTCAGTGAAAAACTGTCTTTGTGCTTAAATGACATTTTTTTTGACAGAAGCATTTCACTGTGTATTAAATGACATTATTGAATTGCATTATAAAATGCCAAACTGTTGAGACAGAATTTTATTTTCTTTATACTTTGAAGTTTGGTATTCATGAATACATGAAAGCACCAAACATTTACTTTGAAGATGTACACATAAAACTGTATTTATTTGAATGAGAACATCTAAATAAATCAGTAGGATCATCTAAATATTATTTTTAATTATAATTGCAGTCATTAGTCTTGATTAAAAATTGTCATCATTTTCTGGCTGGGTGCGGTGACTCACACTTGTAATCCCAGCACTTTGGGAGGCTGAGGCAGGCGGATCACCTGAGGTCAGGAGTTCAAGACTAGCCTGGCAAACATGGTGAAACCCCGTCTCTACTGAAAATACAAAAATTAGCGGTGTGTGGTGGTAGGTGCCTGTACTCTCAGATACTTGGGAGGCTGAGGCAGGAGAATCCTTTGAACCTGGGAGGTGGAGGTTGCAGTGAGCCGAGATCGCACCACTGCACTCCAGCCTGGGCATTAAGAGCAAAACTCCATCTCAAAAAACAAAGAATTTTACTCATTTTCTGAAACCATTTAGAAATTTCCCAAAACAGATCATTGGTTTTCTTTGTCATGAAAGAACATTTATAAATAAGTAATAAATGGGCTTTTAAAAAATTTAGTAATTTTATAAGGAAATTTTTTTTTTTTGAGACAGAGTTTTGCTGTTGTTGCCTAGACTGGAGTGCAATGGCATGATCTCGGCTCACTGCAAACTCCATCTCCCGGGTTCAAATGATTCTCCTGCCTCAGCCTCCCGAGTAGCTGGGATTACAAGAGCCCACCACCACGCCTGGCTAATTTTTGTATTTTTAGTAGAGACAGGGTTTTGCCATGTTGGCCGGGCTGGTTTCGAACTCCTGACCTCAGGTGATCTGCCCTGCCTTGGCCTCCCAAAGTGCTGGGATTACAGGTGTGAGCCACCGTGCCCAGCCAGGAAAATATTTTTGACTATGGACATTAATATGAATAAGCTGGCCGGTGCGGTGGCTCATCCCTGTAACCCGAGCACTCTGGGAGGCCAAGGCGGGCGGATCACCTGAGGTCAGGAGTTCGAGAGCAGCCCGGCCAACATGGTGAAACCCCGTCTCTACTAAAAATAGAAAAGTTAGCAGGATGTGGTGGCATGCACCAGTAATCCCAGCCACTCGGGAGGCTGAGGCAGGGAGAATCACTTGAACCCAGGAGGCAGAGGTTGCAGTGAGCCAAGATCATGCCATTGCACTTCAGCCTGGGAGACAGAGTGAGACTCTGTCTCAAAAATAATAATAATTTTTTTAAAAAGAATAAGCCAAGAGATTGTGGAATCTTCAATTCTAAAGAATATAAATCATTTATGACTAATATAAAATCCAGTTCAAGTGGTGTAAAGTTGACTTTGCTATTAGAAAAGATGTCTCCATGATTAGAATTTATAATGAGGTGTGCTAATAGGTGAAATGACAATCCCCAGTGCATGCTACTCCGTCCACCTGTTAGCCTTCTAACAGGGTTTAAGATTAATGAAGATTTCTGGATGGAAATCTTCATGAGAGATGGTAAATCAAGATTCACTGAGATGAAATAAGGGGTATTGTTTTTAGGTTTTGTGATGGGTTGAGCAGAGGTCGGCATAGTCACTTGTTTGATTTGATGCACATTGGTGGAGTTTTAAATGCACAGTGTGGAAGGGAATGAGCACTTATCAGAACAGAAGGAAATGTGTGGTTAAACGGTTTCAGTTGTAACTAAAGACTATTTCCCTTGGTCCAAATAGGAGGAGAAATGGAACCTTTTGTATTTTGGTTATTTTCCAATATAAGTAGAAATTGGTTCATTGTGGTTTATTGCAGCCCTTAGCAGAAATGATTGGGTTCAGTAGTGAAGGGGAATGACACAAATATGTACCAGGAAAGCATAAATTTTTATTTATTTTTTATTTTTTTGAGACAGAGTCTTGCTCAGTCTACCAGGCTAGAGTGCAGTGGTGCGACCTCAGCTCACTGCAACCTCTGCCTCCCAGGTTCAAGCGATTATCCTGCATCAGCCTCCCAAGGAGCTGAGACTACAGGCACACACACCCACGCCCAGTTAATTTTTGTTATTTCTTGTAGAGACAGGGTTTCATCATGTTGTCCCAGCTGATCTTGAACTCATGACCTCCTGCCTTGGCCTCCTAAGGGGCTAGGATTACAGGCATGAGCTGCTGCGGCCAGCCAGAGGGTATAAATTCTATAAGTACTATTTTAAAGGTATCTCAGAGGTAATTTTTTTATCATGTTTATAATTATTGGCAGTCAGTTATTGTTATTAAACATCTCTAAAAACAAAAAGAATCCAAGAGTCTGAAGAGACTACTGAAATGAGTTTCAAAAAAAAGATGCTTCCAGCTTTTTCCTCAAAATGAGAAACTGTTTTACAGATTTTTATATAATTAAACAGGTAATAAATAATGCCAGATTTTAGCTCACAAAGCACTGGATTTCCCAAAGGAAATACATTTGGTGCAGGTAAATGAAAAGCCTCGTTAATAAATATATATTTGATAATCTGCAGGTTTGAAAACTCACTGAAGAATTCCCACTTCCTCTGCATTAAAAATACCTTGTTCAAGGCAGTAAATATTAACCTATGCTGGTTTATTCAGAAACTCATGTTAAACAAGGTAGAGAAGACCTAAAATTATGTGTTTTGTTTGTTTATTTGTTTTTGAGACAGAGTCTAGCTTTGTCACCCAGGCTGGAGTGCAGTGGCACGATCTCAGTTTACTGCAACCTCTGCCTCCTGGGTTCAAGCGATTCTCCTGTCTCAGCCTCCCAAGTACCTGGGATTACAGGCACCCGCCACCATGCCCAGCTAATTTTTGTATTTTTAGTAGAGACGGGGTTTCACTTTGTTGTCCAGGCTGGTCTCGAACTTCTGATCTTGTGATCCACCCGCCTCAGCCTCCCAAAGTGCTGGGATTACAAGCGTGAGCCACCGTGCCCAGCCCTAAAATTATGTTTTTAAAAGTAACTATTAGGTTAGTGTGGTATTAGGAGTGGGAAGATTGTAGAAACTGTAATAAATTTCTCTTATATTGTTTATCTCTATCACAATAAAATATTCACCTCAGGATGATAGAATTAACACCGTCCTTTCTGGGTGGATAGTTACTCTTGGGAACAATTGTATTTTGAGCCAATATGAGAATTAATTTGGTGATCAAAAATGATCTAAATTTGGGTATGATGTATACCTAAAGCAATTTTTATTCTAGAGTTATTTATTTACTTGAAAAAGAATGGTGCAGAAATGGGTTTTTGTTTTTTGTTGTTGTTTTTTATTGTTGTTGTTTCAGAAGAAAAGTTAATAAAAGTGTAAAACAGAAGTTTTCTTTTTTTTCTCTCTCTTTTTTTTGTTTGAGACAAGTCTCACTCTGTCACCCAGGCTGGAGTGCAGTGGCACTATCTCGGCTCACTGCAATCTCTGCCTCCCGAGTTCAAGTGATTCTCTTGCCTCAGCCTCCCGAGTAGCTGGGATTATAGCTGTGCGCTACCATGCCTGGCTAATTTTTGTTATGTTCAGTAGAGATGGGGTTTTGCCATGTTGGCCAGGCTGGTCTGAAACTCCTGACTTCAAGTGATCCGCCCAACTTGGCCTCCCAAAGTGCCGGGATTACAGGCATCAGCCACCGCGCCTAGCCAGGATGTAGGAATTTTCTCATGAAGCTGAAGGTTCACCAGATGAGAGATACTTTTGGTTTCAGGAATCTTGAAGATCTTTTTAAAATTTATTGGTACTTTTTTAAACTGCAGTGCATAAAGTATAGTGAACATATTTAATTTGTCAGTGACTTGAGATGTTACCATATCCTAGGATACTTATTTTCGATATTTCTCTAATGTGTAAGTAGATATACTTGTTGGATGTGATACAGTATGAAGCCTGGCTAATTTTGTCATCTAAAGGTATTATGTGTAAGGAATAAACACATTTCCATTTATTAAGAATTCAAGATGCTTGGTTAAGTTTATTCATTTTTTTATTTTTATTTTTTTACTTTTTAGAGGTGAGGTCTCTCTGTGTTGCCCAGGCAGGTCTTGAACTCCTGGCCTCAAATGATCCTCACACCTTGGCCTCCCAAAGTACTGGGATAACAGGCATTAGCCACTGGTGCCTAGCCTTTTTGTCTTAGTTGATTTTGTTATAGTATTTAAGAATTTCAACAGGGAGTTGAAATAAGTAGATTTTGGGTTAACTTACCAGTTTCTAGATAAATAATTGATACATGTAGTCAAACCCTGTGACCTTAAAACTTTTCTACTATATTTAAAAGACTGATTCACCTTACTGTTGCCTATTGGGAAAAGTAAAAAATAAATAAATAAAAAACTGTGAAATAGCTTGAATTAAATTTCATAAGTCCCATATAAAGGATAGCAGTGTTTTGTTCCGAATTATTTATGGACACCTAAAGATAACCACATACTACTTAATGTGATATAATAGTAAATATTATACCAGTTAAAGTTCTTTGGTTAAAAGCAGTAGAAATCAACTCTGGCTAACAAGACAAAAAAATAAAAAGAAAAAAAGATTAATTATCAGGAATCTGTGAGATAGCTTATAAAACTGAGGGGAGTATCAACAGCCTGATCCTGCATGCTCCAGGAACCCACGTTGAGGGAAGCAGTGCATGCTCTCTTCAGAGGGTGGTGGCTTCCAATTGTTTTCCATCTTTCTACCCAACATTCAAAAATCAAAGTGTCTGGCCGGGCATGGTAGCTCACGCCTGTAATCCTAGCACTTTTGGAGGCAAAGGCTGGCAGATTGCCTGAGCTCAGGAGTTCAGCACCAGCCTGGGCAACATGGTGAAACCCCATCTCTACTAAAAATACAAAAAAAAAAAAAAAAATTAGCCAGGCATGATGGTGAGCGCCTGTAATCCCAGCTACTGGGGAGTCCGAGGTGGGAGAATTGCTTGAACCCGGGAGGCAGAGGTTGCAGTGAGCTGAGATTGTGCCACTGCATTCCAGCCTGGGGAGCACAGCGAAACTCCATCTCAATCAATCAGTCAATCATAATTTTATTCATCTTTTCTACAGAGTTTATATAAGTAAGTTTAATCTTTTTATTTTCATGTGTCTGATGGTTTTCAATTATTTTCATCCTTTTCTGTGTCTTAGGTATATTTGAAGGCTCCCATGATTCTGAATGGAGTCTGTGTTATCTGGAAAGGCTGGATTGATCTCCAAAGACTGGATGGTATGGGCTGTCTGGAGTTTGATGAGGAGCGAGCCCAGGTAGGGTAACATCAGGCTTTATTGAGCATGGTCCCTTTAGTCCCTAATCTTGCCTTTGCCTGGGGACCTATTTTACCCAATTTTTAAGAGTAAGTATAGAAAGTATTGTGTTGAAGCAATATTGAGGAATCCTGAAAATGTTGATACTCAAATTCTGATCCTGATTTTGGGAAAGTTTTTTCTTCAGCAGTTCTAAATTTCATGGGTTATTCGTATCTGCTCAGTGGGTGCTTCAAAGTCCAGCAAGTAGCTCTTTAAAATATTTATTCTTGATCTTTAGAACACTATGAATAGGGAAAAAAGAAAAAACTGTTCAAAATAAAATGTAGGAGCCGTGCTTTTGGAATGCTTGAGTGAGGAGCTCAACAAGTCCTCTCCCAAGAAAGCAATGATAAAACTTGACAAAAATTGTTTAAAAAAAAAAAAAAAAAGCTGGACGTGGTGGCTCACACCTGTAATCCCAGCACTTTGGGAGGCTGAGGCAGACGGATCACCTGAGACTTGAGGTCAGGATTTCGAGACCAGCCTGGCCATCATGATGAAACCCCATCTCTGCTAAAAATATAAAAATTAGCCAGGCATGGTGGTGCACACCTGTAATCCCAGCTACTTGGGAAGTTGAGGCACGAGAATCGCTCGAACCCAGGAGGCAGAGATTGCGGTGAGCCGAGATTGCGCTACTGCACTCCAGGCTGGGCAACAGAACAAAACTCTGTCTCAAAAACAACAACAACAACGAACAACACCCATTTAAGGCCTCATGGAAGCTATTGAATCTCAGTAAGATCAGTGACAGTCTGTGTCATTTTAGTCAGGAGCTGCTCCCATTCCCCAGCTCTGTGGTCCCTCAGGTTCTTCCCTGGGCGGGCAGGGTAAGCCATGAGCACTGGTAGATCTGTTGTCCTGTCAAAGAGAGCTGACTTTATTAAAAGCAGGGCTTGGGAAAAAAAAAATCCATGCCCAGGCATATTGTTTAAAATGATAGAGGTCTCATTTGCTAACAGTCTGGCAAAGCTAGTGTTGCAGAAAGCAACAAAATGGCAGACCAGCCAGAAATTTATCAGGGAGATTCAGGGAAAGTGATAGGTAAAGTAGACCCTACTAAGATTACACTCATGTCATCCAGAAAGCTGTGTGCATGTACAAGGCTACACCTGCTCTCTTGAAGAGAACACAGAAGGTCCTTGCATGCTACTTTTCCCTGGATGAACACAAGGTAGACTGGCAAACTCCCTGATCTTTGAAAGCATTTCCCCAAGCTACACACAAGTCCAGTGGCAAAAGATGGAAGTCTGCTGACTCAAGATGTTTGGGTAAAAACTCTGACCAGTCATTGGCTGACGGCTGAACTATGCTGATCCAGGAACAACCCCCCAGAAAGCAAGACTTAAAAAAGACAGCTGTGCGCAGTGGCTCATGCTTATAATCCCAGCATTTGGGGAGGCCAAGATGGCAGGATCACATGAGCCCAAGAGTTAAAGACCAGCCTGGGCAACATGGTGAGACCCCATCTACACAAATAATTTTAAAAATTAACCAGGTGTGGTGGCATGTGTCTGTTAGTCCTAGCTACTTAGGAGGCTGAGGTGGAAGGATCGCTTGAGTCCAGGAGCTCAAGGCTGCAGTGAACTATGATCATGCCAGTGTACTGCAGCCTGGGCAACAGAGTGAGATCCTTTCTCTAAAAAGAAAAAAAGAGAAAAACTGAGCAGTGACATCAGAGGCTGTGCACTGCTGTGGAAAACAGACTCCTCAGAATTAGTCCAGGCGAGTCACTAAACAAACAAACATCAACAACAAGCTGAAAGCAAGGATCAGAAGTCAGAGTTGCTACAGTATATTATCTAAACTGTCTGGTTTTCAGCAAAAAGTTATGAGATATGCAACTATGAAAATGCAACTTATACAAAGGTGAAAAAGCAAGCAATATAAACTGTCTTTGAGGGGGCCCAAGTGTTGGTTCTTAGTGAGAAAGACTTCAAAGTAGTTGTTATAAATATACTGAAAGAACTAAAGGAAAATTCTTTCCTTTTAATGTTAAAGGAAATTATGATGGCAGTGACTAATTAAGTAGAGTATATCAATAAAGGGATCTAAATTATTAAAAGAATCAAATAGAAATTCTGGAGTTGAGGCTGGCCGTGGTTGGCTCATGCCTATAATCCCAGCACTTTGAGAGGCCAAGGCGGGCGGATCACCTGAGGTCAGGAATTCAAGACCAGCCTGGCTAACATGGTGAAACCCCATCTCTACTAAAAATACAAAATCAGCCAGGCATGGTGGCGCATGCCTGTAATCCCACCTACTCAGGAGGCTGAGGCTCAAGAATCACTTGAACCCGGGAGGTGGAGATTGCAGTGAGCTGAGATTGCACCATTGCACTCCAGCCTGGGCAACAAGAGCGAAACTCCATCTCAAAAAAAACGCCGAGTGTTGTGGCATATGCCTGCCATCCCAGCTTCTCAGGAGGCTGAGTTAGGAGAATAGCTTGGACCCAGGAGGCAGAGGTTGCAGCAAGCCAAGATCGCATCACTGCACTCCAGCCTGGGCGACAGAGCAAGACTTCATCTCAAAAAAAAAAAAAGAAATTCTGGAGTTGGAAAGTACAGTAGTAACAAAAAGTTCACAGACTAAATGGTAGATAAGAGCTGACATATGAACAAGAAAAATTAACAGTCTTGGGGACCTGTGGGACACCAGCACACGTATTAACATAAATGTAATGAAAGTTTCAGGAAAGGAAAGAAAGAGGTTGAAGATACATTTTAAGAAGTAGTAGCCAAAAACTCTCACGTTTGATGAAAAATATTAATCCACATTGTCCAAGAAGCTCAATGGACACTAAGTAGGATAAACACAAAGAAATCCATACCTAGTCACATTATAAACTGTTGAGAGACAAGGAATCATGAAAGCAGCAAGAAAGGATTCCTCACACGCGAAGGAACCACGGTAAGATTAACAGCTGACTTCTCTTGAAATCATAGAGGCTAGAAAGTTGTGGGATGACATATTAAAAGCACCAAAAGAAAATGTAAAAGCAGATTGGGTGCAGTGGCTCACACCTGTAATCCCAGCACTTTGGGAGACCGAAGTGGGAGGATCACTTGAGCCCAGGAGTTTGAGGCTGCAGTGAGCTGTGATCGCACCACTGCACTCAAGCCTAAGTGACAGAGTGAGTCCCTGTCTCTTTAAAAACAAAGAAAATGTAAAAGCACCTGATTATTAGCAGGTATTAATGTCTTTTAATTGTTTGCTTGATATTAACCTTAATAAAGTTAAAATAATAACAGGAACATAAAGAAACTCTTTGTTTCTTTGTTGTATCTTCCCATATAGTTCTTTATATATGGAAATGTAAGAATTTTCTTTAAAGGAGATCAAAAAATTAAAACTTTCTAGTGAAAAGCTTAGGATTCAAAGTTAAAAGTCTTAAGAAAGAATTCTTGGTCTGGCCCAGGCCATCCCAGTGGCACATGCCTGTAGTCCTAGCTACTTGGGAGGCTGAAGCAGGAGGATCCCTTGATCCCAGGAGTTCCAGCCCAGCCTAGGCAACATAATGAGACCTTCATCTCTAAACATAAAAATAAAGAAAGAATCCATGCACTACCCTGATTTCCACAATGCTAATGAATTTCCAATTCTTTCAGAAAAATAATAAATAACCAGCAATCTAAAAGTCTATTTTCTGTTAAGAAGTGATAAAGCAGACTTTATTTATATAAGGAAAATTCAGATTGGATTGACTTTTAAAAAACTAAAGTATTTTGACAGGGTGCAGTGGCTCACGCTTGTAATTCCAGCACTTGGAAAGGCAGAGATGGGAGTATTGCTTGGTCCCAGGAGTTTGAGACCAACCTGGGCAATGTGGCAAAACCCTGTCTCTACCAAAAAAAAAAAAAATTAGCCAGCTGTGGTGGTGTGCACCTGTAGACCCAGCTACTCAGGAAGCTGAGGTGGGATGATTGCTTGAACCCAGGAGGCTGAGATTGCAATGAGCCGAGATCACACCACTGCACTCCAGCCTGGGTGACAGAGCAAGACAAGACCCTGTCTCAAAAACAAACAACAAAAACTAAAGTATTTTATTAAGATAATAGGTTAAAATTTTTAACATTTTTTATACTTGGAGTTTTCCAAGCCTTATTTCCATAGTCCCCAAATTGAACTATATCACTACAAATTAAGTGCCATCTGTTGTGATAGTTTACTACTATCACAATGGAGTTACATAACTCTTACCGATAATAGGAGTTATACAGTGTATAGTAAAAAAAATTCAGAGCAGGTGACTCCAACTATTTAGGCAGCAATCAGTACTTCCCTGTAGCTCCCCTTGTCCCCATCTGCAAGATAATATAAGTAAAGAAGCAATGAAATGTAGATGCTAGGGGCAGGAGTTCATAGTCGTATAATGTGAATCCTGGCCCCACTACTTACCAGCTCTCATGAACTGAATGTTTGTTTACCCCATCCCCAAATTGATATGTTGAAGCCCTACTCCCGTTGTTACTGTACTTGAAGATAGGGCATTTATGGAGGTAATTAAGGTTAGATAAAGGCGTAAGAGTGGGGCTCTGATCCAGTAGGGTTAGTGTCCTTAAGAGACAGGAGAGAGCTCTCTGTCTCTCTCTCTGCCGTATGAGGACACAGTGAGAAGATGGATGTCTGCATGCCAGAAAGAGGTTCCTCACGGGGAACCAAATTGGCTGGCACATTGATCTGGGATTGCTAGTCTCCAGAAATGTGAGAAAATAAATTTCTGTTGTTTAAGCCACTCCATTTATGGTATTTTAGTATGGCATCCTCAGATGACTAAAACACTAGCTGTGTGATGCTGGCAAGTTATTAAATCTCTCCAGGCCTCAGATTTCTCCTTCCTAAGATGGGATAATGCTGCCCACAAGATTGTGGGCAGTTGAATGGGATAGCATATGTAAAGGGCTGTGCCTAGCACAGTATCTAGCGTGCAGTACAGTTCCTAAACAAAGACTCTTGTTTGTTACTGCTTGTACTTTAGCATTTTATACTTAGGGTTTCCACTCTTCTCCAGATGTCTGTCTTGTGAAGTAGTGTGTAAAATCACAAAGCATGGATTTCAGCCCTCTTTCACTGGGCTGGAATAGGCCCCATCTCTAGCGAGTGAGCCGGTGGCAGCCTCACTTCCATGGCCCAACACAGCTTTGTTTCTCTCTGCTGATCACACAGGCAGAAATAACTCTTCTGAATTAACCAAAAAACAGTTTTTTGAAAAGTTAAAGTTCATGGTTAATGTTATATCATTCATAATGTAATATAATTTGATATAGGATGAGAGTGACCATATTACTTATTGTAACTGTATTATTCCTAAAAGTATAAGGTCATGTTTAACTGAAATTATATAATATTTTGACCCACAAATTGATTTTATTATATTGCTAGCCCTAGAAAAATTGTTTCATTCAAAAAACATTTTTAAAAATACGTTTTTAAATAAAACAACATGTGCACATTACAGCAAAATAAAAGTTATATCTTTATGCTAATCTTCTGAACATTAAGATTAATAAGCAGAATACTTAGTCTTGATATTTATTCATGCACTTTATTAGTCTCTTATTTATATCTGTATCTAATATTTTTCTGAAGAATATATAGATTTTTCAATATGGTCTTGTTTTTCTTTTTTTTTCTTTTTTTTTTCCAGACAGAGTCTTGCTCTCTCACCCCGGCTGGAGTGCAATGGCACAATCTGGGCTCACCTCAACCTCCGCCTCCTGGGTTCAAGCGATTCTCCTGCCTCAGCCTCCTGAGTAGCTGGGGTTACAGGCATGTGCCACCATGCCCGGCTAATTTTGTATTTTTAGTAGAGACGGGGTTTCTCCATGTTGGTCAGGCTGGTCTTCAACTCCTGACCTCAGGTGATCTGCCCGCCTCAGCCTCCCAAAGTGCTGGGATTACAGGCGTGAGCCACCATGCCCGGCCTCTTTTTTCTTTTTTTTTTTTTAGCGACAGAGTCTTGCTCTGTTGCTCAGGCCAGAGTGCAGTGGTACAATGACAGCTCACTACAGCCTCAAGCTCCTGCCGTGCTTGGCTAATTTTTTTTATCTTTTGTAGAGATGAGGTCTTACCATGTTGGCCAGGCTGGTCTTGAATTGCTGGCTTCAAACGATCCTCCTGCCACAGCCTCCCAAAGCACTAGGATTATAGGCATGAGCCACTGCATCTAGCCCCTTACTTTTATTTTCTTCATAAAAGTGCCCACAATATGCTTCAGAGTTGCATATTATAATTAGTAAATTTGGAACAGCTGACATCTTCAATTGAGTGTCTGTAAACTACGTAAAAAATTGACAAAATACTCTAACAAATGCTGAAGTATCTGGTAAACTAAGAGCTAAATGGAAGAGAGTCAATTCCATTTTTGAAAGATTAAATTGTATAACTATTTCAGCTGAAATATTTTCACAGGTATTGTCTCTGCTTTTGTCCAGAGTGCCTTTCTTTGACAAGTTTGGTATAAGACAATACCTGTCAAAGCTGTCTCTATTTATGATTCTGTCTCTATTTATGATTCTTCTGAAAATTTTGCCAAGTTCAGTTACTTCAGAATCAAATCATTTCCAGTTAAAAATGGAATTCCATCCAAGATTCTTTTCCCAAAAAGAAACAGAAGACATGTGACCAGATGCAGTGGCTCATACTTGTAATCCCTGCACTCTTGAGAGGCCGAGACAGGTGGATCACTTGAGGTCAGGAGTTCGAGACCAGCCTGGCCAACATGGTGAAACTCCGTCTCTACTGAAAATTCAAAAATTAGCCATGGTGGTGCGTGCCTGTGGTTCTAGCTACTCAGGAGGCTGAGGCAGGAGAATTACTTAAACCCAGGAGGTGGAGGTTGCGGTGAGCCGAGATCGTGCCATTGCACTCCAGCCTGGGCAGCAGAGTGAGACTCCATCTCAAAAAAACACGAGGCCGGGCGCAGTGGCTTATGCCTGTAATCCCAGAACTTTGGAAAGCTGAGGCGGGCAAATCACCTGAGGTAAGGAGTTCGAGACCAGCCTGGCCAACATGGTGAAACCCGTCTCAACCAAAACTACAAAAATTAGCCGGGCATGGTGGAGGGCACCTGTAGTTACTTGGGAAGCTGAGGCAGGAGAATGGCATGAACCCAGGAGGCGGAGCTTGCAGTGAGCCAAGATGGTGCCACTGCACTCCAAGCCTGGGCAACAGAGCAAGACTCCATCTCAAAAAAAACAAAAAACAAAAAACACCAAGCTGTTATTTGCAGAAGATGCATGTACTTAGAAAATCTAAGATAATTTACACACTATTAAGAAAACTAACACATGAATTTCACAGGGCATTAGATGTAATACAAGGTCAGTACACCATCAGTTACATTTCTATATACCAGCAATAAACAAAGACAAAGGTGACACTGCAGTGCAGACAAGGGTGGGGGGCAGGGGGTAGGTCTCTTCAGTAAATGATGCTGGGACAATAAAACATTTCTGTGAGGGGAAAATATATCAGAGCCCCTTATACCATTCACAAAAATCAATTTCAGATGGATAGCAGTTTATAAAATGTAAAACAGTAAAGCTTTTTTTTTTTTTTTGAGACAGAGTCTAGCTCTGTCACCAGGCTGGAGTGCAGTGGCGTGATCTCAGCTCACTGTAACCTCTGCCTCCCGGGTTCAAGTGATTCTCCTGCCTCAGCCTCCCAAGTAGCTGGGACTACAGGCACGTGCCATCATACCCTGCTAATTTTTGTATTTTTAGTAGAGACGAGGTTTCACCATGTTGGCCACGCTGGTCTCGATCTCTTGACCTCATGATCCACCCGCTTCGGCCTCCCAAAGTGCTGGGATTACAGGCATGAGCCACTGTGCCCGGCCGAAACAGTAAAGCTTTTTAAAGGAAAATGAGAAGATCATTTTGTGACCTTGGAGTAGGCAAAAACTTGAACAGGACACAAAAGATGCTAAACTGTAAGTAAATGGATAAATAACGAATTATGGTAAAACCAAGAACTGTTTATCAAAAGACAGTATTAAGAGAATGTAAAGGCAACCTGAACAGTGGTGGAAAATGTTTTCTGGCAAAGGACTTACATAAAATATGTAGAGGCCAGGCGCAGTGGCTCATGCTTGTAATCCCAACACTTTGGGTGGCCAAGGTGGGCAGATCACTTGAGGCCAGGAGTTGGAGACCAGCCTGGTATGGCAAAACCCCATCTCTACTAAAAAATACAAAAATTAGCCAGGTATGGTGGCACACACCTATAATCCCAGCTACTCAGGAGGCTGAGGCAGGAGAAGCCCATGAACCTGGGAGGCAGAGGTTTCAGTGAGCCGAGATCACGTCACTGCACTCCAGCCTGGGCAACAGAGCGAGATTCTATCTCAAAAAAAATGTGTGTGTGTGTGTGTGTGTGTGTGTGTGTGTGTGTAAAGAACTCTTACATTTCAGTGAGAAAATATTTTCATTGAAAGGAAACACAGACAACCTAAAAGAAATTGGCGAAAGACATTTAACAGGCAGTTCACAAACAGGCTATGCAAATGAAAAGGATTCAGCTTTCTTGGATCATCAGAAAAATAATTATTAAAACCACAGTACTACCACACAGTCATCAGAATGGTTCAAATGAAGAAGACAGTACCAAACATTGACAAGAATGTAGAGCAGCAGTTGGTGTGTTGGTTATGTAAGATTGGCACAACATTTGGAAAACTGGCTGTAAATATGCAAGCTGCGCATGCATATATGTGTGTGTGTGTGTATATATATATACACACACTATGATCTAGCAGTTCTACTCCAAGGCATGATGGCAACAGGAGTGAATATGCATATTCATCACAAAATATGTGCTAGGACATTTATAACTATTATTAGTAATAGCTAGAAATTGTAAACTGCGCAAATGGCCATTAACAGTGAAATTTATAAAGTGCGTGGTCACACAAATACACTGAGAATGAAAAGCTACAACTAACACCAATATGTGTGAGTTCCTCAAAAATATTGAGAGTACAGAACAGGCCAGTTATGGTGCCTCACCCTTGTAATCCCAGCGCTTTGGGAGGCCAAGGCAGGAGGGTTGTTTCAGGCCAGGAGTTGAAGAGCCTGAAATTTAAAAATTTCAAAAATTTTTAAAAATTAACTGGGTACAGTGGCTCATGCCTGTAATCCCAGCACTTTGGGAGGCCAAGGTGGGCAGATCACAAGGTCAGGAGTTCGAGACCACCTTGGCCAGTATGGTGAAACCCCGTATCAACTAAAAATACAAAAATTAGCTAGGTATGGTGGTGGGTTCCTGTAGTCCAAGCTGCTCGGGAGGCTGAGGCAGGAGAATCGCTTGGACCCGGGAGGCAGAGGTTGCAGTGAGCTGAGATCGCGCCACTGCACTCCAGCCTGGTGACAGAGCTAGACTTCATCTCAAAAAAATTTAAAAAATTAGCCAGGCATGGTGGCATGCACTTGTAGTCCTAGTTACTTGGGAGGTTGAGGTAGGTCGATCACTTGAGCCCAGGTGGTCAAGGCTGCAGTGAGCCATGATTGCTCTATTGCACTTCAGCCTGGGCAACAGACTGCCTCAAAAAAATAAATAATTTAAAAAACATCACATGTTATATGAATCGATTTATGTAAAAGTACAAAATCAGGTAAAACCAATACATGTTTTTCCCCCCATTTATTTCTTTTTATAGAAAGTAAAAAAGAGGCAAAATTAAGCAAAATGCCTCTTGGTAATAAATAATAGGAAAGCCATAAGTAGTATTCACAAAATTATGGATAGTGGTCACCTCTAGGAACAGGAGGGAAACAGGGTAGAGCAGCACAGAAACTGAAATGCCCAAAGTCTCAAACTCCTGACCTCAGGTGATCTGCCACACTTGGTTTTTTAATATAATTGTCTAAAAGCTTGAAAAATATGAAGATTTTGGCACTTTACCATTGAATAATCAGAGATTTCCAACTAATTTTAAACAAAACTTTACTACAAAGACTCATTTACCAAAAGAAGGTCATTGTTATTGTAGGAACTAGGTTGGTTTTAGCATAGTTCTTGAGACTCAAGTTTTCTAAAAATCCAGTGTGTACTGTCATGAGATTAGTTTTTTTTTTTCATTGTCAGCTTTGTCAAAATTCTGCAGTTCAGTTACTTTAACTATGGATATATAAAGATATTTGTAAGTTATATAAACTATAACTTCTAAAGGATAGAATGTTTCATTTCTTTGGATGCAGTTATAAATTATATGTGTACCACTACTAGTTCCTAGTAGATTTCTAATTCAATGAGAATGTTATTTTCTTATACAATATGTGTTCCACCAACATTTGTATTACCAACATAAGCCAATAATTTTATCTTCATTGTTGTACTTTTTAAATGACTTTGTTTTGGCAATCACAAAACAATATTTCACGTTCAGTATAATGACCTTGCAAAGTTTTATTTGATTCCATGATTGGATTAGAAAAATTGAACCATTATTGGAATTGATGCATTTTCTGTTTGAAGTACTTGATGACACTGCTGTAAAATTAGTGTCTTTTTGTTTGCAAGGTTTTTCTGTTCATGAAGCAACGTATAAACAGCTTTACTTTTTACATATGCACAAAAACGTGGGTGAAATTAATTTGGAAGAGTCATTTAAGTGAAAAGTTACGTGCTACAGATTGATGTGTTAAATGTACCATTTGCAGCTGCACATACTGATTGTCTTTTATGTAAATACTGATGCTTCTTCAGCAGATTTATTTATTTTGGTTTTCATGTGATCAGTGATACCATTCTGGTCCCCACAGAGAATAGTAAATGTCGATATTTTGTGCAAATTAGATGTTCATCATCAACTGTCTTGGAAAAAAATTGATTCTTAATTTTTTAATTAAGCATGAACTTCCAGTTTTTAAACTCTGATGCAGAAAGGTAAGTGTTACCGAACTGTTAAATATATATAGTTGTAGATTTAGACAATAAATAAAGACACAATTTAAATACAGTGAAGAGAGAATTACTACAACAAGAGTGGTCGAATATTCTGTGTATGCTCTATGACAGAACTGCTAAGCCTTTATTTTCCACATGGATTTAATTTACACCCAGCCATGTTTTATGATGACCCCACCTGGCTACGTTGTGCAGGTTGTGGTATAGACTTTGGAGTAACAGACTAGTAGTATAACAAGTGGCTGGTGGGGACGGGAGAATTGAAAACCTTATCCTACCCGAACCTGAATGGAGTTGGTTGTTCCTAGCCATTTGAGCCTACTTTGTGGGTAAGCACGTGGTTTTTATTAGCAGGTGCCCTTTATGCTGTCCTTGAAAGGGAGGTGTTAGATTGCAGCAGGAAAGGATCAGGATAATACTGGTAATTGCTGATTGTCTTTCCATTTTACCATTTGTTAAAGTGTGAACTCTGTTCACTGCACATATGTCTCACATGTCATTAGAAAATACCAAGACAAGCTGGGCACGGTGGCTCATGCCTGTGATCCCAGCACTTTGGGAGGTTGAGGCAGGAGGATCACTTGATATTGGGAGTTCAAGACCAGTCTGGGCAACACAGCGAGACCTCATCTCTCTATAAAAAATTTAAAAATTAGCTCTGGTGGCACACACCTGTAGTCCCTGCTACTTGGGAGCCTGAAGCAGGAGGATCATTTGAGCTTGGGAGGTTGAGGCTGCAGTGAGCTATAATCACACCACTGCACTCCAGCCTGGGCTTGAGAGCGAGACCCCTTCTCTAAAAAAGAGAGTAAAGAAAAGATCAAAACAGAAGATGGAACAAGAAAGTGAAGGCTACCAAATATCTCCTGGCTTATTTTGCTGCAAATATTAATAATGATACTTTTTATTCTTGTTTTGAAATGGAGTTTCGCTCTTGTTGCCCAGGCTGGAGTGCAATGGTGTGATCTTGGCTCACCGCAACCTCTGCCTTCAGGGGTTCAAGTGATTCTTCTGCCTCAGCCTCCCGAGTAGCTGGGATTACAGGGGCCTGCCACCATGCCTGGCTAATTTTTTGTATTTGTTTTTTAGTAGAGACGGGGTTTCACCATGTTGGCCAGGGCTGGTCTCTTCAACTCCCAAACTCAGGTGACCCACCGGCCTTGGCCTCCCAAAGTGCTTGAGCTTATAGGTGTGAGCCACCGCACCAGGCCCACAGTTTTTTCCTGTCATCGGCAGATGTGTCCCAGTTGATACCTAAGTGCATAGAAAGCCGTGGGAAATTGGGAACAGCATTCTTTTGCGGCTACCTCTGGCTTATATTATGTCCTGAGAATATAGTAGGTCCATGTTATGATGTTCAGTCAAATGTTTGAATTTTATGTATCCATAAGTGCTTGTTGAATAATAGCATTTATTGAATGCTGTCAGTATGCTTAAGCACTTTTTATGTGTTATTTAATCTTTACAACAATCTTGTTATAAAGTATTACTATGCCTTTCTTACATGTAAATTTACTGAGGCTTAGAGAAATGAAATAACATTGCCCTGGGTTATAAAGCTAGTAAGTGCATCACAAGAATGGGAATTTGATTACATCTTTCCATTCTGTTTACGTTATAGACATTGTCACTGAAAATTTTGAGTATTAGAAAACCCCACTGACAGTGACAAATAAAGGATTTATCACACAGAACAAGATATCCAGCAGTACACAGTCCAGGCCTGGTATAGCAAGCACTTAATTATGTTATCAGAGGCCCTGGGTCTTTTTTTTTTTTTTTTTTTTTTTGACCCCAACGTGATATGAGGTCTTTTAATCTTGCTGCTGTACCATGCTCATTGTGTGACTGTGTCCTCATTATTATGTTTGCAAGATGGCTGCTGCATCTCTGAGCACTGCATCAGTTCCTAAGAAGGTGGAATGGTGAAATGTCTCAAACTTTCTTGGAAGCCCCATTAGGTGACTTGTGTTTCTGTCTCATTGGCTACAACTGAGTTACGTGGCCACCCCTTGCTGCAGTGAATCTAGGAAAGTGAGTAGTATTGATGACTTTTCTGGTATTGTTTTGGATCTTTTCGTTTCTTCAAGTGTACCATCAAAAATCCTGGTATTCTGGCCAGACACAGTGGCTTACGCCTATAAGCCCAGGATTTTGGGAGGCCAAGTCAGGCAAATCACTTGAGGTCAGGAGTTCGAGACCAGCCGGGCATGATGATGCTCACCTGTAGTCCCAGCTACTCGGGAGGCTGAAGCAAGATAATTGCTTGAACCTGGGAGGTTGCAGTGAGCAGAGATCACACTGCTGTACTCCAGCCTGGGCAACAGAGTGAGACTCTGTCTCAAAAATAATAATAATAATAAATTCTAGTATTCAGAAGTGTGTGACGGCAAAGGCCAAGCATCCTGGGCTGTACACAGTGAGGGAGCTTTTTTAAGTTGGGGGCATTGTAGTCAGATTGTGCTTTAAAGGCATACTCCGATGGCTGTGTGGTAGATTGGGTTGAGGAGTGACCAAATGGAAGCAAGGAGAGACTGTTGAGGAGACTTTTGCAATGGTCTAAGTGAGATTTTAGGGGTCTGAACTAGGAGGAAACTTTTTATAGGAATGAAGAGGAGACTGAAGATTCCAAAAATATATAGGACATCAAGTGGGTAGGACTCAGTGGTTGATTGATTGTGGAGACAATGAGAGAGTGAAGAGTCAAAGATGATGGCTCAGGTTTCTTGCAGAAAAAAAAATGGTGCCACCAACAGAGACCAAAAAAGAGTAGAGAAGAAAGTTTAAGTTGGTTACCTTTTTAGATGCAATGAGTCCTGAGGTATCTGGGTTTCCTTCAGGTGCAGATCTTTAGCCACTAACTGGGAAAAGACAGATTTGTTATATGTTAATAAATATATTTTCCTTAATAATTTCCCTTGAGATTTTATTTGCTTTTTGTTGTCCAGAAGTTTCCAACATTTGTGTAGTCAGTGCTGTTCATCTTCATTTATATTTCTGGCTTTAGTTCATAGAGCATTTCTTTTCCCCAAATGATAGAAGTATTTACCACATTTGTTAGCCTTAAATATTGTATTCATCAGGATTTTATTTTGATGAGTAGGATTAAGTAGGTAAAGAAAACGGAAGAGCATTTTCAGTTGTTAGAATATGATTAACATGACTTATGTTTCCAAGGTGTGGCATAAAATATGAAATACTGAATTTTTCTTTTAAAAGTACCTCTGACTTTTTTTTATATATATACTTTTAAGTTTTAGGGTACGTGTACACAATGTGCAGATTAGTTACATATGTATACATGTGACATGCTGGTGCGCTGCAGCCACTAACTCGTCATCTAGCATTAGGTATATCTCCCAATGCTATCCCTCCCCCCTCCCCCCACCCCACAACAGTCCCCAGAGTGTGATGTTCCCCTTCCTGTGTCCATGTGTTCTCATTGTTCAATTCCCACCTATGAGTGAGAATATGCAGTGTTTGGTTTTTTGTTCTTGGCGATAGTTTACTGAGAATGATGATTTCCAGTTTCATCCATGTCCCTACAAAGGACATGAACTCATCCTTTTTTATGGCTGCATAGTATAAATCATGCTGCTATAAAGACACATGCACACGTATGTTTATTGTGGCACTGTTCACAATAGCAAAGACTTGGAACCAACCCAGATGTCCAACAATGATAGACTGGATTAAGAAAATCTGACTTTTTTTTTAATGGTGTTGATGTTTCAGAAATACTCTGCTGTTTGTTTCTGTCGGAATAAAAAAGGCTGGACAAGGTGGCTTGCACCTGTAATCCCAGCACTTTGGGAGGCCAAGACGGGAGGATCTCTTGAGGCCAGGAGTTTGAGACCAGCCTGGTCAACATAGCAAGACCCAGTCTCTACAAAAACTAAAAAAAAAAATTAACCAGGTGCAGTGGTGCGTGCCTGTAGTCCCAGCTGCTTGGGAGGCTGAGGCAGGAGAATTGCTGTAATGGGGTTAAGCCTATGATTTTCAGGTTGTGGTGAGCTATGATTCCACCACTGCACTTGTACTCCAGCCTGAGTAACAGAGCGGGATGCTGTTTCTTTTTTTTTTTCTTTTTTTTTCTTTTCCTTTTTTTTTGAGACAGGCTGGAGTGCAATGGCGCAATCTCGGCTCACTGCAACCTTCACCTCCTGGGTTTTAAGCTATTCTGCCTCAGCCTCCCAAGTAGCTGGGATTACAAACATGCGCCACAACATCCAGCTAATTTCTGTATTTTTAGTAGAGATGCGGTTTCACCATGTTGGTCAGGCTGGTGTCGAACTCCTGACCTCAAGTGATCTGCCCGCCTCGGCCTCCCAAAGTGCTGAGATTACAGGCGTGAGCCACTGCGCCCGGCCACTGTTTCAGGAAAAAAAAAAAAAAAACAAAACCCAAATATTGTATTTTTTTTATAAATCAAAATTAAAATAGGTATTTCATGTATTCTGACAGCAGGAGGATGCATTAGCACAACAGGCCTTTGAAGAGGCTCGGAGAAGGACACGCGAATTTGAAGATAGAGACAGGTCTCATCGGGAGGAAATGGAGGTGAGAGTTTCACAGCTGCTGGCAGTAACTGGTTAGTACTTTCCCCCAAACTCTCAGGCTGTGTTTGTGATGTTTGTGCATAATGCTTTTTAATAGTTTAATTTTGTCTTTCATTTTTAAAAAGTTGTACTCTCTGGCTTTGTGTTTATTAAATGTAATTGCTATAAAGAAATTTATTTTAATTTTAAAGTTGTACATCAATTCCTCATTCATTGGTCTTCATAAAAATCATTTACTATAATAAGGTATATTTTCTCTTAATTCATTTACTCAAAATCTCACCTCTTTTTTTCTTATTTTTCAAATTATTTGTAAAAATCAGCTTATGTTAACAGATTGCATATTTTTAGAACATTATTAAAACTCGAGTAATACTACTTTCCATTTTTCTATGAATATTTGTCTTGGTTTTATAACTATAATTGTCAGTCATTTGTGTGATTTTAACTAAAGGAAAATTTAATATTCAAACTATTCAAAGAACGGAATTAAACTTTTTCTTTTAACCTTTCTATTGTAAAATACAGAAACAGAAATCAACATTAACAAATCTGTAGCTTCCTTTGCTGGTTTACTTAGGATACATTTTTTAAAATAATAATAAATAAAAAAATCTATAGCCCAATGAATTACTGTAAGGTTAACATCCTTACAACCACGGTTTGGTCAAAAAATAAAACTTTGAGCCTGAGCAACTCTGTCTCTACAAAAAGTAAGAAAATTAGCTGGGTTTGGTGGCACATGCCTGTAGCTTTAGTCACTTGGTAGGCCAAGGTAGGAGAATCACTTGAGCCCTGGAGTTTGAGGTTACAGTGAGCAGTGATTGTGCCACTGTATTCCAGCCTGGATGACAGAGTGAGATCCTGCCTTTAGGAAATAAATAAATAATACATAAATAAACCTTTGACAGCTACCCCAGCAGCCCCTTCCATATATACATCTAATCATGACTTTCTCATGATTTCTGCTCAAAAGTAATCATTATTTTGATTTTTTTTTTTTTTTGAGATGGAGTCTTGCTCTGTCGCCCAGGCTGGAGTACAGTAGCGTGATCTCGGCTCACTGCAGCCTCTGCCTCCCAGGTTCAAGTGATTCTCCTGCCTCAGCATCCTGAGTAGCTGGGATTACAGGCGCACACCACCATGGCCGGCTAATTTTTGTATTTTTAGTATAGGCAGGGTTTCACCATGTTGGTCAGGCTGGTCTCGGACTCCTGACCTCATGATCCACCCACCTCAACCTCCCAAAGTGCTTGGATTGATTACAGGCGTGAGCCACTGCGTCTGGCCCATTATTTCAGTTTTTATAGTTAATTTATGTCTTGTGTTTCTTTAGTTTTAGCACCCATTGAAGTTTAGTCTTGCCCAGTTTTAAAATTTGAGCTTTTTTCCCCCCACTTTTTTAAATCTACCATGTTGGTTTCTGAATTTTGATGTGTCTTTTAATTGACAATGGAATTTTAATTTTTTTACACAAAATTGTACTCTGCTTTAAACAGACCTCAATTATAAAAATTAATATTCAAAGTATATACAAATTGTTCAGAAATACAGATTTTCTTTAAAAATTATATTCTAGGGCCAGATGCTATGGCTCACACTTGTAATCCCAGCACTTTGGGAGGCTGAGGTGGGAGGATTGCTTGAGGCTGGGAATTTTAGACCATCTTGGGCAAAATAGCAAGCCCCCATCTCTGCAAAAAATAAAAAATTAGCCAGCATGGTGGCACATGCCTGTTGTCCTAGCTACTCAGGAGGCTGAAGCAGGGGGATAGCTTGAGCCTAGGCGCTTAAGGCTGCAGGAGCTATGATCGTGCCACTGTACTCCAGCCTGGATGACAGAGCAGGACCCTACCTCAAAAAAAAAAAAAAAAAAAAAAAAGTATATTCTAGCAAAAATAATCAAGATAAGAACTAATGTGTTTGAAAAAGAGTGTTGTCAAATGTTACTGTATATCATGCTTCAAGTTTATAAACTTTGTATCAACATGAACATTTCATACAAGAAGAAATAGAAAAAGCACACATTCATCTTTGATAATCAAAACACATTAAAATATAATTATAATATATCAACTAAACAGAACCATTTCCAGGTGTTAAAAATCAGTATTAGGTACCTAAGATTGTTAAATTCATGTCCTATATACTTTTGGAATCTACAGACAGTAGAATAGTGGTTGCCGGGGAAATGGGGGTTAGTTATTTAAAGAGTATAGAGTTTCAGTTTTGCAAGATGAAGAGAGTTCTAGTTGGTTGCACAACAGTGTGAATGTACTTAACACTACTGAGTGTATGCTTTAAAAATGGCTAAGATGGTAAGTTTTATGATATGTGTATTTCACCACTTTTTTTAAGTTTTTAAGTCAATGTTACATAATGAAGAAAATTTGTGGTTTTTTTCCAAGCACAAAATTATATGTACACTATTGTTTAAATTAAGGTGTGTGTGCATACGTGTGTGTGTGTGTGCGTGCATGGGTGCAGACAGTGGCTAAGAGCCCAGACTCTACAGCCAGACAGAAGTCTGAATCTGGCTCTGTCATTTACTTTGTCAGCTTGGACAGCTTACTTCACTTTTCTATGACTGAGTTTCCTCATCTACAAAATAGGAGTAATAATCCTGCCTGTCTCATATGGTCATTGTGAGGATTAAATGAGTAAATACATGTGAAACCACTTTTAGCGTATGTGCCACTGACTAGGTGTCAGGTGCTATTATTATTGTTAATATTATTTAAAGTATTACATAAAATTTCTAGTTGTGTTAAAATATATTTACTTAGAATACATTTAAAAATCAAGCCTATTTGGTGGTTAGTGTATGAAATAAATTGTGTGTGTGTGTGTGTGTCTCTGTGTGTGTCTCTGTGTGTGTGTGTGATGGAGTCTCATTCTGTCGCCCAGGCTGGAGTGCAGTGGCACAATGTCGGCTCACCGCAACCTCTGCCTCCCGGGTTCAAGCGATTCTCCTGCCTCAGTCTTCTGAGTAGCTGGGATTACAGGTTCCTGCCAGCACGCCCGGCAAATTTTTGTATTTTTAGTAGACACGAGGTTTCACCATGTTGGTCAGGCTGGTCTCAAACACCTGACCTCGGGTGATCTACCTGCCTCAGCCTCCCAAAGTGCTGGGATTACAGGAGTGAGCCACCGTGCCCAGACTTGAAATAAAATTTAATATCTTTTTTTTGGGTGGGGGTGGGGGGAGATGGGGTCTCACTCTGTTGCCCAGGCAGAAGTGCAGTGGTGTGAACATGATTCACTGTAGCCTCAACCTCGTGGGCTCAAGCAGTTCTCCCTCCTTGACCTCCCAAAGTGCTGGGATTACAGATGTGAACCACTGCACCCAGCCTAAAATTTAGTATCTTTTTTTTTTTTTTTTTTTTTTGAGACGGAGTCTCGCTCTGTCGCCCAGGCTGGAGTGCAGTGGCGCATTCTCAGCTCACTGCAAGCTCCGCCTCCCTGGTTCAAGCCATTCTTCTGCCTCAGCCTCCCGAGTAGCTGGGACCACAGGCGCCCGCCACCATGCCCGGCTAATTTTTTGTATTTTTTAGTAGAGACGGGGTTTCACCGTGTTAGCCAGGATGGTCTCGATCTCCTGACCTCGTGATCTGCCCGCCTTGGCCTCCCAAAGAGCTGGGATTACAGGCTTGAGCCACTGTGCCCGGCTTAAAATTTAGTATCTTTTAGTGATTGCTAGATCTCTTTGTCAGTGAGTTAATTAATCTAATGGGCTGATAGCAGCTGAGGATGTCCCCAAGAATACTTGTTAGCTAAGAGAAGAAAATGGAGGGATATATGTGATACTTGTTTTCTTTGATGCTGTTGTAATTCTTGTGATTTTCATATATGTGAATACAAGACTTCCACACCATGCCCTTTCTTTCGGTATCTGTAAAATTTAGAAGCTTTAAAATGTATAATGTACATTTGTTACATTTCTGAACCTTTTTGCTCATGCTCTTTGTTCCCTGATGTAGAATGTTCTTTTCTGTCCGTCAAGGCCCAACCTGAATGTTGTCATTAAATGTCAGGCCTTTCCTCAGTCTTCTTAGTCATAATCATAAAGCCCTTCCATTCTGTAGCACTTTTTATTTCTACTAGTGTTCTTATTGAACAACATGTTGAAACAATTATAAACATTTGTGCCCTCCACTTTATGGCAATCCCATGAGATGGAGCCCCTGATTTTTGTGTCTTCCACATTACCTACCACAATCCTTTGTACACTGCTTAGTTGTTCATTGGATATCTTCAAAAAACAGCCCCTATCCTGCCTGTCTGAAAACTAGAATTATAGGAGAGCCTGCTATGATAGTTCATGTAGATAATACATATTAATGGTCTCTGGAAAGATTCTAAATATTTATAATGTGTTGGTTTATATTAACTAGTTAAGTAAAGTAATAAACCCCAAGTGTGTTGGTCTGTATTCTGCATTAGGGACTGAGAAATATATAGATGAAAATGCATTGTTTCTGTCTTTGATCAGCTGTCAGTCTTGTGGGAAAATGATGGATAAACAGATCATTGCAGTGTACTTTAGCAACCACCATACATAATGGAGGTTCAAAAGGGACAGCAGCAGTGTAGAGGAAGCTTAAGTCTGCCTCTGCTTGGGAAATTCACAGGGTAGTATACTTAGAGGGATTTGAAGGAAGAGTGTGTTTTGCCAGCTGTTCAAGTTGGAGAAAGCATTCTGGGCAGGACAAACAGTGTATGCAAAGGCATGGAGGAGTAAGGAGGAGTAAGAGAGCCTGCCAAGTCAAGAGAGTGTGATTGGTCAGTATTTCTGGAGCAAGCTAACATGGCTTTAAATGAATATAGGAATCATTTTCTAAAAAGTGCTCTTCAGCTACATTATATTTGGAGATTAACTATTTGACAATTAATGGAACAACTGTTGAAAGCTTTTGTATGTATTTTGCTTTACATAAAACTCTAGATTAATTGACTAAGAATTTTCTATTCTAAATTGTGGTGGCTCACACCTTTAATCTCAGCACCTTGGGAGGCTGAGGGAGGATTGCTTGAGCCCAGGAGTTCAAGACCAGCCTGGGCAACACAGCAAGACTTTGTCTCTACAAAAAATTTAAAAACTAGCTAGGCATGGTAGCATGTGCCTGTGTTCCCAGCTACTTGGGAGGCTAGGTGGGAGGATCGCTTGAGCCCAGGAGGTCAAGGCTGTAGTGAACTATGATTGTGACACTGCACTCCAGCCTGGGCAACAGAGCAAGACCCTGTCTCCCTGACCCCACAAAAAGAAATAAATACATTGTTAATTTGATTTTTCTAATTTAAAATGTTGGAAGAATATTTTGGTATGTGAGTTTATATGTATATATGAACAGAAATATAGTCTGTTGATAGAAGTGTCACATAATTTGTTGCTCAGATAGATTGTTTCTACTTGTTTTTTTGTCAGTGATTGAGAGCATGGGCTTTGTAGTCAGGCCTAGTTGAGATTCCTGCTCCGTCACTTGCCTCAAGAGCCCTAATTTTCTCACAGAATTTGAGTATTAAATGGGAAAATGCTTGTAAAGCACTTAGTATGATGCTTGGTATGTGTATGCCTACAGTAAATAATAGCTCTGAAGTACTTCTTTTTAGCACTAAAAGCTCCACCATAATGCTGGTTCCAGTTAATTGAATTATTTGGCTAACAAGAACATCCTTTTAGTTCTCTGAAGTGTATCAAGGCACTTTCCCTACATTATGACCTAGAGCATAGAGAAAAGAGTTATATTTTCATCAATGATTTAAGATCCTGTAGTCCCTTATGGCAGTAATTTAAAACATCAGTTCTTGTAGAGAACTGTCATCTGGAAAATTGGGCTGGAATCTGACTCCAGCACATGCACTGGCAATCACATAGGGGAGTTTGGGGTTTGTGTGTCTTTTGGCACTTAGCGTGTATATATTTTGCTTCTTTGTCTTTTTTTTCCATCCATAAAAAATTCCTAATGTCACCTTATTTTCTTGCAGTTTACCTTCTTTTTCCTAAAAAGAGAATATTGGAGAAAAATGTTGTTTCCCCTCTGTGATTCAGATTATCTTTAGAGATTCAAACATCATCTAATCTAACATTATTACAGTTGATAAAACTGAGAGTCTCCAAAAAATTAATTGACTTGCTCTCCCTCAAATATTTGGTTAATGGAAGAAACAGTGAGTATTTAAACCAGTTTCCTAACCAGGAGGCCTGCACAAATACAGCTTAGCGCTGGGAAATTAATTTCCACACCACCCGTAAAGATGCTTAAGCTGAAAAATAAAATCTGCCAGGAGAGATTAAGAACCGTTTTGCCTGGAATAGAAAAGGCTGAGGCAGAAAAGAAAAATAATGGTTCTAGTGGGTGGTCCTGATGCCTGACTGGAGAGGAGGGCCAGAGAACAGTGGTAACTCATGGGTGGCAGCAAGTCAGTAAACGGCCTGTGGAAGCTTGAGATCCTAGCAGCACAGAGGTTTAGGGATGTCCTCCACTGTTTGGATAACTTCTGAGGCCTCCAGCCCTGCCATGCTAAACTTGTAACAGTGGTGCTCGTGAGTATTTAATCTATGTGTAAGGTTAAGATTACTAAGGGGGGAAGCAGAACTCCAAGTGGTTGGTGGCCCAAGGGGTTTTGATTTTCAACAGTGTCTTTTAACCTGAAACTAGTTATAAAATTCCTTGAGCATTCTTCCATTTCACCATGTGTAAAATTTAGAAAGTTTTCGATCCTTCATGATAGGATTTAGTGTTTTCTTTTTCTCATTTTTCTGGAACAGCCTATTTCAGTAGTACAATATTTTCTTTACCTTTCAGAGGTAATGGCAGATTATCATTAACTTGAAATGAGAAACTATAGTGAAATGAAGAAGCATTGTTTATGTTAGTAACCTTTACCAAATACTCTTGTCATTGATATACATTAAAATGATATACATAAGGTACACAGTACTGTGTATAATATCTTACTCTCTGGGTATTTTTCCTACTCTGTGGGTAATTTTTGTTTAAATGTGCATAGTCATTCTCTAGTAGAATATCTAAGAAACTGGAACTAGAAACTATGGGGGAGAACCAGGTACCTGGGGGACAAAATAAGCAAATTATTATTTTTCACTGTGTATCTTCTGTACCTTATGAATTTTGTATCATTAATTATTTAGAAAAAAATAAAATTTGCTTTCAGTATTACACAGAATAATGAAAACAGAAGATTCTAGACCTTGCTATCTCTATTCTCTGGCATATAGGCTGTTTTTTATGTGAAACCCTTCCTCCATTTGAAATTGTATACAGAGCCCCACTGTATAAAACAGTTTTTTTAAAAGGCACTGCTCTGGGCAAAGCCAGGGTAGGGATTGTTCTGGTCTCCCTCTGGTGTCCCTGGGGGTGTTTTTACGGAACCCAGTGGGTGGCAGAACATAATGAGGACTCTGGATGTAGTGGAATGAGCACAAGGTTTTGCATCCCGGCTCCACTACTTGTTGCCATATAGCATTGAGAAAGTTGCTTATTCTCATTGAGCCTCATCAGTAAAAACTCCCTCCCAGGTTGTTGCAGAGCTCAGTATCTGAGGCTTAGAATGGGGACTCAGTGGAAGCCAGTTTCTTTACCCCTTCTTTCTGTGTACTTGGCTCACAATATATCTGGAGTGGCAGGAAAACAGTAAAAGTAGTCATATCCTAACTTTAGACTATGAAAGTCGAAGATACTATTTTGCCAAGCCATTTTAGATTCTGGTGTTTTTTGTTTGGTTGGTTGGTTTGGTTTTTTAAAACAACCAGTAAAGGATTTTGGACTTTTCTTGGCTCTGTTGGAGGCTACCAGTTACTGTGGGGATTGAGTAGTGACTAGAAGTGGGTATGAAGAGAACTTCCCATGTTCTGGTAATGTTAGTTCTTGACCTGGGTGCTAGTTAGGTGGGTGTGTTCGCTTTGTGAAAATTCTTCATTACATACTTAACAATTTGGGCACTATTCTGTACTTGTATAAAAAGAAGGCTTTTAAAAATAAAAAATAATCACAGACGTTACTTTTGTGAAATGCTCTCCATTGGCATCTGTTGCTATATAGAAGCATCCTAGCACCTTTTCTGTCTGAGAATCCTTCCTTGATCTGAAAATGTTGACATGTTTCCCATGACCTTTCTTTTTGGGGTATATATGTCTATAACTAATTCAAATGTCTTTTGTGAAGGAAGATGGAGGTTAATAAAGGACAGATTTCATGCTCTGATCATAGTTGAGTTAGAAAGATAGCAACTTGTACACTAGTCTCTGTTTCCAGAGACTGCCTTCAACTTGATTGGCCTTTTGACCTAAAACTGTAATATAGCACTCTTGGCTTTTAACTCAGCTCCAAGGTGACAGGGTGCTTAAAGATATTTTCTCTATTATCTTAAAAATGCCTACATTTGGTTAGATTATAAAGTGGCAGCAAATAAATGGTTGTCTTTAATGTCAGAGAATGGGTAAATTATTGTTTATCCTACTATGAGCAATTTTAATACAATTCAAATCATAGAATTTTATGTGGAAACTATTTGGAAATAAAAACAGGCAAAAAGTTTTATGTGGTTTTTGTATTTGTATTTTGCATAGTTTTGGGGCCTTCAATTCTGTGTGGTCCAAGAAAAAAATCTCAGCCTCTATTTATTTTAAATTTCCGAAGACTTCAGTTTTCAAATTATTTAACTCTACCAATATTCTTTCTTGTGTATGGATAAATCAGCATGAGAATATGTCTGTGCTAGGCCTTCCTGGGTTGTGTTTTGGGTAATGGCAGTAGATGAGAATGAACTGGGAGTATGAACTCAGACTGAGAATGAGAATCGGAAGAAGATTAATGAAGGAGGAAAAGGATACGAAATCTGACTTCCCCCACTACCAGAGGAAGAGAGTCTTGGTTCTCTATCAGAGGAGCAATAGACTTTATTAAGATTTATTTTTGTTTTAGCCTTGTTTTAGTTTCTAAAAATTATTCTATCTGCAGGATATGGATTTTTCAACATTTGAATAGTTATTTGAAAAGTTCATAAATGGAAATGGGAAGTGATGAACAGCTTTGTTATAATAACAGCATCATGAGTGCATCCTATGTGCCAGGCAGTGTACATTATAATTTTGGCTTTATATTTGATCTTTAAATGCTCTTGTAAGTTACCTCTTCATTTTGAGGAACCGAGGCTAAGAGAGGATAAGAAACTTGCCTAAGGTGACATAGCTGAAGTGGTAGGGCCATCATGGTCCAAGCCCAGAAATGCAGATTATTCCCACTATTTCATTTTAAAATGTTACTTTATATTTGAAGTTTTCCTTAGGTTGCATACTTTGTAAGAACTATATTTTTTGACATGCCTGTTGGAACAGCTCTCGCAGTCTGCTTATCTGACAGATGTTTATAATTGTCTGCTGACTTTTTTTTACCCTTTTTAAAATTTTTTTTTAATTTTACTTTAAGTTCTGTGATACATGCGCAGAATGTGCAGGTTTGTTACATAGGTATACCTGTGCCATGGTGGTTTGCTGCATCTATCAACCCATCATCTAGGTTTTGTTGTTGTTGTTGTTTGTTTGTTTGTTTGTTTGTTTTTTGAGGCAGAGTTTCGCCTTTGTTGCCCAGGCTGGAGTGCAATTGCACGATCTCGGCTCACCACAACCTCCACCTCCCGGGTTCAAGCGATTCTCCTGCCTCAGCCTCCCAGTCATCTATGTTTTAAGCCCTGCATGCATTAGGTATTTTTCCTAATGCTCTCCCTCCCCTTCCCCCCTACCCCTTGACAGGCCCCTGTGTGTGACATTCCCTTCCCTGTGTGTGATGTTCCCCTCCCTGTGTCCATGTGTTCTAATTGTTCAACTCCCACTTATGAGTGTGAGCATGCAGTGTTTGGTTTTCTGTTGCTGTGTTAGTTCTCTGAGAATGATGGCTTCCAGCTTCATCCATGTCCCTGCAAAGGACATGAACTCATTCTTTTTTATGGCTGCTTTTTAACCTTTTTAATGAGTTTGGGGAAAGTGCATTCCTTTCTCTCATGTTGAGACTTAAAATTTGTGCTTTGTGTCTCCTCCAGACTTAGCAATAGGGAGAACTAGCAGTGACTAAGGAGGCTGACATTAATGCCAATTGTAAGTTAAAGGCTCATCTTTTCCATAGGTCTGATTCTGTGTTCTGACTCTGCCTCCAACTATGTTACTTGGGGGAAATTACTTAACCTTAGTCTTAGGCTGTCATCTGCACAATGAGAGTTGAATCAGATCTCTCAAGTACTTTGCCACTCTAAAATTCTATAATTCTGTATTCAGAATTTTATTTTTCTCCCTTCCTTCCCCCTGAATTTTATTTTATTTTTTTTAGAGACAGGGTGTCATTCTGTCACCCAGGCTAGGTTACAGTGGTGCAATCTTTTTTTTTTTTTTTTTTTTTTTTTTTTTTTTGAGATAAAGTTTCACTCTGCTGCCCAGGCTGGAGTGCAGTGGCCAGATCTCGGCTCACTGAAACCTCTGCCTCCTGGGTTCAGGCGATTCTCCTGCCTCAGCCTCCCGAGTAGCTGGGATTACAGGTATGCACCACCATGCCTGAGTAATTGTTATATTTTTAGTAGAGATGGGGTTTCACCGTGTTGGCCAGGCTGATCTCGAACTCCTCACCTCAGGTGATCTGCCCGCCTTGGCCTTCCAAAGTGTGGGGATTACAGGCATGAGCCAAGTGGTGCAGTCTTATAGCCCACTGCAGCCTTAATATCCTGGGCTCAAGCAGTTCTTGCCTCAGCCTTCCAAGCAGCTGGGATTCCAGCCACGTGCTACCATGCCCAACTAATTTTTAAAAATTTTTTGTAGGGGCAGGATCTCACTGTCACTCAGGCTGGTCTTGAACTTCTGGGATCAAGTAATTGTTCCACCTCAGCCTCCCGAAGTGCTGTAAACTGTAGGCGTGAGCCACCATGCCCAGCTGTTCTTTTAGCCAAGTATCAAACAAAAAGTGAATACTACAGTATCTGGACATAGTACACACTCAATAAAATATAGTTGTTTTTAATTGTTAGGGAATTTTCCCATGAAGAGTTTTCAGCAGGTTTTTTTTTTTTTTTTTTTTTTTTTTGAGCTCTCAATATTAAAAGAATGGAGATCAACCAGGAAATTTTCTTCATTCTGGATACCCCCTCCTCGTGGCTGTTTCTGCATAGCTCTGACCAGTAGGGAAAACTCAAGCTGCTGGTGTGTGTTCTTTCGTCTCATTTGGAGTCATCTCATGACTGCCTCCTAGCAACTCTATTTGCCTTGTTCCTGGGAGATGATATACTGAGAGAAAACAGGAGAGCAACTGGTAGTAAGAGGTCTGTAGCACAAGGTTGAGATTAATTCTTCATAAATACTAAGAACAGATTTGTGCTCTGAAATCAGACTCATGGATGTGTGCTTTATATTAAAACCCCAATTCTGAAATAACTGTTACTAAAAGGTTAGAATCAAGGCCCTATGGCTGAGGAGAAGGAAACTAGAAATTACAAACTTTGTGCTTTTAGGATGATGGAGTTCAGAGTTTCTTTGCCATCATGTAGTATAGTTTACCCATAGAGGAAATCCTTCAAAAACCTTCATTAGAAAACTGCCACAGTAAGAAGTCCTGCTTCTTAAAGCAGCTGCTTATTCAGCTGTTAAGTTCTACTCCTATGGAAGCTATTTTACTGAACCTAAATCTGTTTCTGTATTTGTTTCCTTCATATGACGGTCAATACATCTTCCCTTCTAGCATTAAATGTCCTCCCAGATCTCTCATTCTTCCCTCTTCTGCTCTCATTTGTACTGTTAGACTTCCTCCCTCTTTTTTTTTTTTTTTTTTTTTAAAGAGATGGGGATCTCACTATGTTGGCCGGGGTGGTCTGGAACTCCAGGGCTCAATCAGTCCTTCCACCTAAGCCTCCAAAGTGCTGGAATTACTAGTGTGAGCCACCGTGTCCGGGCCCCTCATTTTTGTTCCTACTCTTGACTCTTCATCACAGTGTCTTTCCTTACATCTTCCTCAGTGCCTTCACAATGTAAATAGAAATGAAACCCACAAATAATAGCAAGACAACTTTTCTTTACTCCTGTTCTCTGTGCTTTTATCAAAAATGTAATATTTTAAACAAATCCATGGCTATTTCTGTGCAGCTGTGACCAGTAGGGAAAACTCCAGCTGCTGATGACTGTGCTTTGTCATATATTTGGAGTAATCCCATTATTATTAAAATAATTTGAAAATTATTTTTGCCCCAAGACACAAAAGCTGAAATACTCTTTTCACAAAGTATTATTGGTAGGTTAGTAGTGATTTATAAATATATAATTAGGATTTATTTTTCTCAGTGTTTCTTCATTGCTTGGCCCCTTTCTAACCTTCATTGACTGAAAGCAGATGTTTATATCACCATCTCTGATTTTGCAGAATTGATCTGTCCTTACACTGCATTTAGCATTGATTGTGTATGGAACATAAATTGCTTTTCTGATGCATATGTATTCCATAGCTCTTTGAATTTGTGACTGTGTACTATAACCTATTTAATTGAAAAGAATGTGCTAAAATTTAGTCATTGTCCATTCTGCTAACAAAAGCAGTTAAAACATGCTAGAGAAATATATCAGAATTTTAAGAAAGAGGCCGGATTTGGTGGCTCATGCCTGTAATCCCAGTGCTTTTGAGAGGCTGAGGCAAGAGGATCACCTGAGGTCAGGAGTTCAAGATCCGGCTGACCAACATGGTGAAACCCTGTCTCTACTAAAAGTAAAAAAAGTTAGTCGGGCATGGAAGCGCATGCCGGCTACTCAGGAGGCTGAGGCACGAGAATTGTTTGAACCTGGGAGGCTGAAGTTACAGTGAGTTGAGATCAGGCCATTGCACTCCAGCCTAGGCAACAAGAGCAAAAGTGTGTCTCAAAAAAAAAAAAAAAAAAAAAAAAAAGGCTGGGCACGGTGGCTCACGCCTGTAATCCCAACACTTTGGGAGGCTGAGGTGGGCTGATCACGAGGTCAGGAGATTGAGACCATCCTGGCTAACATGGTGAAACCCCGTCTGTACTAAAATACAAAAAATTAGCCAGGTGTGGTGCTGCGTGCCTGTAGTTCCAGCTACTTGGGAGGCTGAGGCAGGGGAATTGCTTGAACCCAGGAGGCAGAGGTTGCAGTGCACCAAGATTGCGTCACTGCGCTCCAGCCTGGCGACAGAGCAAAGCTTTTTGCTCAAACAACTGGTAAAATGGAGTTGCAGTTATCTAACATAGGAAAACTGTTGCTACTTGGGAAGGTGAGGCAGGAGGATCACTTGAGCCCAGGAGTTTGAGGCTGTAGGGTGCTATGTTTGTGCCTGTGAATAGCCACTGCACTCCAGCCTGGGCAACACAGCAAGACCTCATCTGTTTTTTTTTTTTTTTTTTGGAGACAGAGTTTCCCTCTTGTTGCCCAGGCTGGAGTGCAACAGCACAATCTCGGCTCACCACAACCTCTGCCTTTCTGGTTCACGCGATCCTCCTGCCTCAGACTCCCGAGTATCTGGGAATACAGGCGCATGCCACCACACCCAGCTAATTTTTGTATTTTAGTAGAGATGGGGTTTCGCCATGTTGGCCAGGCTGATCTCGAACTCCTGACCTCAGGTGATCCGCCCACCTTGGCCTCCCAAAGTGCTGGGATTACTGGCATTGAGCCATTGCACCCAGCCGACCTCATCTCTTTAAAACAAAATGAGTTAATTCAGCTGGGCATGGTGGCTCACGCCTGTAATCCCAGCACTTTGGGGAAGCTGAGGTGGGTGGATCACTTGAGCCCAGGAGTTCGAGACCAGCCTGGCCAACATGGCAAAACCCCATCACTACTAAAAATATTTTAAAATTAGCCAGGTGTCGTGGTGCATGCCTGTTCTCCCAGCTGCTTGGGAGGCGGGGCAGGAGAATGACTTGAACCTGGGAGGCGGAGGTTGCAGTGAGCTGAGATTGCGCTACTGTACTCCAGCCTGGAAAACAGAGCAAGACTCTGTCTCAAAAAAAAAAAATAATAATAATTAGTTAATTCATGGAAAGTACTTAGTACCACATTCTGGATACAAACAGATATTTGTGCTTGGCCAACATTTGGAGGCAGTAAAGAAAGCTTATAGAATAACCACATATTAGAACTTGTGAAGGAGAAAATATACATATATATATATGTATATATATAGTCTCTCTATTAAGTAATTTACCATAAGGGGTTTAAATAGGAATGTTGACTCCAAAGTGAATCTTGAAATCTTGGTGTTTATAATTGTCAAGCCTCTTTTTTTAAAATAGATTTGGTCAACAGGAAGTATTTTTTTCTAATTTTTATTTTATAGACCTAGTCAAGCTTCTTAATTGTTAAATATTGTTATAACAATACATCTGGGCCGGGCGCGGTGGCTCACTCCTGTAATCCCAGCACTTTGGGAGGCCAGGGCGGGTGAATCACGAGGTCAGGAGATTGAGACCATCCTGGCTAACACAAAGAAACCCCATCTCTACTAAAAATACAAAAAATTAGCTGGGTGTGGTGGTGGGCGCCTGTAGTCCCAGCTACTCGGGAGGCGGAGCTTGCGGTGAGCCAAGATCGCGCCACTGCACTCCAGCGACTCCGTCTCAAAAAAAAAAAAAAAAAATACATCTGAGTCGTACATGGTGGCTCATGCCTGTAATTCCAGCACTTTGGGAGGCCAAGACAGGCAGATGGCTTGAGCCCAGGAGTTCCAAGACCAGCCCTGGCAACATGGTGAAACCCTGTCTCTACAAAGAATACAAAAATTAGCCAGGTGTGGTGGCGTGTGCCTGTGGTCACAGCTACTCGAGGCTTAGGTGGGAGAATCGCTTGAGCCGGGGAGGCAGAGGTTGCAGTCAGCAGAGATTGTGCCACTGCACTCCAGTCTTGGTGACAGAGTGAGACCCTGTCTCAAAAAAACAACAAACAAAAAAATAGATCTGGGGCCGGGCGTGGTGGCTCACGCCTGTAATCCCAGCACTTTGGGAGGCCGAGGCGGGCAGATCACCTGAGGTCGGAAGTTCGAGACCAGCCTAACCAACGTGGAGAAACCCCATCTCTACTAAAACTACAAAATTAGCCGGGCGTGGTGGCACATGCCTGTAATCCCAGCTACTGAGGAGGTTGAGGCAAGAGAATTGCTTGAACCCGGGAGTTGGAGGTTGCAGTGAGCTAAGATTGCGCCACTGCACTCCAGCCTGGGCAACAAGAGTGAAACTCCGTCTCAAAAAAAAAAAAAAAAAAGCATCTGGGAATATAAGTGCACCCAGGACTCTAATTTTATATTTCTATTTTTAACATATGAGACAATACTTTATCCATAATAAAGTGCTACATTTTTCAGTCATATAATTAGTAGAACATATACTTCTCTGTGATTCAGTTTTTTTATTTGTAAAATAGAGATAAATAATAGCACTTATGTCATAGGTTGTTGGGAGGGATTAAATTAGTTCTAGCCAGGTCCTATGGCATGTGCCCATAGTTCTAGTTACTTGGGAGGCCGAGTGAGGCAGGAGGATTGGTTTAGTCCAGGAATTTGAGGCTGTAATGTGCTATGTTCGTACCTGTGAATAGCCGCTGCAGTCCAGCCCGGGCAACATAGCAAGACCCCATCTCTCTAAAAAATTATTTAATTCATGGAAAGTACTTACAACAGTGCCCGCAGACAGCTGATACTCAATAAATGTCAGCTATTACTAAAAGGAAGAGTTTGCTTCTAAGGCACTTGGCTAATGTGTTAAAGTTAAATCCTCTTTTTCCAAAACTGTAAATATAGATTTGTTGTGGGGTTTTTTGTTTGTTTGTTTGTTTGTTTGTTTGTTTGTTTTTTGAGATGGAATCTCACTTATGTCGTCCAGGCTGGGGTGCAGTGGTGCGATCTCAGCTCACGGCAACCTCCACCTCCCAGGTTCAAGGGATTCTCATGCCTCAGCCTCCCAAGTTGCTGGGATTACAGGTGTTGCCACCATGCCTGGCTAATTTTTTTGTATTTTTCATAGAGACAGGGTTTCACCATTTTGGCCAGGCTGGTCTCGAACTCCTGACCTCAAATGATCTGCCCGTCTCAGCCTCCCAAAGTTCTGGGATTACAGGCATGAGCCACTGCGCCCAGTGCTAGATTTGTTGTTATTTCTTATGTAGTACATATTTATGGTGATTTTCTTTTGAATAAAAATGATTTTTATTCTTGATTTTTAAGGAAACTTTAGTAAAATATGTCAGACATAATTTTAATTGGTTTTTTTTTGCCTGTTACATGTGACTATATTGGCTGAAAACTTTTTAGTTATGAAGTTTTTCTGTGTGCTACTGTCTTGTATTTTGTATATCTAGTATTTTGATTGTCAAAACACTTTTTGACCCCAAATTATGATTTTGTCATTGCAGGCAAGAAGACAACAAGACCCTAGTCCTGGTTCCAATTTAGGTGGTGGTGATGACCTCAAACTTCGTTAATTAATAGCACAGCAGATGTGTGCTGCCCATCTTTACATACACATTGCTTCTAGTTGGCAGAAATAATTGATTAAAAGACCAGAAACTGTGATAACTGGAGGTACTACGGTCTATTTCTCAACCTTAGGCAGTAATAGACATCACAAACTGCCATGGTTTTGCACTATGATTATAATACCTGCATTTCTAATTTTTTAAGCATGTAGCCAGTAATAATTTGAAGTTTTTTTTCTATGCAAGCTTACCTTGTTGGCATTATTTTAGGGAGTTGAAACTATCAACTGTAAAGCTCCTTTTCTTCCACTTTAATTTAAAAGTTCATGTCATTTAAAAACAAGTCAAGAAATTAAAATTGTATCAGAGGGTTTTCTCTAATCATTTTTTCTATTTTTTTTTTTGTACTTCTAGATGTTTTGGTTATACAGCTTCATTTTAGATGAGCATTCTTATTTTTTGTTTTGTTTGCCCCATTTCCTTTTGTGTTTTTATAGTCTATAGCATTTTAAAACTGCTGATGTTGTTTGCATTATTTACAGGCTAAAAACTTAGTAGCATAGAGCTGTCTGCCACAGCCTTCTGACAAAGTTTACAGTTATTAAAGTTGCAGTATCCTTTTAAATGCTAGTAATCAGCACTCTTTCTTTTTTTTTTTTTTAATAGAGACAGGGTCTCGCAGTGTTGCCCAGGCTGGTCTCGAACTCCTGGCATCAAGCGATCCTCCTGCCTTAGCCTCCCAGAGTACTGGGATTACAGGCTCTTTCTTTTTAAACATAAAAGTTTTAAATTGGTATTAACTCTGTACTCTGCCCTAGATTGTTTTAGCTTCTGTTCTGTAATCATGAGTTTGGTTGGAGATATTCTCCATAGATGATCTTCTACTGAAATGCCTAAAGAAGTCACAGGCTGGCTTCTGTTTTATTCAGGGATTTTTTTAAAAAGTCAATCAGAAAAGGGATACTGGAGCTTCTTCATGTATGTAACAGCATATTAAACTGGAGACAGTGATGAATCAGCTACAAAGGTAATATTGTATTAAAATCATGTTTAAGATAGCTGCTTTTATGTGTATTTTATATTGCATGCTTTTGTAAAAACATGCTGGGTGATGAAAGATTAGTTTTAGAGAGAAAATGTTCATCTGTGCAGAGGATGCATTTTCTTCCATTAATTCTGGAAAAAACGTTCACAGTTATATATATGGTATTTTGCAAAAGGACTATTAATAGAACCTTTTGAGATGAATTAATGTAAGAATATTTTTTAAATAGGCTTACTGTCAAATTGCAACTTTTTTTTTAGATACAGAGTGGAAAACAGTGCTAAGTCATTTGGCACCTCCTTACAAATATTTTTCATGGTCACATTTATTAAATGTTACTACATTTCTGAATTTTTGAAAAATGTATTTTATCATTAAATGGCATTATTTTAAAGGGTGAAAAACTGACACAGTCAATTCAGAAAATGGACTGAAGTCTGAATAAGGTCATTGCATTTAAAAAGCATATAACTGTACTTGACTGATGAGGGAGGTGTTACTTTCATTGTATATAGGTCTTATTTCATAAACAGATATCCTGTATCAAATAAAAGTATTTGTTATATATTTGAAGTTATGCATGGAAAGGAGTGTGTTTAAATTGTTACAAACAATAATGCGTCATTAAAGGCCATGCTGATCTTGCATAACTATAAGTACTATGAATGAATTTGGTTGGTTTTGGTGTTGTACAGCTCACATGTTTACACACTCAGTGCCCTAATTTCCCCTGAGGGAATCGCTTTTTAAGTGATCCTTACAGTGGTGTTTTATGTTACTTTATTACAGAGCTCCTTGGTTTTTTACTTCTGCACTTAAATTTTTTTAAATAACATGATGATGGTACATTTTCCTCTATTGTCTAGCTAAGGGCTTTCGGTCCACCAGTAAATAAGATCAAATGCTCTTAAATGTTCCTGTTACCATCCTAATGTAAATACTGGATTTTTCTGTCATTTAGCACCATGCTGCTTCTGTCTGTCTTAATGCTGGCATTAAGATCATGAGCCCTTTTTCTCCAGTAGTACAGGCTTTGAAAACTACTTCTATTAAGTTATTGATGCAATTTGATATTTTTTCATAATCTATATTTAAACAAAATTACATCATTGCATCATCTTTTCTAAATTCATCTCCATTAAAACTTGCCTTAAGCTACCAGATTGCTTTTGCCACCATTGGCCATACTGTGTGTTTGTTTGTTTAATTTACTTTCACAATAAACTTCTGTGTAGTAAAAACAGGGTCTTGGCTCTTTCTTGACCTAACCCAGTAATTTCTAAGAAAGCAACAACAGTGGCATCTAGTGGTAATTTCTGTTGATTCCAAAGAAGACTACTTTAAATATAGGTATCACAAGGTATACAAATCCCCCAGTGTATATTATGGTTTTCAAGAAATCTGGCTTGATTTACCCATCCTGTGAGATATGACCATAAAGTAGTGATGTTGGGAGAAAGAATTTTAAATTACACATCCAAATTAGTTCCATCTTTCAAGCTAGTTGTTTTGGAAATATACAGCCGTTTTGATTGTGCTGGTGTTATATCAAACATTCTTAAGACTCCTGGCATTTTCCTACAACAGAAAAGTAAGCCCTTTTCCTTGAAAGTATGCCTTAAGCTTGACACATGATAAACAGATTCACTCATTAACCACAAGACTTACTGCAAATGACAAAAATGCCTTTAAATTCTGAATTGACACCATTAAGGGAAATTCCAAAGAGTAGGATTCATGCTCTGAGAGTTAATTTCAAAAAATTGAGCAGTAACAGCATGGTTTTAGTAAGTATATCACTTCTAGAAACATAATTGGATATGCTAGCTCGGGGCTGCTTGGTGAAAAATATCTTACTTGATTTATGCCTCATTTGGCAATGAGGAGCTTTTCAATCTATAAACCATTGTATTATCCATAACACATTACCCCAAAACTTAGCAGCTTAAAACAATAAATACGTATTATCCCACAGGTGAGTCACAAATCTGGAAGTAGCTAAGATCAATGGTTCTGGTTCAGAGTTCCTCATAAGGTTAGAGTCATCCTGGGCTACAGTCATCTCAAGGATTGACTGGATGAAAGATCCCCTTTCAAACCCACTAATGTGGTCACTGACTGGCCTCGGTTCTTTGCAGCTTGCTAGATGAAAGGCAGATGTTCCTTGCTAGATGTTGGACAGAGACCTGCTTCCATTTCATGCCCAGCTGGGTCTTTCCATAGGACAGTGCACAGCAGGGTAGCTGGCTTCCCCCAAGGCAAGTGATCCAAGAGAGCGCACACCCAAGTTGAAAGCACAGTCTTTTTTTTTTTTTTTTTTTTTTTTTTTTTGAGATGGAGTCTCGCTCTGTTGCCTAGACTGACTGGACTGCAGTGCTGCAATCTCAGCTCACTGCAACCTCCCCCTCCCGGGTTCAAGCGATTCTCCTGCCTCAGCCTCCCACGTAGCTGGGATTACAGGTGCCCATCAACATGCCCGGCTAATTTTTGTATTTTTCATAGAGACGGGGTTTCACCATGTTGGCCAGGCTGGTCTCAAATTCCTGACCTCAAGTGATTCGTCCGCCTCGGCATCCCAAAGTGCTGAGATTACAGGTGTGAGCCACCATGCCCAGCCAAAAGCACAGTCTTAGAACTGAATCTTGGGCTGCCATATTGTATGTTAGAATCAAGTCACTGGGTCTGGTCCACACTCAAAGGGGGAGGAATATTAAGCTTCATCTGTTGAAGGCGGGGATGTCAAAGCATTTGTGGACATCTTTCTAAACCACCATGGTGATATTACCAAATATACGTAACTGAGTATAAGATACCTTTGGTGTTTTGCCGGGCGCGGTGGCTCACACCTGTAATCCCAGCACTTTGGGAGGCCGAGGCAGGCAGATCATGAGGTCAGGAGATCGAGACCATCCTGGTTAACGGTGAAACCCCGTCTCTACTAAAAATACAAAAAATTAGACGGGTGTGGTGGCGGGCGCCTGTAGTCCCAGCTACTCGGGAGGCTGAGGCAGGAGAATGGTGCGAACCCAGGAGGTGGAGCTTGCAGTGAGCCAAGATCGCACCACTGCACTCCAGCCTGGGCAACAGGGCGAGACTCCATCTCAAAAAAAAAAGATACCTTTGGTGTTTTAATCTAAACATTCTTTAAAGGTAAGATTTCAGTCTTGCAGATTTGAATACATGATTCCCCCTAGATAGCATCAACCCCTTTTCTTGCATCACCATCATATATTCATATATGGCATTTCAGAAATGTTCCAAAGCTAAAAAATGACAGTCACAGGGTGAAATCATGGATGGAAATGGCAGTTTAGTTTGTTTAAATATGGAATATTCTGAAACAGATAAGTCACTGTTTTAGTCAACTCCCAGCTTTTGGTTAGAAAATTTAAGCAACTTAGAATTAAGGTCGTTATTGGCCTCATTCAGATTTCAGAAATGTTGAGGAGATGTTGTAGATAAAAATAAAAGGCCAGGCACAGTAGCTCATATCTGTAATCCCAGCACTTTGGGGGGCTGAGGCAGGAGGATTGCTTGAGGCCAGGAGCTCAAGACCAGCCTGGGCAAGATAGCAAGACCTTCATCTGCACAAAAATATTTTTCTTAATTAGCCAGGCATGGTGGTGCACACCTCTAAGTCCCAGCTACTTGGGAGGCTGGAGTGGGAAGATCGCATGAGCCGAGGATTTTGAGGTTGCAGTGAGCTATGATCTTGCCACCGCACTCCATCCTGGGCCACCAGAGCAAGATATTACCTATAAAAATAAAAATGGAAAATGTTGAAGTTCTATTTTTTTTTTGGAGACTAAAAGTATGGTTATCATTTAGGGGGGGAAATATCCAGTGTCCAAAATAAACATGTTCCCTGCTCACAAGGAATCTACAGTCTAGCTAAAAAGCTGACCAAAGGCAGTAACACTGTTTAAGTTACATTAGAAGTACTGGCTCTTATAGTACATCTATTCTAGTCTGGGTGGTGAATAAAAGCTTCCCTAAAGAGATGTTTTGAGGGTGGGTGCGGTGGCTCACGCCTGTAATCCCAGCACTTTGGGAGGCCGAGGCGGGTGGATCACAAGGTCAGGAGATCAAGACCATCCTGGCTAACATGGTGAAACCCCGTCTCTACTAAAAAATACAAAAAATTAGCTGGGCGTGGTGGCGGGCGCCTGTAGTCCCAGCTACTTGGGAGGCTGAGGCAAGAGAATGGCATGCACCCAGCAGGCGGAGCTTGCAGCGAGCCGAGATTGCACCACTGCACTCCAGCCTGGGCGAAAGAGTGAAACTCCGTCTCAAAAATAAAAAAAGAGATGTTTGAGCTAAGATCTGAAGGATGGCAGACCTTAAGCTAGCTAGAGAAGGTATTGCAGGTAGCTAGCCAATAGCTTGGCAAGTTTGAGAAGCTAAGAGCAGCTGAGTATGACTGGAACAGAAAAGAGGGGGCTGCAGCAGTGAGATGAATCCAGAAGGGCAGATTCCACCCAGCAGAGGGCAGGGTAAGAGTCACAAGCAGTGCTGGACTGGCCTTTCCAACCGTGTTAAATAAAACATTTGGACCATTCCCAAGGGTGAACAGGAAGCCATTGAGGGCTTATGACCTTGATGGAATCGGTGCTTGAGAAAACTCAATTTTGTTTGGGGAGAATAAGACTGGAGTCAGAAACTTGGTCCCACTGATCATACGATATAGTAACACAGGAAGATTAAGGGTAGCTTTGTTGGCATGGAGACATTTCAAAGCTATAAACAGTACAGGAGGCATAATTGACAGTTTTCCCAATTTCTCTTATCAGTCAGGATAGGCTGGTTATGTTGCTTTGTTTTGTTTGTTTGTTTTTTGAGATGGAGTCTCATTCTGTTGCCCAGACTGGAGTGCAGTGGTTCAATCTCTCCTCACTGCAACGTCCGCCTCCTGGGTTCAAGCAACTGTCGTGTCTCAGCCTCCCGAGTAGCTGGGATGACAGGTGCCCGCTAATTTTTTGTATTTTTAGTAGAGATGGGGTTTCATCATGTTGACCAGGCTGGTCTTGAACTCCTAACCTCAGGTGATCCACCCGCATCGGCCTCCCAAAGTGTAGGGATTACAGGCGTGAGCCACCACGCCTGGGCTGGTGTGTTGCTTTAAAACACCAAAAAAATTTATTGGCTTAAAGATTTATGTCTTATATGCTAAATACTCATCAGGGGTTGACCTAGGCTAACAAAGCAGAACTGGAGGACTGCCAGCCATTGTGACAGAACCAAGAAAGAAAACAGGTAATGAAACAGGCATTGGCTTTGAAAACTCACCTGAAATTGATACACGTGACTTCTGTTTTCAATGGACCAAGCAATTCACAGCCACACCCAACTTCAGTTGCGCAGGGAAATGCAACCCTTTTTGCCCAGGAGTCAGAATATTTGTGAATTGCTCTGATGACTACAACAGGCCACTGTTTCAATTATTTTACTTTCCTTCCTTCAAGAAAATACACATCATGGAAGAAAACCTAAAAGTGCCTGCTAGTCAGGCAATTGAGCTAAAATTGTGTGTGGAGACCAGGATCTACGCACCCAGTACACAGTGGTGGGACAGGGACAGAAAAATTGCAGGAAGCACTTGCCTTCAGAAAGGGGAAGAATGAAGTCACCGGTCAGTAACAATTATGAAATGACACTGGAAACCATTTGAGGGCCCTCTGCCCTAACAGAGGGGAGTGTTCTTTGTAAGGCCTATTAGGATGGGTTCCCTGCTCCACCATTTTCCATGACTTTTAGCCCCATCCCTCATTTGCTGTACACATTACCTGTCATTCCTGCTTTCAAACTGGCTTTAAAAAAAAAAATCTAACTGGGCGCGGTGGCTCACACCTGTAATCCCAGCACTTTAGGAGGCTGAGGCAGGTGGATCACCTAAAGACAGGAGTTCAAGACCAGCCTGGCCAACATGGTGAAACCTCGTCTCTACTAAAAATACAAAAATTAGCTGGGCATGGTGGCACGTGCCTGTAATCCTAGCTACTGGGGAGGCTGAAGCAGGAGAATCGCTTGAACCTGGGAGGCGGAGGTTGCAGTGAGCCGAGATCTCACCACTGCACTCCAGCCTGGGCAACAGAGTGAGACTCCGTCTCAAAAAAAAAAAAGAAAAAAAAATAACTTGGCAAATGCAATTAATAAATAACCATGGTACTAAGATTGTTTTCCAAGTTCTTCAAGTAATGTTTCAAGCTTGTTACATTTCTTCCCTTCCAAGTTATCACGTGACAGTTTTACCAGAAGGATTGACATCCTTCCAAACGCCAATGTCAGTTCCTCCAATCACCGTCCTTCCAGCTACCCAAGCTGGGAAAACTATGTCGTTATTCTTGACTCCCAGTCTCTCTCATCTCCCACATGCAATCTGTAAATCCTGCCAGTGGATTCCATCAATTCTGTTACTATTAGATGTTTTAAAATTTTAGTTATACACAAAGCAATTACCTGTAAGCCAGACACACAAGTACAGACCTCCTAACAAATCTGTGAGATTGTTACAGATTTTACAGAAGAAACTAAGGCATGGAGAGGCTAATTAACTTGTCAAGGCACAAAGCTATTAAGTGGCAGAACTGGGATTCAAATTTTGAGTCCCTGAGCTTAATCACCATGTTCTGACCTGAAGCTGTCCCTGCATGTCTGGCTTTGACTGCTACCATGACTACTTGCCCTCCCTGAATATGCTTTTCATTAGCCAATTCCATATTTCTGAACATCCCTACCCTCAGTTTGGGGGAATGGCTGTAGCTGACATTCTCCTGAGTTGGCCTGCTCCTGCCAGGCACCTTCTGCTTCTATTGTGTGTGTGTGTATTGGGCTCTGGGCCAAGGCCTCCTAATATCACCATCCCAAAGCTGTTATTCCCACCTTGGATAAAAACCTGGGTGAATCAACATTAAATGAGCAAAGATAAACTTCTGTTTATTTTTTTAGAGATACAGTCTCATTCTTTTGTTGCCTAGGCTGTACTGGAGTGCAGTACATAGCTCACTGCAGCCTCAAACTCCCAAGCTCGGCCGGGCGCGGTGGCTCACGCCTGTAATCCCAACACTTTGGGAGGCCGAGGCGGGCAGATCACAAGGTCAGGAGATCAAGACCATCCTGGCTAACACTGTGAAGCCCCGTCTCTACTAAAAATACAAAAAATTAGCCGGGCGTGGTGGCGGGCCCCTGTAGTCCCAGCTACTCGAGAGGCTGAGGCAGGAGAATGGCGTGAATCCGAGAGGCGGAGCTTGCAGTGAGCCAAGATGGCGCCACGGCGCCACTGCACCCCAGCCTGGGCGAGAGTGCGAGACTCCGTCTCAAAAACAAAAACAAAAAGCAACAACAACAACAACAACAAAACTCCCAGGCTTAAGTGGTCTTCCCACCTGAGCCTCCTGGGTAGCTGGGACTACCTGCATGTGCCACCACATCTGGCGTGTGTGTGTGTGTGTGTGTGTGTGTGTGTGTGTGTGTGTGTGTGTACGGGGTCTTGCTATATTGCCCAGGCTGGTCTCAAGCTCCTGGCCTCAAGCAATCCTCCCACTTCAGCCTCCCAAAGTGCTGAGATTATAGGCATGAGTTACCACACCTGGCCAGATAAACTTTTGTTGTTGACTAACATTGTTCACAGAAATCTGCCTACTATTCCAACAGGGAATTTCTTAGGGCGCTCCCCGACAACTTTGTTCTTTCTGTTTGGGGGTTACCCAAATTAGAAATCCTTTTCACTTTGTTATCCAGAATGATGTGGTTTCTTCTTTGTCTTGCCTCTGGTACAACCCCACTGGGCTTATCCCACAACCCCACTGGGCTTATCCCACCCCAATTTAGGCCCCACCCATCTTTCTCCTCCAGAAATAAGTCCCCTCCAAGTTTTGAGAGAGTCTTGCTCTGTTGCCCAGGCTGGCATGCAGTGGGGTGATAATTGGCTCACTGCAACCTCTACCTCCTGGATTCAAGTGATTCTCGTGCCTCAGCCTCCCAAGTAGCTGGGACTGCAGGCATGCACCACCACACCTAGCTATTTTTTCTATTTTTAGTAGAGACGGGTTTTCACCATGTTGGCCAGGGTGGTTTCAAACTCCTGACCTCAGGTGATCTGTCTGCCTCGGCCTCCCAAAGTGCTGGGATTACAGGCGTGAGCCACCGCGCCCAGCCAGACACTTTTAATTGACTAAGATTGCTCCTCACCAATCTTAAGATTTTTCCCCAGATTTCCTTCCCAAGCTATCTAGCCCAGCTGCCCAACTAGGCTTTTCTAAACATATCTTTAATGCTTGTCATGATAAGGAATAATGACCCCCTGATTCCTGTCCTCTGCCACTCTATTAGGTATGATTGACAATGTTTTATTTTTCCAGAAATGTTCTTTCTTTTTGGTACAGCCACTGTTTCTTTTATTTTTGTTTTTACAGAAAAAAAGGCCGGGGGAGGGGGGTGGTGGGTGGTCATGGTATGCATACTTCTGCACCTGGCTTTTTTCTCTTGGAGTTCCTTCCACATCAACATAGAGACCTACTTCACTTTTTATTATTTATTTATTTATTTAGAGACAGGATCTTGCTCTGTCATCCAGGCTGGAGCCCCGGGGCTCAATAATCACAGCTCACTGCAGCTATCCTCAAGCTATCCTCCCACCTCTCAGCCTCTTGAGTAGCTAGGACTCCTGGCCCAACCTACTGCCATGACACCAGCTAATTTTTTTTTTTAATAGAGACTGGGTCTTGCTATGTTGCCCAGGCTGGTCTCAACTCCCGGGCTCAACCGATCCTCCCACCTCATCCTCCCAAAGTGCTGGTATTACCGCTGTGAGCACTGCTCTCAGCATTCACCTTTAAAAACATATCTCTATCTATCTATCTATCTATCTATCTATCTATCTATCTATCTATCATCTATCTATCTATCTATCTATATCACGGTTTATTTAGCCACTTCCCTACTGGACATCTCAGTGACCCAGTTCTGTTGTTTTGGCATACAATGCTGCAGTGGACAACCTTCTCCATGTAGTTCATTTTAATCAAACAGCGACTTCAAATTTTGATAGAGCCTCCAAAGAAACGCTAGTATCAAGCCAGTTTGAGAATTTAGTATGCCACTCTCTCCCCTACTGAAAACCTTCTTCCAGGGGCAATGTAATGGAAAGGACTTGGGTTCTGCGCCTAGAACCAAGGAGCCTTGGGTCTTTAACATCTCTGGGCCTCATGTATTCGCCTATGTAAAGTCGGTATAATCTCGCATCTCAGGTTGGTTGTGAGAACCCAGAGACTGCCTCCGTGAAGGCTTGGCATCAGCATAGGCCTCGGCTGTCCTTTAGTTTCAGGGTGTCCCGGGGCACGGGCCAAAACCTCAGGCTGAACCTGCTAGAGGAACCTTCCTGTCCCTTGCAGATTAGGAAAACTGTGGCACAGAAAGCGCCAAGGGGTTGATCAAGACCCCCACAGCTTTGGTCCACGCTGCTGCCGGCGGCTTCGGATCCTGGTCCCGGGGGACTGCGCACATTTGGATGTGGTCAGCAGGGAGGCCTGGCCTGGCCCCTTCCTCTTCTACCCAGTCCTCTCCCCGAACCAATTCCGACCCCTAACGCCCACAGTCCTCACTCGCTTACGGTTCGACCCTTGCCCCAGGGGCGACTGGGTGGGGCCGTCATTCCTGAACAACTAAAAGCTGCTGCGGCCAGCGTCACCTCCGGCCCCAACGGAGACGGTGGGGGCCGTGAGGCTTAGGGACTCCGCGTCCTCCCTCCTGCTGGGCCTCAGCGTGCCCTCTGTACTTGCCTTCTGCTACCAGTGAACGTGAGTGGGACGTGTGTGTAGACAGCAGACGGGTCTTGTGCAGCTGTGTGACGTGTGTGTTGTGTGGTGAACCCTTCTTTATGTAGATATGTGAAGTGTGTGTGCTGTGGTGCACAGATGTAGGGGCTCACGAAGTACTGGGCTCCTTGCTCCTAGAGCCCGAACAGTTCCCAACGTTACAGCCCTGCCCGACTCAGCCTCCGCAGAGACGGCGGCGGGACCCGCAGTTTGCGCGTGCGCGGCTCCGCCCCAGGCTCCTCCCTCGCGCTGGCACTCCCGCCTTCGCCCGGCCCTCCCCGCGCTTTACGGCCCGGCACGCCACTTTTACTGCAGTCGCGCCCGCCGCCGTCGTTGCCCCCGCTGCCGCGGCTGCTGCAGGTGAGGTGAAGTGAGGTGAGGTGTGGTGTTGGGCCGGTGCTGCTGCCGCTGCCGCCGGGGAGGAGGTGGAAAGCGGGGCTGTGGCGGGCCGGCGGGGGCGGCCTGTCAGCCGCTGCTTTGTCTCCTTAGCTCGGGTCCCTTCTGCGCTGCCGCAGGGAGGCCGCCCGGGCCAGGCGAGCCGAACCAATGCTGGACCTGGAGGTAGTGCCCGAACGCTCTCTGGGGAACGAGCAATGGGAATTCACGCTGGGTGAGTTTGGGGTCCTCTGTCAGGACCCCATTCGCTGATCCTTGCTTTCTCCTGGGCTCTTCCCACCTGTTCTCAGTCTCTCACGCCCCTGCGCCCGCAGCTCCTCACCTCTTTCGTCCTCTCGGCTCGCTGGGCTCCAGGCACTAGATACCCGCTCCAACTGGCCCGATTTGCCTGTCAGTTGCTCGTCTCGGGTCTCAGCAGGGTCTCTTCTGGGACGGTGGAACAGTAGTAGTAAAGACAATAATAGCTTGCTCTCCCCAAATGCCTAATGCCCGGCCCTGCTCTTTTTGGACGTAATTCTCTCTAGTACCCCTCGCCGGCACCTGAGGATAGGTACTGTTGTTATTCCCATTTCCATTTTACAGACTAAATAATGGCTGAGAAGTGGCTGACCCCTCTGATCATCACTGTGGCCTGTGGTCTGTCTCCCACTGCTTTTCTGGGCTGTGGCTTCCTTCCCCTTTTTAGGAGGGGAAACCTAGGCTTGGAACCCATGATCAGATGTTGGGGCTCTGGTCAAGGGAGTTGAGTTTGTGTGTATTAAAGGAACAGCTGACTTGCTTCTCTCTTTTTTTTCTTTTTTTTTGAGACGAAGTCTCGCTCTGTCGCCCAGGCTGGAGTGCTGTTGCGTGATCTTGGCTCACTGCAACTTAACGCCTCGTGGGTTTAAGCGATTCTCCTGCCTCAGCCTCCCCAGTAGCTAGGATTACAGGCACGCGCCACCACACCCGGCTAATTTTTGTATTTTTAGTAGAGACGAGGTTTCACCATGTTGACCAGGCTGGCTGGTTTCGAATTCCTGACCTCGTGATCCGCCCACCTCGGCCTCCCAAAGTGCTGGGATTACAGGCGTGAGCCACTGCACCCGGCCCCGCTTCTCTCTCTTTTGAAATATAGTCTGTATCGGATGCTGTAATCCTAAACCCAGACCTCAGTTGTGACAGGTGAAGGTTGGATGAAATAGGAGTTAGGGAGAAGTAACATTTAGTTTCTAAAAAATGCAGTTTGGTCGTTTTGGGGTTTGCTGGCCCAGCCTTCTCCCTTCACCCTCTCCATTTCCAGCATCACTACTTTTATGTGTACAAGGATGTTTGCATTCAGTAACCCCTGTGTGTTTACTTTGATGTCCCAGCACTAAGAAAAGGGGGTGGGGTAGGTGTTGGTGCTGTTTGTTTGTGCAGGCCTGAACTTTAGTCACTCTAGTGTGAGCTACTGGACTAAATCAGCTGCTCCATTGGATTATAAATTATCCTTGACTCTGGAAGACTTATGTCTGTGGAGACAGTGTGTTGGAGAAACCAGGTGGTACAGATTGCTGGTAAGGCCCTGCTGATGCTTAGTGGCTACATATGTCCTGTGTGTTGTAAGAGCTAGTTTTTGTTGTTGGTGTTTTGTTTTAAGACAGAGTCACTCTGTTGCCCAGGTTGGAGTGCAGTGGCACAATATCGGCTCACTGCAACCTCTGCCTCCCGGGTTCAAGCAATTCTCTTGCCTCAGCCTCCCTACTAGTAGCTGGGATTACAGGCGTCTGCCACCACACCCGGCTAATTTTTGTATTTTTAGTAGAGATTGGGTTTCGCCATGTTGGCTAGGCTGGTCTCGAACTCCTGACTTCAAGTGATCCGCCTTGGCCTCCCAAAGTGCTAGGATTACAGGTGTGAGCCACCATGCCCAACCATAAAAGCCGGTTTAATTTAGGGGAGTTGGCCAAATTCTTTCATAACTTAACACCACTCCTGCAGAGTTCTTTCCAAAATATTAGCTGGTACAAAATGCTCCATTCTCTCGTGAAGCACTAAGAGCTTGGTTGGAAGGCTGGTGATACCATGCTAATGCTGTTTGGCTTCTGGTTAACTCCTTTCCTCCCCTCTCCTTGACAGCTTCTACCCAAGCAAGATCCTCCCACGGCTGGATAAAAACCACAACCATAGCTTCAAACTGTGCTTAGTAGTGTGACTAGGTTGTGGATCTCTTGGTGGTACAAGTATTCAGAGTCCCTTGGTCAAAAGCAGTGGTAGGGACTGGGTGCAGTAACTCATGGCTGTAATCCCAACACTTTGGGAAGCTGAGACAGGAGGATAGCTTGAAGCCAGGAGTTCAAGACCAGCCTAGGCAACATAGTGAGACCTCGTTTCTACCAAAAAAAAAAAAAAAAAAAAAAGCCAGGCCTGTAGTCTTAACTACTCGGGAGGCTGAGATGGAAGGATCACTTGAGGCTGGGAGGTCAAGGCTGCCGTGGGTCATGATCACACCACTGGGCGTGATCCTGGGTGACAGAGAGAGACCCTGTCTCAAGGAGACAAAAAAAAAAAGTAGTTACTAGGATATTAATTGAGATGAGGATTTCCAGAAAACTGAGTGAGAGAGCAAGGCTTCTCTCAGCTGTTGTTTTGATACCCTAACCCTGACTCCTAGCTCTGCTAGTTTCCCAGGAATCAAGGGTTTACACAGTTCTTACAAACTGTCTAAATAGCAACCAAAAACAGTGAGAAGGGCATTTCTGTATATTGGGTCAAGAATTGAATTTTAGGGGGAAGCTCATAGACTGGCCCAGAGGCTTCATGATTCCCTTGGGTCTTAAAATTCATTTTTACATGGTGTCTGCCTGAGAGATGGTGTTAATTTAACTTTATCAGACTTTAAAAATGGAAAGTCATTTTCCACCTCTGTCAATCTCCTCCCCCACCCTGAACACGTCCAAACTACATTTGGGGCTGTTAGGTAGGGATAGGTCTCGGAAGGGAATCTGCTTTAGAATTACATGCCTAGGCTAGTGAACCAGGAAGAACTTACCTCTTGCCACCACAGGCTTGTAAGATAGGTGTTGTTATCTCTTTTTGCCAGGTGAGGGACAGGCTCAGAGAGAGAGATGATAAACAAAAGTCGCCAAACAGGCATATCCTGCATGCCACTGCTCTTTCCTTCTGAAAGTGGACTCAACTTTGTCACCAGGTTTCTTATTGGAATCTGTGCAAATGCAGATGCAATTATCTGCCTGGCATCACAATGGGAAGCTGCATCCTGGCAGCTCCTTGGCTGCCTTCCTGGTTGTATAATGTTGGATGATTAGGGAAATGCGAGCAACACAGGGAAAGGAAAACCTAGGCCAAGCAGAATCTCTGTGAATATGAATGTCACTGATGATTTGACCAGCAGTGGAGTAAAGGCAGTGCAGATTTGAAATGTTTTGTTTTCTTTTTTTCTTTTTCTTTTTTTTTTTTTTTTGAGACGGTGTCTCACTCTGTTGCCCAGGCTAGAGTGCAGTAGCGTGATTTTGGCTCACTGCAAGCTCCACCTCCCAGGTTCATGCCATTCTTCTGCCTCAGCCTCCCAAGTAGCTGGGACTACAGGCGCCCGCCACCACGCCCAGCTAATTTTTTGTATTTTTAGCAGAGACAGGGTTTCACCGTGTTAGCCAGGATGGTCTTGATCTCCTGACGTCGTGATCCGCCCACCTCGGCCTCCCAAAGTGCTGGGATTACAGGCGTGAGCCACCGCACCCAGCCTCTTTTTTTTTTTTTTTTGAGACAGAGTCTTACTCTGTCGCCCAGGCTGGAGTGCAGTGGCGTGATCTTGGCTCACTGCAACTTCTGCCTCTTGCGATTATAGGCTTGCGCACACCAGGTAATTTTTTACTTTTAGTAGAGATGGGGTTTCACGATGTTGACCAGGCTGGTCTCGAACTCCTGACTTCAAGTGATCCTCCCGTCTCGGCTCCCAAAGTGCTGGGAGGCATGAGCATTTGTGCCGGGCCCTGAAATGTTTTCAATGAGAGTTGCAGAATGTATTGATGCAGAGGCAAGTCTCTGAATTTGTTTTTGAAATTAGTCTTGAAAGGGACTAAAAAAGGTAGATTTAAAGGGTCAGTGAAGAAAATACCTTCTCCGAGATTACCTTGTTCCACAGAGACTGAAGGCTCACTGTGTTGAAGGCATCATCTACCTCTGTGAACTCTGCTCACAAACATTGAAAATAAACAGTGCACAGTGACTCATGCTTGTACTTTGGGAGGCTGAGGTGAGGGGATCACTTGAGCCAAGAGTTTGAGACCAGCCTAGGTAACATAGTGAGACCCTGTCTCTATTTAAATAAAAAATAAATAAATAAAAATTTAAAAAAAAAGAAATGATCTTATTCCCTGAAGAGCTTAGTCTAGTGATAGAGAGGGATTATAGAAATAGTTCCTTTTATTATAATCAAGTAGAAGATGTATAGGGTACTGTGGAGGGGAAGAAGAAGGGACTTGACCTGACCTAGGGGTTCAGAGAAGGCTTCCTGCCAAACAACAGGAGCTGGAAATCTTCCAGTCGAATGAAAGAAGAAAAAAAAAAAAAACCACAGGAGAAAAGGTAGATGATGTGTGCAGGGAACTATAAGCAATTTGGTATTATAATTAGAGCATGATGTACTGGTAGAAGAAGAAAATGGATTTCCCAGAGTCCCAATTCTGTTTGGTTATAGCTGCCTGGGATACTATCAAGGATACTTTGTGTTGGAATCTGTGCAAATCTGTGGAAAAAAGGATATGTATTAGTGAAGTGTATTGTGGGCTTTCGTTTAGGAAGAACTGGATTTGGAGAGGTGGGGAAGAAGGAGGAATCTAGAGGTTTCTGACTTGAGAAACTCTGTATGATGTTGGACATAGATATTGAGACCTAGAATACAGAGAAGATGAAAAGATCACTTTTAATCTGTTGGCTTTTATTTGCCTTTAGATGTATACAGAAAACAGATGGAGATATGAGTCAGAAACTGGGTGGTTAGTTGAACCAGGGATGAGCAGAAGAAACATAGCCTATTGGAGAGACTTGGAAAAGTTAGAGGAGAGTAGTATTGGTGGAGAGACAATAGGAGTTCAAGAGAAGGAGGGTGGTCAACAGGATTCGTGGTATAGGACCTAAGTGTTCTACCTAATTGCTTTGTTTCACAGATGTGCATGACCACCTACAGCTGTGCCAGGCACAGTGATTGGGTGCTGGGAGGTATTGAGGTGAACAAGACAGACAAGGTCCTACCTCTGTGAGGATATAAGGGAGACTAACAGATAAATAAATGGTATGAGAGGCTTCATTGAATAAGGCAGTGAGGGAAGTGAGGTGTGACCAAGACCTAAAGTGCGAACAAGAGGCAGCTTTGGGTAGAGCATTCCAGATTCCAGCAGCAACAAGAGCTAATTCAGAAGCCTGAGGTGAGAAGGAGCTTGACGTGTGCAAGTAACAAAGGGTGAACAGTGGAAAGAAGATATAGATGGGTAAGATCCAGAATATTCAGGGCCTTTGGTGATGACATGGTGTTTGGGTTTTATCTGCCTGCAATGGGAAGCCATTGAGAGGTTATAAGCAGGCAAGTGCTGAGATCTGTGAGACAAAGATTTGTGCGGTTTAGAAGGCTGACCATTCTGTTAGAGCTGGGATAGTGCTCCTGTTTCTTTGCCATTCATATAGTTAGTTCCCTTTAGAGATCTTTCGTAGCCCTCCTTTACCAGTAGCTGTGTGATGACCAGTCACCATGGCTGCTTCGTCTCCTCTGGGTGAGTTTCTCCCTGGGTGACTCAGGATCCTAAGATCCTAAGATGCTGAGACATCCTTTGATGTGGTAAATGGAATCCTCCCTCAAGAAACTGGCATGGGCTGGGAGCGGTGGCTCATGTCTATAATCCCAGCATTTTGGGAGGCCGAGACGGGAGGATAGCTTGAGCTCAGGAGTTTGAGGCCAGCCTGGGTGGCATAGCAAGACCCCGTCTCTTTGAAAAAAAGAAAAAGAAACTGGCATGTGCCACGTGGATCAGAGAAGCCATGCGGCCTTCCTCTTTCTTGACATCTAACTAACTGAGTTTCTCTGTCTTCTGCACGTGGATGTTTGTCCATTCCTCCTGGGAATGACAGCATAGATGTTCCTCCATTTAGGAATGGCAAAGGTGAGGGATGCATCCAGCTTGTTCATATTCTCAAACATTTATTGAGTCCCTACTGTGGGCCAGGTTTTATGCTATGGAAGGCTGAAAAGTGCTTTTTTAAAGATTATAAGTCAGCCTTGTGATGATTGCCTTCAACTTTCTTCAGACTGAAGAATGGCCTCTCAGATGAGGGTAGAATCAGATTGTTTAAATGTAGATGAGCCATGAGCTTTTTACCTTCTAATTAATTCTTCATTTGTCAGCTCTTTTTTGCATATCGCATCTCTTTGACCTGGAGGCCAACTGATTTAAATGTGAACTGACTGCCATCGGATGAAGCCATGGTCCCTTTTCCTTCCTTTCTCTTGTCACCCACTCTACAATCCATCAGTCCCACTCAGTAAATATTTATTCAATAGTCACTGTATTGGCCACGTGCGGTGGCTCACACCTGTAATTCTAGCACTTTAGAAAGCGGAGGTGGGAGGATTACATGAGCCCAGGAGTTCAAGACCAGTCTGGGCAACACAGTGAGACCTAGTCTCTACCAAAAATTTAAAAGTTAGCCAGTTGTGGTGGCACATGCCTGTAGTCCCAGCTACTCAGGAGACTGAGGTGGGAGTATCTCTTGAGCCTGGGAGACAGAGGTTTCAGTGAGCCAAGATTGCACCACTACACTCCAGCCTGGGTGACACAGTGAGATTGTGTCTCAAAAAAACAAAACAAAACCAGTCACTGGGTGGTTAGCTCTGAGCAGGGTACAAGGGATCCAGAGAGTGGTGAACAGCAGATACATTGTTTTTGTATTCATTAAACTATGAGTCTTTGTTTTTTGATTGCCCAGGACCTGTCTCTATGTGTGTTTCTTCTTGTTTAAATTATAATGGACTCTGGAAACAAACTTTTTTTTTTGAGACGGAGTGTCACTCTGTCGCCAAAGTTGGAGCGCAGTGGCACGATCTCAGCTCACTGCAACTTCTGCCTGCCAGGTTTAAGCAATTCTCCTGACTCAGCTTCCTGAGTAGCTGGGACTACAGGCACACACCACCATGCCCAGCTAATTTTTTTTTTTTTTTTTTTTTTTGTATTTTTAGTGGAGACAGGGTTTCACCAAGCCGGCCAGGCTGGTCTCAAACTCCTGACCTCGTGATCCGCCTGCCTCGGCCTCCCAAAGTGCTGGGATTACAGGTGTGAGCCACCGCGCCCAGCCTGGAAACAAACTTTTTGGTGGTCTCAGTGAGTCCTTAGACTGTTGGAGATGTCATTGGAATTTGGATTACTTAAACTGGAGGCATATGTAAATCTGCTTATAATGGGCCATGAGTTAAAGAACCAAGTGTTAAGAGTTAGATATTCAGGCCGGGCACAGTGGCTCATGCCTGTAATCCCAGCACTTTGGGAGGCCGAGGCGGTGGATCACGAGGTCAGGAGATCGAGACCATCCTGGCTTACATGGTGAAACCCTGTCTCTACTAAAAAATACAAAAAATTAGCCAGGCGTGGTGGCGGGAGCCTGTGGTCTGAGGCAGGAGAATGGCGTGAACCCAGGAGGCGGAGCTTGCAGTGAGCGGAAATCGCACCATTGCACTCCAGCCTGGACAACAGAGCGAGACTTCAGACTGCGTCTCAAAAAAAAAAAAAGAGATATTCAGGAATGCCTCGCCCTGTTGCTTTTTTTTTTTTTTTCCTCCTGAGACAGCACCTGGCTCTGTCACCCAGGCCAGAGTGCAGCCTCCACCTCCCAAGCTCAAGCCATCCTTTCACCTCAGCCTCCTGAGTAGCTGGGATGACAGGGGCACACCATCATGCCTGGCTGATTTTTTTTTTTTTTTTTGAGATAGAGTCTCGCTCTGTAGCCCGGGCTGGAGTGCAGTGGCGCAATCTTGGCTCCCTGCAAGCTCCACCTCCCAGGTTCATGCCATTCTCCTGTCTCAGCCTCCCAAGTAACTATGGGACTACAGGCGCCCGCCACCACGCCCGGCTAATTTTTTTTTTTTTTTTTTTTTTTTCTTTTTTAGTAGAGATGGGCTTTCACCATGTTAGCCAGGATGGTCTCGATCTCCTGACCTCGTGATCTGCCCTCCTCGGCCTCCCAAAGTGCTGGGATTACGGACGTGAGCCACTGCACCTGGCTGCCTAGCTAATTTTTTTGTATTTTAATAGGCATGAGCCACCGTACCCTGCCCCTGTTGCTTTTTTTTTTTTTTTTTTTTTTTGAGACAGAGTCTTGCTCTGTCTCCCAGGCTGGAGTGCAGTGGCGCTATCTCGGTTCACTACAACCTCTGCCTCCTGAGTTCAAGCAGTTCTCCTGCCTCAGCCTCCAGAGTAGCTGGGACTACAGGTGTGTGCCACCATGCCTGGCTAATTTTTGCATTTTTAATGGAGACAGGGTTTCACCACGTTGGCTAGGTTGGTCTTGAACTTCTAACCTGATGATCTGCCCATCTCGGCCTCCCAAAGTGCTGGGATTACAGGTGTGAGCCACCGGGCCTGGCCCCTTGTCGCTATTTTTAAATTAAATAAAAAATAAAAAGAACTAGATATTTGTGGGATTTTAAGTAAAAATCCAGTGAAATCCTTGGTAAAATAAGTTGATTCATTGATTCTGGTGGATGAGTGATCTTAAACTTTTTTTTTTTTTTTTTTTTTTTTTTGAGATAGGGTCTTGTCTGTCACCCAGGCGGGAGCACAGTAGCACTTATCATGGCTCACTGCAGGATCAACCTCCTGGGCCGAAGCAATCCTCTCACCTTAGCCACCCCAGGACCTAGAGTAGTCCCGGCATATCCCACCATGCCCAGCTAATTTTTTTACTTTTTGTAGAGACAGGATCTTACTATATTCCCAGGCTGGTCTTAAATTCCTGGCCTCAGGCGATCCTCCTGCCCTGCCCTCCCAAAGTGTTGGGATTACAGGCATGAGCCACCACACCCAGTCCTGATTTTAAACTTTTAAAATTGTTCCTTATAAGTCATGTACTCTAATAGGCCTTCATTTCAGAGATGCAGAGACAGGTGCCAGAAAGGAAGAGAAAGGACCTATCTCAGGTCATATCTAAGCCATGGCAGAGTGAGGACCAAAACCTGGGTCTGCAGAATTATGCAGTCAGTGCTTTTCTTGCTTGGTTCTTTGATTCATACTTACTTTGCTTTCTCTGAGCGCTTGTCTGTGTCAGATCAGTGTGGAGGTCCCTGTTTCCAGGAAGACTTTTTGTATATTCACTGCCTCCCATCCCCTTCCATGCATGTCCAACCTTTTGGCTTCCCTGGGCCACATTGGAAGAAGAATTGTCTTGAGCCACACATAAAATAGACTAACACTAATGATAGTTAATGAGCTTAAAAAAAATAAAAATGTAAAAAGGGTCCATGCATCATACGCATCTTTTTTTTTTTTTTTTATAGACAGAGTTTTGCTCTGTTGCCCAGGCCGAGTGCAGTGGCGTGATCTTGGCTCACTGCAACCTCCGCCTCCTGGGTTCAAGCATTTCTCCTGCCTCAGCCTCCCGGGTAGCTGGGACTACAAGGGCAGCCACCTCGCCTGGCTAATTTTTTTTTTTTTTTTTTTTTAGTAGAGTCAGAGTTTTACCATGTTAGCTAGGCTGGTTTCAAATGCCTGACCTCAAGTGATCCTCCCACCTTGGCCTCCGAAAGTGCTGGGATTGCAGGCATAAGCCACCACGCCCGGCCCATGCATGATTTTTGTGATATCCACCACCACAGATAAGCAAAAGAGTCCTTGCATTCAAAGAGTTGGACACCTGTGCACCGTCCAAGTATTCTCTTAGTGCTTGCTGCTTAACATTATTGTAGCTCTTACTGCTTATTGAACTCTTATTTACTCATGTATCTGTAGACCTTAGTAGCCCCCAAACATCCCCAGGCTTTACTGCAGGGACCAGTGCCTAGTGAAGTGGTAGATGTCAATAGATGGATAGCCAAAATAACCACATAGGTGTCTTGCTTTATTTCAGGAATGCCTCTGGCTCAGGCAGTAGCCATTCTTCAGAAGCACTGTCGCATCATCAAAAACGTCCAGGTTCTCTACAGTGAACAGGTGAGTGGTGGCTGATTTGTTTATTGAAATAGCATCCCTCGGTAGTGAGTCACTTCCAGAGCTGATGCTTTGGGATAGGCTGACTGGCAAGGATAGCTGTGTTCGAATGGGAGAATCTCTAGCACCAGCCAGTTATCAAGTACCTTTTCTTTGATTCTGAAACTTCTGCTCTTGATTATCTAGTACAGCTAGGTTTGGAAGAGCGGTAGTAATTGAACCTTTGTTTTGTCTGTGCTCAACTTGCCTACAGGCCCTTAAACAGGGACTTTTCAGTGGTAGGTCGCTTCAGAGGCTGTCTCTGGTCTTTTAGAGTGCTTACCTTCCACTTCCGTGTTTAAAATTGTCTTTTCTGCTTTTGTTGGTTAGTTTGTGTTCAGGATTTTTGCAGTGCAGATCTCTAGCTAGCACGGCATACCAGATTTGAAAGGAAACAGATATAATTCACCCCTTTATCTCTCTCAAAGAGCAATCTTCCCACCACTGAATTCTCTGAAACCTGCAGTTCTGTGACACAGACCATGTGCTGCCATGTTGAACAGCCTTTGTGGTGTCCTGTGTGTCACAAGCCTCAGGGAATAGTTTTGAGCCTACAGAGGCTAAAGGATGTCCCCAGTGACTTTTCTGAGACCCTTTGAGTACTAGTTTGATTATTTCAGTTCCAATTAGTTTCAGATCCTAAAGCAAATGACAGCTTATTTCTGACATGAAGAATGTTGTAAATTGTAGGTAGGCAAAATTTCTGAGAGGCTTCTCAGTTTGACTTGGAGCACAGTCAGAATTGGGCCTGTTACCTATACCCAGAGATTACATTCTGCCATGTTGTACCCCTCTACCAGCCTAGTGAGACCCTCATTTGAGGGATCTGATAGAAGACATGCTTAATCTCCAAGCAAGTGCTTGAGTATTCATGTGGTGCCTATGACAGAACAGGAGACTTGTAGGAGTGGGCATGTGGTGCCTATGACAGAACAGGGGACTTGTAGGAGTGGGCAGGGGTTTCTTTTTTTTTTTTTGAGATGGAGTCTCGCTCTGTCGCCTAGGCTAGAGTGCAGTGGCACAATCTCGGCTCACTGCAGGCTCCGCCTCCTGGGTTCACCCGCCATTCTCCTGCCTCAGCCTCCCGAGTAGCTGGGACTACAGGCGCCCACCACCACACCCAGCTAATTTTTTTTTTTTTTTTTGTATTTTTAGTAGAGACAGGTTTTCACCCCATTAGCCAGGATGGTCTCGATCTCCTGACCTCGTGATCTGCCCGCCTCGACCTCCCAGAGTGCTGGGATTACAAGCGTGAGCCACCGTGCCTGGCCAAGAGTGGGCAGGGGTTTCTTAAACCACCATGGATTATCAGTGCCAAAGTGGATTCTCGTTAATTAAATTAATTTATTTACTTTTTTTTTTTTTTTGAGACAGAGTTTTGCTGTTGTTGCGCAAACTGGAGTGCAATGGTGCAATCTCGGCTCACCTCAACCTGCGCCTCCCGAGTTCAAGCGATTCTCCTGCCTCAGCCTCCCGAGTAGCTGGGGTTACAGGCATGTACCACCACTCCCAGCTAATTTTGTATTTTTAGTAGAGACAGGGTTTCTCCGTGTTGGTCAGGCTGGTCTCGAACTCCTGACCTCAGGTGATCCACCGGCCTCGGCCTCCCAAAGTACTGGGATTACAGACGTGAGCCACCAGGCTTGGCCTATTTAACTTTTAAGAAAATTTATTTTAGTTTTTTTGAGACAGTATCTTGCTTTGTCATCCAGACTAGAGTGTAGTGACATGATCACAACTCACTGCAGCCTCAATCCCCTAGGCTCAAGTGATCCTCCCACCTCAGTCTCCTGAGTAGCTGGGACCACAGGTTCATGCCACCAGGCCTGGCTAATTTATTTTTATATTTTGTAGAGATGGGGTCTCACTGTGTTTTTCAGGCTGGTCTCAAACTCCTGGACTCAAGTGATCCTCCCACCTCAGCCTCCCAAAGTGCTGGGATTACAGGCGTGAGCCACCGTGACCGGCCAAAATGTATTTCTTATATCACCATCATCATTGTCTGTTATTCCAGTATTTGGGTATAAACAGTGTTAGCATTAAGCTGATTTTCCCCAATATCTTCTGAGCAACTTTAACACATTAGCAAATATGGGTTTGACCAGGCACTGTGGCTCACACCACTAACCCCAACACTTCGGGAGGGCCGAGGCAGGAAGATTGCTTGAGTCCAAGAGTTCGAGACCAGCCAGGGCAACATAAAATAAAAAATTAACCTGGAGTGGTGGCACACACCTGTAATCCTGGCTATTCAGGAGGCTGAGGTGGGAGGATCATGAGCAGTGAGGTATGATTGTATCACTGCACTTCAGCCTAGGTGACAGAGCAAGACCCTGTCTCAAAAAAAAAAAAAAAAAAAATGGGTTTTTGAGTCTGAATCCTGATTTAGATCTCTGCTTTTCTCATTTCTAATTCATGAGAGTTGTGGCATATTAATAAGTAATCTGGTTATCTTTATGTAAAACAGTATAGTTTCTTGATAATAGAATAATCTTTGGGTTTGTTTATTTGTTTCTGAGACAGAGTCTTGCTCCGTCACCCAGGCTGGGGTACAGTGGCACGATCTTGGCTCACTGCAACTTCCACCTCCCAGGCTCAACCGATTCTCCTGCCTCAGCCTCCCAAGTACCTGCGATTACAGGCACATGCCACCATGCCTGGCTAATTTTTGTATTTTTAGCAGAGATGGGGTTTCACCATGTTGGCCAGGCTGATCTCAAACTCCTGACCTCAAGTGATCCGCCCGTCTTGTCCTCCCAAAGTGCTCGGATTACAAGCATGAGCCACCACACCCAGCCTAGGATAATCTTTGGATGAGGATCAAAAGGAGATGGTCTCTCAGAACTCTGATCTGATGCTTTTTTTTTTTTTTTTGAAGCAGCATCTTGCTCTGTCACCAATTCTGGAGTGCAGTGGCATGATCATGGCTCACTGGAACCTCCCCTACCCTTCCTCCTTTAGTTTTGCCACTCCTGGGCTCCAGCCGTCCTCCCACCTCAGCCTCCTGGGTAGCTGGGACCACAGGTGTATGCCACCACATCTGGCTATTAAAAAAAAAAAATTTGGCCAGGTGCAGTGGCTCATGCCTTTAATCCCAGCAGTTTAGGAGGCCGAGACGGGCAGATCACTTCAGGTCAGGAGTTCGAGACCAGCCTGGCCAACATGGTGAAACCCCGTCTTTACTAAAAGTACAAAAATTAGCCAGGTGTGGTGGTGCATACCTGTAATCCCAGCTACTGGGGAGGCTGGAGCAGGAGAATCACTTGAACCTGAGAGGCGGAGGTTGCAGTGAGCCAAGATCGTGCCACTGCGCTCCTAGGCAACAGAGTGAGACTCCATCTCAAAAAAAATTTTTTTGTAGAGACAGGGTCTCATTATATTTGCCCAGACTGGTCTCAAACTCCTGGCTTTAAGCATTCCGCCTGCCACGACCTCCCAAAGTGCTGGCATGAACCACCGCACCCAGCCAATGTGATGCTTCTTAAATTTGGGTCCTGTCCTCTTCTTCTGCCTACTTTATTCCCTTCCTTACCCATTTGTCTCTTTGTTTCCCAAATGCAGAAAACATTTTGTCTGCATTAAACATTTCAGAAATATGTTCTTGTCTCTATGCAAATCACACCTTGGAAATGAAATGTCAAGTACGTCCCATCTTTCTTAGAGGGAAAAGATATTAACAACTAGTAGCAGATGATTTTACTGAACTGCTTCATGTGAAGGACAGCTAGGTTACTGGAAGAACCTGCTTAAATACCACATAGTGCATGTGTATTTTGGTTTTAGAGATATAAAGTATTAATAAAACATTGACTCTGAGAGTAATTTGATTGCTTTTGAAAATTGCTAGGTTATATCCTGAATTATAACAATGCCAGGAAAAAAAAAAAAGATCAGATCTTGGGAAAGTATAGGAAAATCCAGATCCTGGCACATGCCTCCTCCAAGCAAGATTCCTGAAAGAGACTAAAATGTTGCTTCACTCTGCTTATTCCATGGAATGGCTCTCTCCAAAATGGAACTTTGTGTTCTGGGTTGATACTGGTAATCCAAGGTCATAGTTCATTGTTCCATTATCTTGCTTGAGACCTAATGGTTTAGACATTCATATAGACCTACTAGCAAATACAACATTCTTCCTTTAGTTTTTGCCAAGCATGATGGTACTATCTGGGCCTGCTGCTTTGTGGGGATCAATGGGTTGGAAGGAAGCAACCTGCCCTAATCCCAAAAGACTCTTAGGAGAGAATTTCTCCAATGAGGCCAACACCAGCAGTGGCTTATGGCCTTCCAGCCTATGTCTGTCTCTGATAGCCATATCTCCATCATTCACTTTGTCTAACTTGAGAAGCTCTATAAAGAAACTAAACCTTTGGCCGAGCACAGTGGCTCACGCCTGTAATCCCACCACTTTGGGAGGCTGAGGCAGATGGATCACGAGGTCAGGAGATGGATCACGAGGTCAGGAGATCAAGACCATCCTGGCTAACACGGTGAAACCCCATCTGTACTAAAAATACAAAAAGTCAGCCGGGCGTGGTGGCGGGCGCCTGTAGTCCCAGCTACTCGGGAGGCTGAGGCAGGAGAATGGTGTGAACCCAGGAGGTGGAGGTTGCAGTGAGCCAAGATTGTGCCACCGCACTCCAGCCTGGGCAACAGAGAGAGACTTCATCCAAAAAAAAAAAAAAAAAGTAACTAAACCTTTTGAGCAGCCATGTGTTAAAGAAGGGTGGGGTTTTAGATGGTGTTTTTCCTTCTACTATTGGGCAGCCTCAATCAGGGCTGTGGAGAATCTTCAGACATTGAATCCTTGAATTAATTGCATTGGACCAGAAGCATGCAGATGGGGCAGACACAAGAGGAGAGTGCTGTGTGCCAGGTATTGGGCTAGATGCTTTCTGACCTACTATCTCTGTCCTCATAACAACCCTGGAGGGAAGGGATGAAAGTATTCCCATGAAGAAACCAGAGCTCAGAGAAGTTTTGAGAGTTACCTAAGGTCACCAGGGTTCTGTCCACTGCTTTGTTCTGCTACTCCCCTCCCCCAGGATTCAGAAGGGGCAAATGCAGAAATATGACTCTTTAGATCTTAGACTTCGGCTTTTCAGGAAGAAGCACAAATGAAATGGGATGGGAGGCTGGGGGGAGAGAGAAAAAGGATAAGAGGGTCATCTCATAATCAGATCACAATATATTTCTTTGTCCTAGAATTTGATCTAAACCATCAAAGAATAAAAATGTGTTCCCTGTGGATGGTACAAACAGCCTGAGTGTGAATGGATGTAGGTTCAGCTGATAGGCATAAGCAATATCTGCTGAGTTTAGATCCTGGACTAGGCCTTTTCACATGACCTGTATTCCTCACCAACTGCTCTGTAGGTTCGATGGCAGTGAACTTCATTTTGCAGATGTGGACCCTGGAGCCTGAAAGGAGAATGACCTGTATACTCATATAACTTTGTCCCTTTTCCCCAGGTATTTTTACTCAAGCCCAGAAGGGAGAGGCTCTTTTCAGCCGATATTAAGAAACAGCAGCTGCAGGCTAGAAGTAAAAAACACCATATGTTCATGCAGCAGTTTTTTTCTGGTTTCCAAGCACCATTAGCTGGAGGAGAGAGGGACTGTCTGCACTTAGATATTCCTTGTGTGTTGCATTTGTATTGTAAGGCTTTCAGTAGGTGCTTAGTGAATAAATCAGTTACTCAGAATGTATTTTATTTTTGTTTTGTAGTCTCCTCTAAGCCATGACCTCATTCTTAACCTGACTCAGGACGGGATCAAACTAATGTTTGATGCTTTCAATCAGAGACTTAAGGTAACTATAAATGACAACTAATGTTTCATGTCCAGCTGGGCCAGTCTTTCTGGAGCTAATTAGTATGTGCTATTGTGAGATGTTTCAAAACTTATAAGTAGGTGTGGACTTCTTTGGTTCAGAGATCACTACAATGTAGGGAACTGAAGCTGTGCCTGTTCCCCTAAAAAGAGGGAAGATGGAAGTGGGTTGGGATGGTCAGAAAGAGGCTGGGAAGGGCTGCTTTCCCAGGCTCCAGAGGGGAAGGTGAAAGAGTGTTGAAGATTTGGGAAACATGCTGTGGGGAGGGGGCTTTCATGTCCAGTAGGAAAACAAGATAGTTTTACTTCATTCTTTTGTCAAACACTGTAACTTGGTTAGAAAATGGAAACTGTTCTTCCTAGAATGCTGGGGCTTGGGTTAACAATACCAGCAATGAGTTGATTCTTTAACCCTGGGGAGGAAATGTAAAAAAACAACTTACTAATATGTAGGGCTATCTTAATTGGCATTTGAGTGCAATTTGCTAACACCTGTTTGAGTCCAGTCTGGTTTTCTTTGTTTTTGTTTTTGGTTTTTTTTTTTTTTTTTGAGATGAGGTCTAGCTCTGTCACCCAGGCTGGAGTGCAGTGGCTTGATCTTGGCTCACTGCCACCTCCTGGGTTCAAGCGATTCTTCTGCCTCAGCCTCCTGAGTAGCTGGGACTACAGGTGCACGCCACCACGCCCAGCTAAATTTTTGTATTTTTAGTAGAGATGGGGTTTTACCATGTTGACCAGGCTGTTTTCGAACTCCTGACCTTGTGATCCGCCCACCACAGCCTCCCAAAGTGCTGGGATTACAGGCGTGAGCCACCATGACCAGCCCAGTCTTTTTTTTTTTTTTGAGACAGAGTCTCACTGTGTCACCCAGGCTGGCGTGAAGTGGTGCAATCTTGGCTCACTGCAACCTCTGCCTCCCGGGTTTAAGCAATTCTCCTGCCTCAGCCTCCTCAGTAGCTGGGACTACAGGTGCGTGCCACTACGCCCAGCTAATTTTTTGTTTCACCATGTTGGCCAGGCTGGTCTTGATCTCTTGACCTCGTGATCCGCCCGCCTCGGCCTCCCAAAGTGCTGGGATTACAGGCATGAGCCACCGCACCCAGTTCAGTCTGTTTTTGATATACCCTGTTTACAAATGCCTGGGCCTCACAGGTTAGTCATGTGACACCAGAGTCATGCCTCAAAGTCATGAGGTTGGATGGGCCCTGGGCAGTGGCATGCCAGAGTTGTTGTCCTTCTTGGGTTATGGAGTAGCCTTTCCAAAAGACTTGGGTACTTACCAGTTCTCATCATCCTTGTCACAAGTGAACTGCTAAGGAGAGAAAACAAAACATGGAAAGAGAATCAGTATGTGGAATTAGAATTCCTCATTCTATCCTGTCTCCATGGCCAGAAGTTCCACACTGGGAAAGGGCAGAGGATGATCTTCAATATCGCATAATCACAAATTGGAGCCGGGTGCAGTGGCTCACGCCTGTAATCCCAGCACTTTGGGAGGCTGAGGCGGGTGGATCACGAGGTCAGGAGATCGAGACCATCCTGGCTAACACGGTGAAACCCCGTCTCTACTAAAAATACAAAAAATTAGCTGGGCATGGTGGCAGGCGCCTGTAGTCCCAGCTACTTGGGAGGCTGAGGCAGGAGAATGGCGTGAACCCGGGAGGCAGAGTTTGCAGTGAGCTGAGATCGCACCACTGCACTCCAGCCTGGGCAACAGAGCAAGACTCCGTCTCAAAAAAAAAAAATTGGGGGGAAATTAATCTGGTAACATGGAAATTTCTTTACAAGTAGTCATTTCCCTTTGACTTGGTAAAAGTCCACTTTAGAAAATGTAACCCAGAAACACTGGGGGAAGGTAACGGTATTTCATGGTAATGAGAAGCTGGAAGTAACCTAAATGGGCAACAAAAGGGATGTCCAGCAGCCCATAAAATCACAGCATGGTGAAGACAATGTCATATGTTTAGTGAGTGCTTAGTATATGCTAGGCACATGGCTGGGTGTTTCACATGCGTTTTCTAGTTTAATCCTAACCCGCCTGTGAAGTAGGTACTGTTTACTAGCAAGAAAACCGAGGGACAGAGAGGATAAGTAGTCTACCTGATGCCAGGCTTTTAACTGGATATTGGCAATATGTGGTGGCTGACCACTTAGGCTCTGTTGATGGATCTGGGAAATAAATAAGAAAAGCTGAAGAAATGTACAGAAATATGAGGAATGGGAGGTACCTTTGGATAGGAAAGGAGATAAAATCAAACCGGCAATCCTCTTCTGCCTTCTGTGGGATCCCCATGAAGGAGAGACTGGGGTCCTGCCTGAGTCTTCTGGAAACTGAGCAAGTAATCACCCAGGTGTTTTTGATTGGCACCAGCCTGACCTGACCTATCTTCCTGCCCTTCCATCCAACACCTTCAGAATCCACCTCTTCTGATGCTGCCTCCTATAGTTGCTTCCCACCCCCTGCCTCAAGCCTAAGAGAGACAGCCCTGTGGAATGAGGCTTTATAAGTCACAACCTTTACAGCCACCTGTCTTTTCCATTTTTATCTTGGCTGCTGCCACATCTCTTCCCCTCTGGGGAAATCAGGAGCTTCTGTAGCCCAGAGATGGAAAATCATGGGCTTTAGCCTTCCCAGCTGCTTGTCCCTGTAGTGCAGCAAGCTCCAAGAGATGAAATCTGCTTATTGATGCTCCTAGTGACATGAAGGACTCCAGGATGGCCAGCACTCTGGGTCCATTGCCACAAGTGCTGCTTCGTGCCCTGTGATTAGCTCTGGTCCACTGTTTTCCCATTGATCAGGCAGGGTCGAAGCACCTATATGTGTTGGACCCGTATAGCTGTTGGCAGGTGGGGTGCCAGTGATACAGGAGGAACATCGTGCAGGCTCACTTCCACAGGGCGGGTGGTGGGAAGCTTTGGGGGATGACTGGCCAGCTGTAGGGATAGAAGTGAGGGAGGTGAGTGCCTGTGCCTGCTATGAACAGGAGGGCTTCTGGCTGAAGGTAGAGGCTCTCTGCTAGACAAGGCTCTGGCCTCAGTGAAATGGCATGCCAGTTTGGCATGATATATTCCCATGCCCAGATATTCTGAAGGGGACACTGGCTATCTTCTGAATCATAGCTGTTCCCCTGCCCTTCCTTCCACAGCCCCTCCTGGCACTTCTTTTCATGCTTTCAAGCTTCATACCAGGCAGAATTGCCTAACATGAATTGAACACCTTCCCTATGCAAATTAATGAGTCCCTCAAGGGGCTTAACTTATTGGACCACTTAACAGAATACACAAGTATGGAGGAAAGGATTCATTCCAGTGCTGTGACGGCCTAGCAGAGGGAGCAGTTCTTTCTAGCAGATAGGATCAAAAGAGCTACATTATAGTCAAGAGGTATCCAATTTGGTTCAGTGTTGTGGTCTCTAAATAAAGTTAGGGATAGGGTCTCTGGCCAAAAGCGAACCTACTATCTATTATGTCTCAGTTTCTTTGGCAGTGCCAGATGTTCCTGCATACAATGCCCCACAGCCTCTTCCACAATCAGGCTCAGATTGGCAGGACAAACAGATATTGAGCCAGCTCTGCTTGTGTCTCCACAATGAGAGCAAAACCTCCCAGCTGGAGGATGGTAGATGGTGCTCCGAGCCCCTACCTGTGCTGCTGGCTGCCAAGCCCTTGACACCATTGCATGGAGGACTTCATAGTGCTTATTACTTGGCACCACTGATGGCGGAGTGTTAGGTGATGCCTATTCCTTTATCTCTGCCCTGCCCTGAGTTCTTAGAATTTCATCTGAGGCTGAACCCATTAAAGAGCAAGCTTCACAAAGGTCCTGAGGCTTTCTTGTTTCAACCAGATCCTCTTCATCAGGGACATAACTGAATACTGTCACACTTGTGTGACAAATATTATGGCTTGCTTTCTAATGGGATAGACCTCCCCCTCCATCTTTTTGTTTTGTAAACAAAATCAACTTCAAAATAAGCTATTTTCTTTCTTTCTTTCTTTCTTTTGGAGGAGTCTCGCTCTGTCGCCCAGGCTGGGGTGCAGTGGCGCAATCTCCGCTCACTGCAAGCTCTGCCTCCCGGGTTCACGCCATTCTCCTGCCTCAGCCTCCTCAGTAGCTGGGACTACAGGCGCCCACCACCACGCCTGGCTAATTTTTTGTATTTTTCAGTAGAGACACGGTTTCACCGTGTTAGCCAGGATGGTCTCAATCTCCTGACCTTGTGATCCGCCCGCCTCGGCCTCCCAAAGTGCTGGGATTATAGGCGTGAGCCACCGTGCCCGGCCTTTTTTTTTTTTTTTTTTTTGAGACGGAGTCTCGCTCTGTCACCCAGGCTGGAGTGCAGTGGCGCAATCTCAGCTCACTGCTACCTCCAACTCCTGGGTTCAAGCGGTTCTCCTGCCTCAGCCTCCACAGTAGCTGGGATTACAGGTGTGTGCCACCACGCCCAGCTAATTTTTGTATTTTTGGTAGAGACAGGATTTCACCATGTTGGTCAGGCTGGTCTGGAACTCCTGACCTCAGGAGATCCACCTACCTGGGCCTCCCAAAGTGCTGGGATTATAGGCGTGAGCCACCGTGCCCGGCTAAAATAAGCTATTTTCTAAAGCAACCCGACCTGGGTTTTAAAATGCAGCAAAATATGAGATGGGAGGAAGGGGGCTTAGTGCCCAAAGCAGAGCCTTAACAAGCTTCATGTCTGTGGAAGAGATCATTGTCCTATAGGGTGGTGTGTGCTCCAGCCTGACCCAGAAGTGGACTGCATGTAAGAGCCTTGACCCAGAGCATCCATGGACATCTGTTGAGCAGTCCACTAGGAGAGGGAAGCTAAGAGGTTATGCTGAAGGGGACACTGGCTATGGTTATGCTGAAGGGGAAACTGGTTTTTTCCCTGGTTTCAAAATAACAAAGGACTGTCATGGTGGCTCATGCTTGTAATCCCAGCACTTTGGGAGGCTAAGACAGGAGGATCATTTGAGCCCAGGAGTTTGAGACCAGCCTGGGCAACATAGTTTTTTAGTTTTGCTAAGATTCTATCTCTACAAAAAGTTTTTAAAAAAATTTTAAATGAGAACAAAAGATAACATGCAGTGCTTCCATAAAATTTCTATTGGTAATAGTTTTTTTTTTTTTTTTTTTTACTATTTATTCTATAAATGTATTTTTAATCATTTTTAGTCTGTCATCACTTTCAGAGCATTGACAACTCTTAAACTTTTTTTTAGGTGATCGAAGTATGTGATTTGACTAAAGTAAAGTTAAAATATTGGTAAGTTTTCTCCCCTGCTGGTATATGTCACACTTGGTATAGACAGGCCATATCTACTATCTTCATAAGTTAGTAAAGATTCACATCTGTCACAGATGTGAATTATAGCCTGGTGCCATGAATTCCTGAGGCAACCTTCAAGCCTGCTCAGTTTCCTGGAGAAGAGAAGTAAACCTCATTAAGAATATGTGATGTGTTTAACACTTCATGTATATGTCATCTAACTTAATCCACTTGACAAAGCCAGACCTCAGCTCAGAGGTGATGTGACAGTCTCCTGGGTCATAGCTGCCCTCCCGCTGACAGCCTCTCTTGGCACCTCTTTTCATGTTTTCATGAGTAACAGAGGTGGGACAAACCAGATAGGTCTGACTCCAAAGCCTATGCTGAAGAGAATGCCAAAGAGACCACCATTTTAGAGCTATAATGTATTTTTTAGAATTACAGCGGGGATGACATGCACAGTCCAAAGTTGTTGCGCCCCCATTATGGCAAGGCAGCATGCCTGCATCTAAAAATCTAGAATACTCCTTCCTTTCTTTCTTTCTTTCTTTTTTTTTTTTGAGACGGAGTCTCTCTCTGTCACCCAGGCTGGTGTGCAGTGGCGCCATCTCAGCTCACTGTAACCTCCACCTCCTGGGTTCAAGCGATAGAATACTCCTTTCAGTAAGTCTCCTTAACTGGCTTCCCTTTCCCTTTTTGAGGGTGTGAAGAGGACCTGATTCCTGGGGCAGGCTCAGGCAGTTTTGCTGATAGAGGAGTAGACAAGCAAATGTGTGGTACCACTGGCCCCTGCAGGTTCTAGTTGTCTTTTAGTTTTACTGGGGCCTTCATACCTCAGGGTCTGGTGGCTTCTCTTCTCTACCCTTTTCTTAAGAGTCACTGGTGTCATAAAGCCCCAGAGGATCAACTCTGTATATCAGCCTCATGAGAACTGACCTTCTCCTGACCTCATTAATGCTCTTATTTAAAAGTTCTCTAATTAAGCTTTGTATTTTGATATAATTAGAGACTCACCTGCCTGTGTCTTAAAAATAACTCTCCCAGCTACTATCTCACATGATCTGTGGGCCCATCTTGTGAAGCCTAGTATTAAAAAATATTTTTGTTTTTCAGTGGCGTGCATTTTAATTCTCAGGCCATAGCTCCTACCATTGAACAGATTGACCAGTCTTTTGGCGCAACCCATCCTGGAGGTAAGCCAAGTCCATCTGATTCCTCTGGTCATCAGTGGCAGTTCATAGCAATAAACCTGCCCGGTAGTGCCATCCCACCCCACTTCCTGGAGTCAGGCTCCCATAGGATTGTGGGGTTGGTACTTGGGTGTGAAGGAAACATCCTCCCCCTTGTTTTCAACCTAGTAGGCCAGTTTAGAAACAAGCCACAGGGAAGGTGTTGTCAGTCATTACTCCCTGCCAGGCTGGTTTATGTTAGCCATTTCAGATGCCAGTCAACCATGTTATTTTCTTCTCCCCCACCCCCAACAGTGTACAACTCCGCTGAGCAGCTCTTCCATCTCAACTTCAGAGGACTGTCTTTCTCTTTTCAGTTAGACTCATGGACTGAGGCTCCAAAGTATGAGGTTAGCCCTTCCTGTCCCCTGGTGTTTGTTGTATGTGTCTGTGGTATGGCTCAGCAGATGGTGTCATGGGATGGGAATAGAGGAGTGGGTATTAGATAGGCAGACTTTCTTTGGTTTCCATGTATTTGAGCTCTACAGGGTAAAGTGGTAGAGTGGGTGGGTTGACAGAGGAAGAACAATGCTCAGGCTGGCATTCCGAGGAAGAGGATACTTCCCACAATGGAGTGAGGTCAGGCTCACTTTTCAGAGATAAGTTCATTCATTCCTTATTTTCAAGCTCCTAATCAACAGTTTTCCTGGTGGCCTAGAATTTGGAGATTTCATCCTCTGGATTTTCAGTTACCTTTGTTTTTGCAAACATTTCATTCATCCTAGGGGCTGTGAAAATGATAAGCTTTCATAAGACTTATTTTAATTAAGGAAGCATTTCTGCATTTTCCCCTATGAAGAAAAGGAAAACTGACCGGGCATGGTGGCTCATGCTTCTAATCCCAGCACTTTGGGAGGCCAAGGCGGGCGGATGACTTGAGGTCAGGAGTTCGAGACCACGTTGGCCAACATGGTGAAACCCTGTCTCTACCAAAAATATTAAAAAAAAAAAAAAAAAAAAACAGGCCGGGCGCAGTGGCTCACGCTTGTAATCCCAGCACTTTGGGAGGCCGAGGCGGGCCTCCTGGCTAACATGGTGAAACCCCGTCTCTATTAAAAATACAAAAAATTTAGCTGGGTGTGGTGGCGGGTGCCTGTAGTCCCAGCTACTTGGGAGGCTGAGGCAGGAGAATGGCGTGAACCCGGGAGGCGGAGCTTGCAGTGAGCCGAGATCATGCCACTGCACTCTAGCCTGGGCGACAGAGCGAGACTCCGTCTCAAAAAAAAAAAAAAAATTAGCTGGTTGTGGTGGTGCACACTTGTAGTCCCAGCTACTCAGGAAGCTGAGGCAGGAGAATCACTTGAACCTGGGAGGTGGAGGTTGCAGTGAGCTGAGATCATGCCACTGTACTCCAACCTGGGTGACAGAGTGAGACTCCGTCTCAAAAAAAAAGAAAAAAAAAGAAAAGGAAAACCAAGCAGAATTAAAGGTGGACTTACATGGTTTTGGGGAGTTTACTGACCCAGAGCCAGAGAGCCAGGTTTAAGGGTGTACTTTGACCCTTTGACCTGAGCAGCTCTTGAAGACCATGAGTGACAGGGAAGACCAGAGCCTGAGTCCCATCACCTGTTGTGCCCTAAGTAAAACTCTTGACCTTTGTTTGCAGCCCAATTTTGCCCATGGCCTGGCTTCTCTCCAGATACCCCATGGAGCAACTGTAAAACGAATGTACATCTACAGTGGCAACAGCCTGCAGGATACCAAGTAAGTATAAGGAGCATGAGTTTCTTGCTAAGGCCTGGGCTGCCTGGGAGAAAGAACCAAGCCTCTGCTCATTCTGTGTCTGTCCCCAGGGCTCCCATGATGCCTCTGAGCTGTTTCCTGGGCAATGTCTATGCTGAGAGTGTAGATGTTCTTCGAGATGGAACTGGACCTGCAGGTTTACGACTTCGCCTACTTGCTGCAGGTCAGTGACTGGCTTTGAGGTTGGTACATTCCGCATTATACCCATGTTGAGACAGTCTAAAATCCCACGTGCTTAGGGTGTGTCTCAGTCCATTCAGGCTGCTATAATAAAATACCATAAACTGAGTGGCTGCTAAACAACAAAAATTTATTTCTTGCAGTTCTGGAGGCTGGGAAGTCCAAGATCAAGGCACTGGCAGATTCAGTATCTGGATGCGCCTGCAGTCTAGTTCATAGAAGAAACTTCTCCCCGTATCCTCATATGGTGCAAGGGGCTAGTTAACTCCCTGGAGTCTGTTTTTTAACGGCACTGATCTCAATCCTGAGGTCTCTGCTTCCATAATGTAATCACCTCCCAAAGCCCTGACCTTCTAATACCATCACCTTGGTGGTTAGGATTTCAACATATGAATTTTAGGGGAACAAAAGCATTCAGTCCATTGCCACATAGTTGGTAGAAGACAAATGATGCAGATGTTTATGGTTAAAGCTTTTGTTTAGTTTTGTCAAGGGACTGGACATAGTCTTATAATTAGCAAATCTTAATAAGCAACAGCACTGCTTCTCTCAGCATGCACATAGGCCTGCTGTGTGCTTATATAGCTTTGTGACAGTTCCCAAGTGTTTCCTGGAGATGCATCCTGTGGGTTGCAGTGCTACTGCTCTCCCCTTTTTTGTTTTTTTCTTTTTCTTTTTTTTGAGACAGAGTCTTACTCTGTTGCTGAGGCTGGAGTGCAGTGGCACGATCTCAGCTTACTGCACCCTCTGCCTCCCAGGTTCAAGTGATTCTCCTGCCTCAGCCTCCCAAGTAGCTGGGATTACAGGCACGCATTAGCACACCCGGCTAATTTTTGTATTTTTAGTAGAGACAGGGTTTCACCATGTTGTTCAGGCTGGTCTGGAACTCCTGACCTCATGATCCGCCCACCTCGGCCTCCCAAAGTGCTGGGATTACAGGCGTGAGCCACCGCACCTGGCCAGCTCTCCCCTTTTTTCTACCTTTTTTTGTTTTGTTTTGTTTTGTTTTGTAAGAGATGGCCTCATTCTGTCATCCAGGCTGTAGTGCAGTGGTGCAATCATAGCTCACTGCAGCCTCAAAACTCCTGGGCTCAAGTGATCTCACCTAAGCCTCCCAAGTAGCTAGGACCACAGGCATGTGCTACCATGCCCAGTTAATTTTTGTCTATGTGGAGATGGGTCTTGCTGTGTTACCCAGAATGATCTTGAACTCCTGGGCTCAATCGATCCTCCCTCCTTGGCTTTCCAAAGTGCTGGTATTACAGGTGCAAGCCGCTACACCCAGCTTTTCTCCCTATATTATCCAGGCCGGTGTGCATTGGAATACTGTGGCCTTGAACTCCTGGGCTCAAGCAATCCTGCCTTAACCTCCTGACTAGGCTACAGGCACGCACCACCATGCCTGGCTCTCCTTTTTCTACCCTTTATGCCAAGTTCTCAACGTAGGCAAGCAGACGGGACTTGTTGAATTGTGGTTTGGCCACACCTTGGCCAGAGTTTTGCCAACCATGAACAACAACAACAAAAAGAAATAGTTGGCCGGGTGCAGTGGCTCATGCCTGTAATCCCAGCACTTTGGGAGGCCAAAGCGGGTGGATTACCTGAGGTCAGGAGTTCAAGACCAGCCTGACCAATATGATGAAACCCCATCTCTGCTAAAAATACAAAAATTAGCTGGGCGTGGTAAAGCACGCCTGTACTCCCAGCTACTCAGGAGGCTGAGACAGGAGAATCGCTTGAACTCAGGAGGCGGAGGTTGCAGTGAGCTGAGATAGCGCCATTGCACTGGAGCCTGGGCAACAAGAGCGAAACTCCTTCTCACAGAAAAAAAAAAAAAAGAGTGCCACCTTCAGTAGCTGGTCCCTCCAGGATCCATGCCTCATTTTGTGACATTCCCATGCCTGGCCAACTTCAGCTGCTTTGGGTTGTGGATCGTGCTTAACGGGACTGGGAGCTTCAGCGTGGAGTTTGTTCCCATAAAGAGAGCTGAGAACCTTCGTGGAGCTCATTGCCTAACCAGCATTTATTCGTAAATTGGGTTCCTGCATCAGTCTCTGAGGCATTGATTCCTTTTTTTTTTTTTTTTTTTTTTTTTTTGCTTCTTTTTTCTTTCTTTGAGACATGGTCTCCCTCTGTCACCCAGGCTGGAATGCAGTGGCATCATCATAGCTAAGTGCAGCCTTGAACTCCTGGGCACAAGGAATCCTTCTGCCTCAGCCTCCGAAGAAACTGGGACTACAGGTGCACACCACCACACCCAGCTAATTCTATTTTTTTGTAGACACGTGGTCTCCCTATGTTGCCCAGGCTGGTCTCAAACTCCTAGCCTTAAGCGGTCGTCCCACCTCAGCCTCCCAAATGGTTCTTAATTATTAAGAATCTGGTATATAGGCTGGACACAGTGGCTCACGCCTATAATCCCAGCACTTTGGGAGGCCGAGGTGGGCGGATCACGAGGTCAGGAGATTGAGACCATCCTGACTAACGGTGAAACCCCATCTCTACTAAAAAATAGAAAAAATTAGCCAGGCATGGTGGCAGGCGCCTGTAGTTCCAGCTACTCGGGAGGCTGAGGCAGGAGAATGGCGTGAACCCAGGAGGTGGAGCTTGCAGTGAGCCGAGATAGCGCCACCGCGCTCCAGCCTGAGCGACAGAGCAAGACTCCTTCTCAAAAAAAAAAAAAAAGAATCTGGTATATGAACTCTGAGCCCACTTCTGTGAACAGTTAGACAGTTCACAACCTTCACGTTACGAATTTCTTAAAATGTGATTTTCTAGCCAAGACAGAACAACCACTTAAAGGAGTGTCATGCTTAAGCTATGGTTTTGGGGTTTTTTGTTGTTGTTGTTTTTTGACAGAGTCTTGCTGTGTTGTCCAGGCTAGAGTGCAGTGGTGTGATCTCAGCTCACTGCAACCTCTGCCTCCTGGGTTAAAGCGATTCTCATGCCTCAGCCTCCCAAGTATCTGGGATTACAGACGTGTGCCACCACGCCAGGCTAATTTCTGTATTTTTAGTAGAGATGGGGTTTCACCATATTGACCAGGCTGGTCTCAAACTCCTGACATCAAGTGATCCGCCCGCCTCAACCTCCCAAAGTGCTGGGATTACAGGTGTGAGCCACCGCACCCAGCCTGAGCTATAGTTTTTGAGAGAATTGAGATGTGGCAGCAAAGTCAAGTGATTTAGTGTGGTTTTTTCCCAAGAGGATCACTGCTTGAAACAGCAGGGTGGTCAAGGATCAGGGTCATTAATCATCCCAGGAGACAGCAGGAGGAGCCTGTCGAGGGTGGGCTCTCAGCCAATTATGTCTGCCACCTTGTACAGCACATTCCCAGCAGTCACACTGCTCACTGCTTACACTGTCAGCAGGGCAAATGATTTGTTAAGTCAGGGCCTCAAAGGGTTATCGTCTTCACTGAGAGTTTCCTGTGGCAAGCACAAGTTTCTCAACCCACTCATTTCTCATATCCTTCCTTATGGAATATGGCTGCAGTGATGCTTTTAATGCAGGGAGTCAGTTCAGCCATCTGGTCTCCACAATAATTTGTAGAAAGATACACTTTGGGGAATCACAATCTAAAAAGTAGCTGAAACTCTTAGTAATTATACCTGGATATACTTCAAGCAGAGGGAGACAGAAGACTTACCTTTGAAGGGTGCCTTCCTTACAGCCCCCATCTGACATCCACACGTATCTGGTGCCTGAAGAAATGTGTTAGGCCACTGGATACTTTGGGCCCAGAGTCCAGCTTGACAGGACTTTTGGTGGGTTCTATAGGTCACCCAAGGCTTGCCTAAGCCTTTATTTCCCCCTCAGTGTATACTTGCTGAGAATAGAGATTCTTGGGTTAGTTGAACTCAGTATTTAGTTATTTCAGATTTGGGTTCTCTGAAGCTTCTGCATATAAAAAATGGATTGTTACACATGAGAGAACTTTGACAACTGTAAAGCCTTGTGCTGAGTAAGATGGTGTCAGTGATTATCATGGCACCAAGAATTACAATCCTTCTCAGATTCTTGGCTTCCTTTTTTTTTTTGCTGGGTGGTGGGAGCAAAAACCTTGTCTCCCCCTCCACAAAATGGGGAAATTTTTACTGTTGGTGTATCTATTACTGTGCCACAACCACTTCTACATTTGTGTGTTTGTGTGTGTGTCATTAACTGTAATCATTTCTGAAATGTTTTATTAGAAAAAGTCAGAGCTTAAAGATTCTTCCCAAAGAATAAACTTTTGGCAAATCAGAAGGTCTTTTATTCCTCCACTTAGCTGGTTTGTCCCTTTTGAGTGATAATGGCTCTTGTCTGGGTTGGAGGGCTCTGTCAGGTGTTTGTGTAGAATTAGGGAGACAAGTAATGCATGCTTCACTCTACTTGTTGATAGAGCAGTTTTACAGGTTCAGTGTCTCTGGTTAGGGGTTACCATTGAGAGTACTTTTGTAGTTTTTTTTTAAGACAGTGTCTCACTCTGTCACCCAGGCTGGAATGCAGTGGTGTGATCTTAGCTCACTGCAGTCTCTGCCTCCTGGGCTCAAGTGATCCTCCCACCTTAGCCTCCCAAGTAGCTAGGACTGCAGGAGTGTGCCACCACGCCTGGCTAATTTTTATATTATATTTTGTAGAGCCAGGGTTTCACCATGTTGCCCAGGCTGGTCTTGAACGCCTGAGCTCAAGCAGTTCACCCCGCTTGGCCTCCCAAAGTGCTGGGATCATAGGCAAGAGCCACCACACCCGGCCAAGAAGTACCTCTTAACATAAATCCTTGCATCTTACCATAGTTGTGTGATGATCTGATTAAGGTCTTCTCCAGCACACATAAGCTCCAGTGATGGAGCTTATGGAGAAAAAACAGCACTGCCTTTTTTTTTTTTTTTTTTTTTTTTTGAGACTGTCTCAGTCTGTCACCCAGGCTAGAGTGCAGTGGTGTGATCTTGGCTCACTGCAACCTCTGCCTCCTGGGCTCAAGTGATCCTCCCACCTCACCCTTCCAAGTAGATGGGACTACAGACACCCACCACCATGCCCAGCTAATTTTTGTATGTTTTTGTAGAGACGGAGTATCACCATGTTGCCCAGGCTGGTGTCAAACTCTGAGCTCAAACAACCCATCCGCCTTGGCCTCCCAAAGTGCTGGGATTATAGGCGTGAGCCACCACGTCTGGCCAGAAACTGCACTGTTTTTGTTCACTTTTGTTTCTTCAACATCTAGCACAATGTCCTAGCCCATGGTAGGCAATAAAGTAGTGAATGAATAAGTGAATGAAGTATCCAGAGCTTCATGTCACATGTGGGGGATTGAATAAGTCCCTGGCATTATTTTGAATAGCGATCTCTTGTACAGTCTTAAGCCCTGGTGACCTGATGTTTCTGATTGCATGCAGTCTTGCCCCTTGCCAGACCTAATAATGTAGCATGCAGCCAGTAGCTTCTCTGGGGCCCCCAGAGAGGGTCTCTGGTCCTAACCATAACCTGACAACCTCTCTGTCTTGTTTTTTGCAGGTTGTGGACCTGGCCTATTAGCAGATGCCAAGATGCGGGTATTTGAACGTTCAGTGTATTTTGGTGATTCCTGCCAAGATGTTCTTAGCATGCTTGGCTCTCCACACAAAGTCTTCTATAAATCAGAAGACAAGGTAGGGGAATTATGTTGCAGTCTCCTCCTTTTTTTTAATCAACACTAATTTAATATTGAGTATAAACTGTTTGCTATTTTCCCATAGAACTTGTTCTAAGTAAAGCTAATGGTAAAGTAAATTGAAAACTGTTTTCTAACCCCTGTAGTCCAATTACCCTGACTCTGTCCCTCTCCATAGTGCCTACCTTTCCTTAGAGACCAAGACAGTCCCTAGTCAACGACAGCTGGCCCCCTCTCCTCCTAGATTGGTCAGCACCAGCAGCTGAGACTCCCCACTCTTGCTTGTTCCGCAGCTTAATGTTACACATGGAACACAATTTGTAGACTTTCAGTTAATCCAGAACTATATTAGAGGGATGGATTTTAATTTATGGTTATTTTTTCCCTACAGATGAAAATTCATTCTCCTTCCCCTCATAAACAAGTTCCATCGAAGTGTAATGACTACTTTTTTAACTACTTCACTCTTGGAGTGGTAAGTTGTGATTCCTCAGAGAAGCCCTTCATTTCTATTGGGGTGGGCAGTGCATCTTTGCAGATCTGTGTGTCCACATGCAGCTGGAACCATGCCTGGACATTGGGGAACCTAGCCCCAGCTGTCTTTGCCCAGGGTTGTTTTGCATAGGCTCTGGTACTCCAAAGTAGACCTTGCCTGCAACCAGGATTGCTCAGGAACACTAGGTTCCCTGGTACCTGTTGACTTCTTTTCTGAGGGAAACATGTTCCACAGATGGAGGCCTTGGAAATCATTCAGATTAAGCTGTTTGGAGAGCTGCCCTTTTGTAAAGCATAGGACCCTCTTCTTGAGTCACAAAATGGAGACTGAAAAGGATTGGAGACAGTGGGGTGTGCTTGTATATTTTTAGAGGACCACCCCAGAGGCATTGCTGTATCCCTGTGCTATGGACCCAGGGAGCTGGATATAGCTGGTAGCTGGCCAGTGCGGACAGTCCAGCTGGTGGGTGAGTTGCATACATGAGAAATTATTGTATAAACAGTGTTTCAGCAGGAAACATCTCAAGAGGGCAGGGCTGGCCTGGACCATGGGTCTTGTAACCTTTGAGCCTTCTACGGTCTGAGGTCCTGAGGTAGCAAACAGTAGATTTCACAGAGGGAGTGAGGAGAGACTGAGTCTGCCTAAGTGGGAAAGACCAAACACAGGAGCCAAGAGTAGTAGGGGAGCTGATGTCCGGTCATGAACTCCTGAGAGTAGGATGGCGGCAGGAGGGAACAGTGCTGTTGCAGCTGGACCTCTGGTTCAAGGGCCAGTGATGATAGTATCTCAAGAAACTTAGGGTGTTGCTTTTCCAGCTGGAAACTACTTTGGCCGGTGGCACCTTTGCCCCAATTTTTGCTTGCTCCCGCTGGGCTCATTCAGCTCACTCAGCCTGGCAGGCTGCGCTTAGCTCATGCTACCAGCCTGGATCCCATGCCTGCCAAGGGCAAGCCAGGCATGGAGTGGCAAGGGGTGTGTGAGCGAGTGAATGTGGCATCCGGCCACTGTGCCCAGCCAGGCATGCTGACTGCTGTGGTGGGGCAGGCAGCTCCAGGCGCCAGCATAGGCACCAGCTCCACGTAAGGGTGAGGCTAGATCACGTGTACCGCAAGCGGCTTCCATTGCGGGCACCCATGTCTGGACAAGGAGAATGCGGTGGCACCCGGAAGCTTGGGGACACCAAGAACCACACAGAGCCCCAAACAGGGTGTCACAGCTCTGGCTCGGGGAGCTCCTAGGTCTGGGCTTCCTGAAGGGCTGCAGCTCTTCTCTTCTTGTCACCCACAATGTGGAAAGCGGGGCAGGGCATTTCAGCCTTATTTGTGTTACACCTCTTTCAGTCCCACCATTCGGTGGGTCCCGAGTTCTTGTCCTGCGGCCAGGAAGAATGAGGTATGCAGACAGCTGGAGGGTGAGCAAAAAGGAGAGGAGCTTTATTGGGCAACAGAACAGTTCAGAGGAGACCCATGGTGGGTAGCTCTTTCTGCAGGCAGGTCATCCTGACGAGTATCCAGCTCTCAGCAGAGAGAAGACCCATAGTGGGTAGCTTCTTTCTGTAGGCAGGTCATCCTGAGGAGTCAAGGAGTCCTGAAGTGGGTAGCTTCTTCCCACAGTTGGTAGTATTGACATCTGTCCAAGTCTGGCTGAATCCAGGGTTTTTATGGGCTCAGAAGGGAGGAAGTGCATGCTGATTGGTCCATGAGCAGGCCCGGAAAAAGCACCATAAATTCTCACTCCACCCACAGACTACCCAGAGCTGGCAGCCCGGCCCCCAGGCCTCAGGCCATCCCAGGCTTGAAGGTGGGGTTTCACCTCAGACCAAGCCCTTTCTGCCCAGGAGCCCTTCTGCTTCCTACCACCATCAGCGTGCCATCCATGGTGCCCATGCTGTTCATGCCGAGGCGGCAGGGGGCTAGTGTGTCAGTGCTGCCCTGAGTGCGTGCACTCCCAACCAGGTCGTGACAGCGCCTGGGCTCAGCCACAACTTTGCCCCTCCCCAGAGCAGGCACCGGGAGTGGGGAGAGGCTAGGTAGTGGGAGCAGGCACTTTCAAGCCTGCCGGGGCAAGGGGCCTTCTGGGCCCCTGAGAGTGCAGGGATGCCAGGGTCTGGAGCTGCAGCTGGGAGGCTGCAGCTACACCCAGGAGCATGGGCTCCTGCCCTGCCAACTTAGTAGAGGCCAGGGCTCTCACCTGTTCCCAGTTCCCATAGGCTCTGCATAGTTCTATGGGAAAACAGAGGTCCCGGCCACACTTCCTCTGCTCCAGTCGGCATCCTTGCAGCGGCCACTCCAGATGGGCCATTGCTGCCATCAATAGGTGACAGGGAAGATGGAGAGAATGGACTGGCCTCAGTAGGACTTAGTTGGCTGTGGGTACAGGGGTAGAGTCAGAGGTTACCCTGAGGTCACGGGCCCAAGCAGCTGGATGGATATGAAGCTGGAAAGGGTAGGGGATAGGAGGGAAGTGTTCACTGGGTGGCATCAAATCCAGGTCCAAGTCCTAGAGAGAGGTCAGGCTGGAACTTCAGTTCCTGGGGTTGCTGACTCCCACAGAGGGTGTAATGGAAGCCAGGAGGGTCTGATGGATTGTGGAATTCAGAATAGTCAAGTGGCCTTCAGCCCCTCAAGAACCAGGTGACTTGGCCAGCATGGTGGCTCACGCCTGTAATCCCAGCACTTTGGGAGGCCAAGGTGGGTGGATCACCTGAGGTCAGGAGTTCGAGACCAACCTGACCAATATGGTGAAACCCCCATCTCCACTAAAATTACAAAAATTAGCCGGGCGTGGTGGTGTGCACCTGTATTCTCAACTCAAGGAATCCTCCTGCCTTGGCCTCCCAAAGTCCTGAGTCTGCATCCTCGGATTCTCTTGGCTCTGCTGCTTACCATCTGGGCACCACGCTAGGTGACTTACTGCACCTCCTGGGGCCTTGGTTTCCTCATCTGTAAAGAGGAACCTGCCTTGAAAGTTTGTAAAGCACCTTTATTCAGTAAATCTTTATTGAGTACCTACTGTGTGCCAGGCACTACTCTAGGAGTTCGGGATACAGCAGTGAAGAACACAGACGGACAACCCTGCCCTCACGGAGCTTATATTCAGAGGGAAGAAAGCCACTTAGCAGGACAAAGAGCTAAAATGGATAGTACAGTGTGTTGAGAGGTAACACACATGACAGAAAAGATAAGGTATGGGGCCAGGCACGGTGGCTCACACCTGTAATGCCAGCACTTTGGGAGGCCGAGGTGGGCGGATCACCTGAGGTCAGGAGTTTGAGACCAGGCTGGCCAACATGGTGAAACCCCGTCTCTACTAAAAATAAAAATAAATTAAAAAAAAAACAGCCAGGCGTGGTGGTGGGCGCCTGTAATCCCAGCTACTCGGGAGGCTGAGGCAGGAGAATTGCTTGAACCCAGGAGACAGAGGTTACAGTGAGCTGACACAGTGCCACTGCACTCCAGCCTCCATGACAGAGTGAGACTCCATCTCAAAAAAGAAGAAAGAAAATGTCTAAAAGCTGCTTGGCCTGTCCCCTGGACTGTTGTCTGGAAGAAAGGTGATGCCTGCAGGCATTCTTGCTGTGGAGTGCACTGGATGTCCCAAGTTGGACATGCCTTTGGAAAGGCCTCTGCCCTGCCTCAGTAACATTCCCTCCTTGAGTACCCTTGTTTTCTATCCCAGGACATCCTCTTTGATGCGAATACACACAAAGTGAAGAAGTTTGTTCTACACACCAATTACCCTGGGCATTATAATTTCAACATGTGAGTACACCTGTCTGTACCTCCCCTCTGTGAAGTGAGTTTTGGGCTGAAAACCCCAGGAAAGAGCTTTTGGCTTTGGGTGTTCACTAATTTATCTACACCTGAATTCTTGCTGTTTCATGGGAAGTGAATTTCCTGAGTGCTTGCTGTGTTCCTGGCACAGGGTCCAATGCCTTACATCTCTCTGTTTGAACCCATTTTACAAATAGGGAAATAAGTTCAGAAAGCTTGATGTCTTATCCAAGGTAATAGGCTCTCCAGAACCCAGGGCCAAGATCTTTTCTGTTCGACTTCCGTGCCTAAATCTGGCCTCCCCCAGTGAACACTGTCAGGCACTCAGAGCCAGGGCTTTGGGCAGGTGTGTTTGGTTCTGTTTCTCCTGGGGTGTGGGGTTGGAATATGGGAGTGGCCAGGCCTTCTAGGAGGCCCAGCCTTTACCCATTTGCCTTCTCTCTAGTTATCATCGCTGTGAGTTCAAGATCCCACTAGCCATAAAGAAAGGTGAGTAGTGAAAGCTCTCAGGGTAAGGGAGGGGTTTTAGAGTCTGTTTTCCACTATGAAAAGGGAGAAAGATCGAAGCAGTGGTTGGATGTGTGGAGCTTCTGCCCATGGCCTCAGTTCCTCTGGGGTGGGCTCATTGTTCTGGGGGCTGCAGTGTTCTTGGTCTGAGTCTCCTAGAGGCCCTTGAGGCCTCTTCCTATGACTGTGGGATTGCCGGCCTCTGGAGGGGAGAGTTTCTTATCTACAGATGATCATCCAGGGGGCCCCAGCCCATCCTTGTTGCCTGCCACCCACTGCCAATTGTTGTTGCTCACACCTGACTGACCTCCCTTCACCCCTCCATCCTCTTCCACCCTGGAACTCCAAAACAGCCTGTTAATCCTCCCCATGTACTCCAACCCCAGTGCAAAGGGACACCAGGTCTGGTTCCTACCTAGGGCTGGGGCCACAGGTAGGCTGGGCCAGCTACAAATCTGCCCCACTGTCTTCTCTTTTCAGAAAACGCAGATGGTCAGACAGAAACATGCACGACCTACAGCAAGGTGAGCACCTATCTTCCTACCTGGCATAGCCTGAGAATGAGGTGGACATGAGCCTGCAGGCAGTATGGGGCTGTGTCCTCTAGGCCAGCCATTGGTCACAGACATGTTCATGTCCCTACTAACCCCTGCTCCCCTCTATCCCTCTTGCAGTGGGACAACATCCAGGAGCTCCTGGGCCACCCTGTGGAGAAGCCTGTTGTCCTGCACAGGTGAGTGGGAGTTTGATGTCCCCGGCCACCCCACCTGACTCCTCAGAGCCCAGAAAGCCCAGGGAAGCCTGGCACAGTGGATGTTGCTTAAAAATTACAGAAGTTTCTGATATTGCCACAAGCATACTTCCTGCCCCACTCTGCACATTAGGACTGAGTCAACTGTTCTGTGTGTTCATCTTTGATAGAGAGAATGTCCCCAGGGGTAGCTCCCCTCTCCCAAGCCTACCTCTAGGTATGGGGGCCTTCTCACCCTCAGTTATTCAATAAGGAAGGAGGGCTTGGCTGGCTGGCCTGGGCTCTTTTTCCCTTTGAGCTTTGAGCTGCTGCCTGCTGAAGTCCACAGCCCCGTTCCTGGTTGCCATGCTGCCTGAGATTCTCTCACTCAAGAGGGCCCTCTTGACTCCTCGCCACCCTAGTCCAGTTCCACAGTAACTTTTTTGTCCTGTTGGGCTCTGTATGTATAATTCTGAGTTGAGTGAGACCATCCCTACCCCTAGGATCTTGCAGGCCTGTGTGGGAAACAGACAGACACTCACAGCCATGAGAGACTACTGGCCAGTATCCCATACCCCAGAAAAGACTGGATCCCTTGCTTTAAGGCCGTGGCCTCTGTCTGCCTCTCTAATTCTGAATTCTTTGGCCTCAGGTCTTCCTCCCCAAACAACACCAACCCATTTGGTTCCACATTCTGCTTTGGTCTTCAGCGAATGATCTTTGAGGTAAGCTGTGGAAGCCCTAGAAATAAACTGCCTGGGGGGTTGCTGGTCATGGCAGGGCCAGGTGAATGATGGAGGGAAATTGGGGAGGGCATCACTGCCATAGTGGGCAGATTCATCCTTCTTCAGCAACCGTGTCTGCTGCATACCTGGCCTCCCCACACTTAACAATGAAGGTTCAGAAATGATGTTGAGAAATCTGGGGTCACAGAGGCCGAAGCAGTGGTCTGTGTCCAACAAGATGGGAGGTAACGGATCCCAAGTTTCTATCTGACAACATGATTATAGCAGGGAAGGGAACCACAGGGCAAGTGGGGCCCAGCAGAGGGTGTTGGGGGCCCTCCAGTGGCATGTGAACAAATGCATTGTAGGGGAGTGAGTGGCTCTGGAGGCCCTGCTGACTTGGGAGAACAGCAAGCTGCCCTTGTTTTCCCTGTGGATGCAGTATCTCCAGCAGACACTTAACAGTTCCAGAAGGACTGGACACGTGGCCATGGTAAAGGCTGTGTGTAACCATTGAGAAACAGGCAGATCTCAGGCAGAGGGGGGCCTTTAGCATGAACCAGGGGAGGTTGAGGAGTCGGGAAACCCAGCCATTAGGTGCAGGTATGTCACACAACCTCCAGCCCTCATGCACAGGATCTGCCTACATCCCTTTACCTCTCCCCCTTGACCCACTGTCCTCTTCTCACACCAGGTCATGCAGAACAACCACATTGCCTCGGTGACCCTGTATGGCCCCCCCAGGCCTGGTAGCCACCTGAGAACAGCGGAACTCCCCTAGGGACACCACCACCCATGCCCCTCTGTCCCGTGGAACTGTGCATCACATCCTGCTCAGTGGGCCTCTGTACCACCCTGTGGGTTTTCTTGGACACCTGGCCAGTGCTGAAGGGCTGTTGTGATGTTCTGAGGTTGGGCTCAGGCTGGGTGCTCTGCCATGGGCTGAGTGGCCCAGATATTCTTCTGTCCATCTTTGGCCTGCTGGTGCCAGCAGGGGACACAGACTGCAAAGAGAAGCACAAAGTTTGAGCCTTGATTCCTGGACCCAGGAGCTCTCAACTAACAAGGAGGCAGGAGAGGTCAACCCTTGTCCCATGCACATTGGGAAGACTTGGGGCTCTTTCTGTGACTGAGGACACAGGCACCCAGGATAAGGACAAGGTCCTGCCTTTGGCTCCACATTGCCACATGACCCTTAAGGCAAGCAGGTAGCGTGTCCATAGTACTTGGTTGCGACATTTGCACTACATCCACTTTAGTTACTTGATGAGCTGGCTGTGGCCAGGGTGGCCCACCTGCCCTTCCCTGTTCCTTTCTTGCACGCGCTCCCTGCCTGGGCACACCAAACTGGTTGAAACACAGCTTTCTACCATCCAGGTACATGCCCAGGCCTGGTTCTCACCCCTGTTGGAGTCAGCTTTCAAGATTGCCTGTGCCCCTGCTCTGCCCCATCCTGGCTGGCAGGGCTGCATGTTTCCATCCTGTTTGCCTCTTTTATTTAATGCCAAAGTTTTAGCCAAAGACATCTTCCTACTTTTGTTGTGTTTCAGCATTCTGTTCTGCACTGTGGGCTGGCTCTCTGCCCCAACCCTGGGCACTGGCCCCTGGCTGGGCCATTTCATGGCTCAAAGCCTCTGGGGGCTCAAGGAAGGCTGGGCTGCTCAGTCCCTTCATGGGTCTTGCTAATGGAAAGTAGCATATATGTGCTTTAAAAATATTAATCCTTTTGAAAAGAACTGAGAAGAAAAATGTATAATTTTATCCCATTTTTAATATTTTGGTCTAGCAACTTGTGATACATAGATGACAATTTTGTGAGTTTTTCAAATGTGTGTACAGATTTTTGTAAATATGACTCTTTTGTAATTAACTCATGTACAGCCTCATCCTGTATAGTTTAATGATGAATGTGCAGGGGACCTGTCTCAGGCTCCTATATGGTTCCTGGGCCTTATAGCCAGGTTTGTGTGGCGCTCCCGACTTTTGTGACTGACTGGTGTCTTCCCATTTGGACTGTGGCCTGGCCAGAGCCCCTTGCATATCCCCACTGTCAGGGGCAGCCAGGACTGTTCCCATCCTCCTGGAATGGGGGAACCTTCCTTATCCCCTGCCCACATCCCCTCTCCAATAAAGCACCTGTGCCCTCAGCAATGGCCTGCCATGTGCTGTTGCTGGGATGTTTGTATTAAGGTAAGTGTGGGTATTGGTTTTTTGAGCAAGGGGGTGGTTGAAGCATATGGGGAAATTAATAGTGGTGGCATCTCAGGGGAAGACATTCCTTGGCTCCTCTGAGGGGATACAGCCTCCAGTGGGAGACTGGCATTGTTGTGTGAGTTCAGGAGGTGAGGAAAGACTAGGTAGGACCGTGCACTCATTTGTCCCTTATGTGTGGCTCCATCCCTGGTGCTCAGCCACACCTGGGCCCAGGAGAGGTTGTGGGAAGCATAATATCTGTTTTCAGATGAGCTATGGCAAAGTGCCTGCCAGGTTCATGAATTCAGGCTGTGGCGGCCGGAGCCCCTCCACCTCCCTGTGGGGCCTGGCCTTGAGAGCCTCTGCATACGTCCGCGTCAGCCTAGGGGGTTCCAAATCCAGCAGAGTGGTAGGATTCCCTAAGTCCCTGCCACCACACCAGAACACACCTCTGTGCTACTAGGAGGACCAGACATATCCACTGCTCTGGGACCTGTTGGACAAGAGATGGTCATCTACCACCCAGCCTTGGCTCGCTCAAAGGGTCACCATTACACGGGTTTCAACTGGTTCCAGCAGGGTGGACCGCCAGGAGCCAAGCTTAACCCCCATCCCCTGGGATCCTGTGGAGACAGGCACCTGGTGATCAGGGAAGAACCACATACACGGCAATAATCTGGGAAACCGGCTCCATTCTGGGTCTGAGTTAGGAGCTTGGGGCTGTAGTGGGGAGCTAGGAGTCCCATTGGAAGGGGCCTGCAGCGACAGGCTGTGGATGCGCACAGGCTGGCCCATGCGGCCCGTGCAGCAGGCGCCACATAAGCCAGATGTCAGCGGCCGAGAGCCCGTGCACTACAACCAGCTCACGGTAAAAGCAGGGGTCGAAGGTGCTCAAATGCGGCGCGGCTGAAGGCTGGGGGATGCCAAAGGTGCGGAAGGCAGGGTGAGGCTCGGGCGTGAGCCGCAGGCGCTGCAGACACATGCCCAGAAAGACGTCGTCGATGGGGAAGAGCTCGACCTGCGCACAGGCGCCAGCCAGGCGGTGCAGCGTGGCCCCGGAAAGCACAAAGCCACCGCCGCCCGCGTAGGCCGGATAGGCGGGCAGGCCGTACACGGCCTCGGGGATGTAGTACTTGCTAGCCCGCGTGCGGATGGGCCGCGCATGCACAATTACGTCACCAGCAAGCAGGTCTTGCGCCGGGTCCCGCGGCGCCAGGAACTCCAGGAGATTTCCCACGTTCACGAACACATCTGCGTCGCCCTTAAAAACGAAGCGCACGTCGGGGCAGAAAGCTGAGGCCCAGGCTAGAAAGTGGATCTCCTTGAGCGTTAGGTTAAAAAAGGTGTCGTCGAAGGCCCAGAGCAGGATGTCCGCATACGCAAGGCTCTCGGCCCGCAGCAGGGCGCGCCAGTGGGTTCGCGCGCCCTCCCCAACTTCGTCGGCCCCGCCCGAGCCTGCGCCCCTGGGCACGCCCAGCAAGAACACGCGGCGCACCAGCGCCCCCTGCACGCGACCCTCCGCGCCCCACGTCTGGCGCACGGCTTGGCGCCGCTCGAAGTCCTCTGCCACCGACTTGACAGCAATAAGCAGGTCCGGGCGGCCACCGGGTGCGCCGTCGCCGCGGCACTTGTGCGGCTGGTTAATGAGCAGTGGAAACCGCCGCTGGTCCTTGGCGCGCAAATAGCGGGCGAAGTCAAAGGGTCCCGTAGGCGTGGGCGGCGCCGGTGTGTCCCCTTCGTAGGCCGGCGGGGCTGCACCCGCGTCGGGTAACTGGAACGCGCGGGGTCCGGGGGTGGGCCTCGGTGCCGCCCTCCCTCGCCCTCGCGGCGCGCTCGCCGTCGGGGCCGCGCCGTCGCGCTGCGCATAGAGTAAGAGGCCCAGGGAGGCGCCAAGGAGCAGCGTGAGCAATGCGTCCCTGCGTAGGCGCAGCCTCCTCCTCATCTCCGCGCGGCCTGCGCCCTCCCTCCCCTGTAAGGGTCGCAGTCGGCAGCAGGGGGCAGCGAGCCCCGCCCTCCCCAGCTGAGGGGGCGGGAGGCCACGCCCCGGGGGGGGCTCCAGCGACCGACGGTTGAGCCCCTTGCGTTGTTCTCCTCCTCCCGGCCGTGTCGCACCGCCGGGACCGGCAGCCTGAAGGGACAAGAAGTTCACCCATGTAGCCAACTCCCCCGCGGCCTCAGCTCCGGCCCAGGACTGCGACCCAGGGCCGGGCAGGGAGACTGGGAGCCTCGGCCCCTCCCCCGCCCGCCTCCCTCGCGCTGAGGCCGAATCCCTTCCACCCTGCCATCCCCTCAATGTCGGGCCCTGGGGTCCCGACACTCACGCTCGGCCCTCGGAAGTGGCGCAGCCCCGGACGCCCTGGCCTCCGGGGCTCAGCGCAGGGTCCGAGGGGCCGCCATGGACCGGGCCCGAGCCAAATGCAGCGTTGGCAGGAAGGGGGACCGGTGCCGTGCCACGTGACCCTCCAGCTGTGCGCGCCCAGACTTCTGGAGCTCAGCTCCGCCCCGGCGCCAGGAGCACTCCGGCCTCAGAGTGGGGACTAATCCCTGAGAGGGAGCCTCCTCACTCTCAGTCCCTCTGGGAAGGGCTGGTCTGGGTGCTCACACCCCAAATTCGCCTTTCTGGGGATTGGGAAGAAGCATCAACTCCCCTGGTTAGCTCCCCCAACTATCCACTCCCCACTCCCGCGTCTCTGGAGTGGGGCGGAGCCTGGGCTGCTAGGAGCCCCTGAGCAGGCCGGTTCCAAATGCGCATGAACCTGGCCACCATCCCGGGCGGGCCTCTCCTCAGCAGCCCTGATTCCATCAGGCAGGGTGCATACGCTGCCCCCGAGACACATGGCTGTCTTCTTACTCCTGGTTCTGCCATGCTCCCCACCCCCAGTAAACACACGCACGGGACAAACAAGGCAGCCCACCCAATCCTCAGGGCAACTCTGCCAGCAGCTCTCATTCATGCCCAGATGGGGACACTGGGGGGCTCTTCGGGGAGTTAAGTGACTTGCCCAGGATCCAAAGGCCAGAAAGCTCTGCCCCCAGGTCTTCTGAAATTCAGGCCAGGATTATTTTATCTGTCCTTGCCCCGCTCATTCATCCACTGGGATACAGAACAGGGGGCCAACCCAGTCTGCTTTAATTTCACAGGCAAGCACTTCAGCCTGTCTCCCCGGGGGCTAATGGACCTGAGCCCAAGCCAGGTGCAGTTCTGAGTCCCCTGGTCCCCAGCATAGCCTACTGCAGGTAGAAATGATCAGGCCTGTGCAGCTGCAGGTCAGACAGGGCTGGCAAGGATGGGGACAGCTTGGGAAGACTCCTGGCGGAGGCCTTGGCTAAAGGATTGCTCTGGGATGCAGGTGGACAGAGGTGCTCTGCAATGGAGAGCTAAGTCCTTGCGCAGCTCAGCTGCCAGCTCTCTCTTTCTTGGTCCCAGCCCATGTGGTGGAGCCTGGAATAGACAGCCTCTACTGGTCTCTTAAGAACCCAGCCCCATCCTCTGTCCAAGGGCTATATCTGCTCCTGACGGCTTCTTCCCACCAATGTTCAATCTTAAAAAGCCACCTCTCTGGCTGGGTGTGGTGGCTTATGCCTGTAACCTCAACACTTTGGGAGGCTGAGGTGAGTGGATCACTTGAGGTCAGGAAGTCAAGACCAGCCTGGCCAACGTGGTGAAACCCCCATCTCTACTAAAAATACAAAAATTAGCTAGACATGGTGGTGGGCACCTGTAATCCCAGCTACTTAGAGGGCTGAGGCAGGAGAATTGCTTGAACCTGGAAGGTGGAGGTTGCAGTGAGCCAAGAACACACCACTGCACTCCATCCTGGGCAACAGAGCGAGACTGTCTCAAAAAAAAAAAAAGGCCAGTCGTGGTGGCTTACTCCTGTAATCCCAACACTTTGGGAGGCCAAGGCAGGTGGATCACTTGAGGCCAGGAGTTTGAGACCAGCCTGGCCAACATGGAGAAACCCTGTCTCTATTAAAAATACAAAAATTAGCCAGGTATGGTGGCACGTGCCTGTAATCCCAGGTACTTGGGAGGCTGAGGCAGGAAAATCACTTGAACCCGGGAGACGAAGGCTGCAATGAGCCGAGATCGTGCCACTGCACTCCAACCTGGCAACAGAGTGAGACTCTCTCCAAAAAAAAAAAAAAAAAAAAAAGCCAAATCTCCACCCTGAGCCTTACTCTTTTTGGTCACAAAGTAATCAGGAGTCCTCTGCTCCAGCTTTCTCCGCGGCCTCACCTTCCATTCCCTCCTGTGATAAAGCTTCGGGCTGCCTCCACCATGACTCAGAAAGACCCCTGACTGGTAAGCTCCTTTTAACTGAGTCCAACAGACACTCCTCGGTCTTGACTACCCGCTCCATTATAGTGGGTGGGTAATCCCCTGGTTTCCAAATCTCCTGGTTTTCCTCCTTCCTCTTTGGCTGTTCCCATTCTGGTTGGTGTCCTTCAGGACATCCCCTGGGGCCACCCCACCCACTCCCCACCTGTCTATTCATCAATCTTTAGATTGAACCCTCATCCTGAACTCAGAACTACAGACCCAACTACCCTCATACTCTCTCCCCGGATGCACTGCAGGAACATCATGCTCAACTTGTCCCAAACAGAGCAAGCATTTCATTTCCCCCCAGGGCCCCATCCCAGCAAGCAGTCCCACCCACCATCCAACTGGCAAAGGCAGAAACTTGGGGCCCTCTCTCAGCCATTCCTCACCCAGTGTCACCAGGCCTGTTACTCTTCCACCCACACAGCTCTTTGGTGGTCATCCCCTTCCCTCCATCTCTGCTGCTACTGCCCCAGCCTGGGGCCACCATTTCCCCCACCCCCATCCTCATCAACCTCCCAGTCTTGGCCAGGTGCGGTGGCACATGCCTGTAATCCCAGCACTTTGGGAGACCAAGGTGGGTGGATCACCTGAGGTCAGGAGTTTGAGACCAGCCTGACCAACATGGAGAAACCCCATCTCTACTAAAAATACAAAATTAGCTGGGCATGGTGGTGGGCGCCTGTAATCCCAGCTACTTGGGAGGCTGAAACAGGAGAATTGCTTGAACCCAGGAGGTGGAGGTTGCAGTGAGCCAAAAACGTGCCATTACACTACAGCCTGGGAAATAAGAGTGAAGCTCCATCTGAAAAAAAATTAAAATTAAAAAAAAAAAAAAAACAACCACCTCCCAGTCTTAACTCCCGAAACTCTTCAAAGGCTTCCTACTGGCCTCATTGAAAAACCCACAAGCCTTCCTCAAGCCCTTGCCTGAGACTGTGCCCCGAACACTGCCCTTCTCTCGATAGCCCACCCCTATGCCTACTCACACTCATCTCCTCCAGGAAGCCTACCCCCTGTCCCCTGCCCAGGTTAGGCCCCTTCCTCCATCCTCCACAACTTCTCTTTTTTTTTCTTTCTTTTTTTTTTTTTTTTTTTGAGACAGGGTCTCACTCTGTCACCCAGGCTGGAGTGCAGTAGCTCAGTGACATCTCACTGCAGCCTCAACCTTCCATGCTCCAGGGATCCTCCCACCTCAGCCTCCTAAGTGGCTGGGACTACCCAGGCTGGTCTCAAACTCCTGAGCTCAAGCAATCCTCCTATCTCTGTCTCCCAAATTGTTGGGATTACAGGTGTAAGCCACTACTACTTGTATTTCTCACATCAAAATCCGTGTTATACTTTATTATCATTGCTTAACATTCGGGGTCCCACGCTGAGTGTGAGCTGGGGGCAGGCAAGATTGATTCCTGTTTTACTTCACTGCAGTATCTGCAGCACCCAGGATGAAGTCCAGGACACCAAAGATCAAGGTGCTTCATGAGTGAAACTGTAAGGGCTGGCTGTAAGCCCCGCTTCTGGGATGGGAGAAGGTGAGGCTGATCTCCAAAGCAGGTCCCCCCCACCCCACACTCTATCAAAGTACCTGAGGCAGAATCCCCAATGATGCACCCCCAGTGGTCTGGCTCCTGGGGAAGGCAATCAACTCTGCCCCAGCAGGTCCAGCAGATAGGCCAAGTGGAGTTTCAGGGTCCCGTGGATGGACAGGGGTTCAGCAATAGCCGCAGAAGGAACCCTAAGGCCATCCAGGTTCTCCAAAAGCTGGCTGCACCCCTGGTCTAGGCCAGGCCGCCATTGGGATCGGTCAGGCCCAGCAAGTCCTCTGCCAGGCTGGTGAGCTCGTTCTCCTCGAGTGCCTCCACCAGGCGCTGCAGCGTGGCGCGGCGGCCCTCGGCCTGCACGAAGCGCCGCAGCAGCTGGAAGGCCTGCTCGTACAGTCCCTCGCGCTCGTACTCGTAGGCCAGCGAGTCCAGCGCCGGGTCCCGCAGCGCCCGGCAGCCTCGCTGCAGTGAGCGCCCCACCTTGCGCCATTTGAGACCCACAGAGCGCGCGAACGTCTGTTGGTCCTTCAGGCTCAGCGGCCGATTCACTGCAGAGGGAGTGGGGAAACGGGGTGAGGGCGGGGACCCCCAGCGCCGGTCCCACCCATCCCCACCCGGCAACGACCCCTGCCCCTCCCCAGACTCCAACCTCCTGGTGACCCCGCCTCTCCACCTGCGCCTCACCTACAGGCTGACCCTGGAACAGAAAAGTCTGGGCAGGTGGCGGCGGCGGCGGCGGCTTCACCTCCGACAGAGAGGGCACCGGGGGCTGCAAGGGGGCCGAAGCGACCTCCCCGTCGCCACCCCGGGCCCCCGAGCCGCACTTCAGATTTCGCAGCGCATCCTCCAGCTCAGCCAGTTCTTCATCCCGGAGCCGGTCGGGCTAGGGGAATGGAACGTGCCGTCACGGGGGACTTAACCGCGGATCCCCGCCCTACCCCATCCTGACCCTAGCCCGGCCGCACCTGCTGGGCTAGGATGCAACTCAAACAGCGCTCCTCGTCCGCCAGCAAAGCGTCCAGCCGCTCGGCGCCGGCGCGCAGCTCCAGTTGCAGCGGCACCGAGTGCTGGGCGAGCGCGGCCGCCAGGCTCCTCTGCAGCGCGGCGCGCAGCGCCCCCTCGCGGTAGGCGCGGAGGAAGCGGCCACAGGGCTGCCGCCCGCAGAATCGCAGCTGCACGATCAGCTGCGGGTCGCTGCGGTGGATCTTCAGCATCTGCAGCACGTCCGGGCTCCCGCCGCTCTCTGCGGAGGCGGGCGGTCAGGCGCCGGGCGGTCCCCAAGCTCGGCCGTTCTCCAAACGGCCGGAGGAGGGGCGAAGCCCGTGGTGAAGCCCCGCGTCCCATCCCCTGACCTAGGGTGCAGTTACCCCAGAGTACCCAGCTGGGAAGCAAAATTGGGATACAAACAGCAATAACCCAGAAAGAAGACCAGGATCTGTCACAGGGAGCACCCTAAGACAGAGTGGGTGCCACCTAACCCCCGCTCTCACGCCCCAAATGAGGGTTGGCAAAAGAGAGGGACTTCGAAGCACAGAAAAGGGGGCGTGTGCCCTGGGCAAACAAGCCGTCTGGGTAGGCGGCCAGCAGGGCAGAGGAGGGCGAGAGGTCTCAGGTCTTCGGCCTCCACCAAGCGCGACTCCCACTGCTCGGGAAGAAGAGGGGCTCTCGCCGCTCTGAGGCCACGAACAGATCCCCCAACCCGCTTCAGCCTCCTGTGGCCTCTGCCCTGAGATGGGAAAGGGGGGCCTGGAAGGGTAGGTACTGGGGAGGGGTCTTGAGCAAGGAGTGCTGCAGTAAGAGAGGAAAAGAGGAGAGAGACATCCACAATTAGTAGAAAGGAGTGAGCCGGCTGGTGGAGGGGGGCGGGGATGGAGCAAAGGACGTTAGTGCACAAATTGGTAAATCATACACAGACTCGAGAACACACGCCTATCCTCAAGGTCATGCCACAAGCAAAGAAGAGAGTCTGCACAGCCAGGGGTCCTCCGTCTTGCTCCTCCCACCCCAAATCTTCTTCTTAAAGGTGGCTAAACCCAGGCCCACCCACAAAATGCTCCAGGCCACCCCTTCCTCTCCACATGCCCGCCCATCCACGCACCTGCCAAGGCAGCCTGCAGAGCCCTGTACACTGCCACCTTCTGCTGGGGGTGCGCGTAGGCATCCGACAGGACCACCTTGTCCAGCGAGGACTCCACAAACAGGTATGCGCTGCCCACCCACTCTTCGTGCCCATTTTGCCCAGCTGCCATCTCACCTCCTGGAGATGCAGACAGTCAGGTATCCAGTTCATCCCCCCTCCCTCCACCCTGGAGACAACTACCCAGCCCCACGTGGTTCAGCTGTCCCCACCACAGTAGCCTCAAGTCCCACATGGTTCAGTTGTCCCCACCACTGGTTGGCATACTTGGGACAGGAGTTCACCATCTCACAGGAAGCCCCTTGAGCTCCTGGCTCTGTACAGAGTCCCACCCGCCCCAGGCTTGCAGTGAGGACTGTCCCTCCACTGCCTTCTTGGAGAAAGAGCCCAAGGTCACAGTGGAGGGGGAGCAGAGGCAGATCCTGCAATGGGGCTTCTCTGCTTCCTTCTCAGGCCTGTGTGTCTCTCTTACCAATGCGGACAAGAGACATCTTCATTCTGGATGGTGCCCATGCCCCAAAGCCAACCAGACCCATATCCTGGCCTTGCCTTCTGAGTAGACTTGAGCCCAGCATTTCTGGAGGACCTCAGCCTAAGACTAAACCTCCTGTCTTCACTTCGAAGGGCACCTGTAGTTTGCATCTACCCAGATTCTCTCCCCAAGCCTGACTTACCTTTGGGGACTTCCCTCCTCCCTCTTCTCAATCCATGTGCCTGTGTCCCACTCCCTAGTTCCAGGTCGGGCTTGTGTACCAGACCTGGCCAATCTGCATATTCCATTCACATTTCTGCAGTGATTAGTTCAGGGCGGGGTATAGGACTTAAGTTGGACCCATGAGAATCAACGCTGCGACTCTGGTTGAGCCAATAGGAAAGAGGCACTACTTTCCCTTCCCTTGGGGCTGAACTGGAAGGAAAAGGTAGCTCTCCTTTAGCACTGCTTGGGAAGAGCCTGGCTGGGAATGAAGCTGACACAGAAAGAAAGAGTCAAGAGATGGAGAAGTGCATTCCTAAGCATACTAGGCCCCTGGATCCAGCCGTCCCTGAAGCCATTGCACACTGGACTTTTCAGTTATGTGAGCTAAATAATTCCTTTTTGTTATAAAGCCCTTGGAGTTCGGCTCCAGTCATTTCCAACACAAATTGCTCTATTCCTTCCCTGTCCAGAAAAAGCCAGGGCCCCTTGGTGCTAGTATAGTATCTCCTTCCTCCATCTTCTGACAAAAACCTAGCTCTGGACCAGCGGGGGCAAAATTCCCAGCCAAGGAACCACTGCACTGACCTACAGCTCAATGGTCTCCCAGTTACTACCCCGTGAGACAGCAAGTAGAAAACTGCCTCCTCTTTCTCCCCACCTCACCCTTTTCCTACCCACCCTTTTCCTATAATCATGGGCTCAAGGCCCTACCTCCTGCCCCATCAGTCACACTCCTGTACTCTCATCAGGGTTTATATATGGTGGGCTAAGAGGAGTGTTGAGTGTTAGCTATGGGGCAGGACAGATGGGGTGGCCCAGCTGCCATCTGTTTACATGAGGAACAGGAAGCTGTCCTCCTGCCCTGGCCTCCCAAAGTGCTGCGATTACAGGAGTAAGGCACTACTCTCGACCTTTGTTTTTTCAATTGTCTTGTTTTTGAGACAGGGTCTTGCTCTGTCACCCAGGCTGGAGTGCAGTGGCACTATCGCAGCTCACTGCAGCCTTGACCTTCCCAGCTCAAGCAACCCTCTCACCTCAACCTTTCAAGTAGCTGGGACTTTAGGCACACGCCGCCATGCCTGGCTAGTTTTTGTATTTTTAGTAGAGATGGAGTTTCACCATGTTGCCCAGGCTGGTCTCAAACTCCTGGGCTCAAGCGATCTGCCCACCTCAGCTTCCCAAAGTGCTGGGTTACAGGTGTGAGGCACCACACCCAGCCTTCTAATCTTTTCATAGAAAACATTAATACTTGTGTACTTACGCCAAACCACAGTCTGGATAGTAACAGGAAGTTTGCATTTTGTTTATCTCTGGGCAGGATGAAGGAAGGTAGGTGGGGGTGGGGAAGGATTGTGGGTGATTTTTATTTTCTTTGTATTTAGCAATATTTTCTGCTTTATGTGAAGTAGACATATTTTCTTTGTATTAAAAGAGCAAAATAAATTTGTTTTCTTTAAAAGCAAAACAAGAAAAAACAGGAAACTCTGCAGGTGACAAGTGGGTCCATAATAGGGAGCCAGCCACGGAGGTGAGATAAGGGGGGAGTCCTTCGAAAGTGGCCTGGGGAGTAGGAGAGAGTGGGAACTTCCCCTGGAAACATTCCCTCTTTCATGTCTTTCTGGCCCCTTGACTTGAGAGTGCTTGACTTGGTTATGGTCCCACCCCAAGGGGTGGAAGTGGGGACCGAACAGGACCATTGTCTGCCCATCAGGTCTGTGGGGGTCGAGGGGGAGGTGGGGAGTACTGGGAACCTGGAGACTGGGGATGCTTTCTCACACTCACTAGTACTAGAAGATGGGGAAGGTGAACCAGGCTGGAGGTCGAGTTAACAGGGTAAAGAGGCCAGGGCCCTAGTTTCGCATCCGCCGACTGGCAGCTCTTCTTACGTGTTCTTTCACGGAAGCCCCTCCTTGGGAAGCCCCGCGCCCCACCCACCAGGAGTCGTCCCTTTTTGGGCGGGGCTGAGGCTTCCAGGCTGGGTCCTGAGAAAGTTTGGTGGCCGGAGACTGTGGGGCGCTTAGGTACCGACCTAACAACTTCTGCGCCTGTTTCCAGGGACGAGCCACGCACGGTGCCCCCTGAACACCTAACAGTCCCGGGGGCAGCCCCACCTCTGGCTGGGTGGACAGAGACAGCCTGTGGGCGTGGCCCAGAACTGAAAGCCTGTGACTCCTTGCGACCCGCCGGGCACACCCCCTACTCAGCTACGCAGCTCCCGAGCGCTTGAGGGGAGCTTCCCAGGCTCCCACTAGCCCACCCTCAAGCTGGGGTTTCGCACGTGCGATCGGCTGGGGTGGGCAAGGGGGTCTCCGCTCAAGGAAAGTATTCAGAACCAGCCCCTTCTCCCCCACCCTCTCTCCTGCAGGGCCCTACTGCACCTCGAAAGTGCTGGCAGGGACGAGGAGCCTGCGGGGGCCAAATTCCGTACCGTCCCCCGCCTCCCACGGTGTTCGAACAGCTCAGTAGACCGCCGCCACCAGCTGGCTGGAGCAGCCGCCGGTGACATCTGCGCCGCGCCCACGCTTCGGAGCCAAGATCCACCTCCTCTCCCGCCCGCACCGGGGAGCCCACCCACCCACCTGCTGCACTAACCTGGCCGCCTCGGCGGGGCCTGGGTTCCCACGCCCGCCAGGCTCCGCTCTACTCCGCCGCTTCCGGGTGTGCGCGGAGGCGCTGGGGCGGTGCCCTAGCCCGAGCCGCCCCGTCCGCCCGCGCGTCCCGCCCCGCGGGCTCCCGGTGGCTGCTTCCCGTCCGCTGTCCTCTGCTGCCAGTCCCCTGCCCCGGGCAAAGCCCATCTGGTCCGCCGAGCAGGTAAGACACCAGCGCCCAAGGTTAGACGGCAGGAAGACCCGACTTTGGGGGTTTGCGATTCTTACGAGGCGGGGGGCTCGTAAGAGCTACAGCTGCCAGACTTCGGTAAATCAAGGGGGCGCCCCCTGGAGACCAGAATTTTCTGGTACCCCTGGGGATCCGGCTTCAAGATCGCTGCTACCAGTGGGCACTCAAAACGGGGTGCCCATGGGTCCCAGGTACAAGCCCGGCCGAACGTATCTGAAGCCCCAGGAAACACGTGGCACAAATTCCGGGAGAAACTGTTAGCCCGGAAGATATGGGAACATTAACTGGCGAGTAGTGTGAAGCCTTGTGTACACAAACCTTTAAGAACCTTAAAACAAGATTGGCGGCCGGGCGCGGTGGCTCACGCCTGTAATCCCAGCACTTTGGAAGGCCGAGGCAGGTGGATCACCTGAGGTCAGGAGTTTGAGACCAGCCTGGCCAATATGGTGAAACCCCGTCTCTACTAAAAATACAAAAATTAGCCCGGCGAGGTGGCGCGCGCCTGGAGTCCCAGCTACTCGGGAGGCTGAGGCAGAAGAATCGCTTGAACCCGCGAGGCGGAGTTTGCAGTGAGCCGAGATCTCGCCACTGCACTCCAGCCTGGGCGACACAGCTAGATTCCGTCTCAAAACAAAACAAAACAAAAACAAACAGGATTGGCAACTTCAAAGAGGACGCACACTTTCCAGTAACCCATCCCCCTCTAAAGGCTGCGCTCCAGGGTGGGTCTGCGGAGTTCCAGCCGAACCCAAATTGCTCAGCGGGAGCCAGGGCTGCTCAGGGGTCGGAACTTAAATCTTGAGCCCCTCAGGCCCCAGAACCGTCAGGTCCCAGAGACCCAAGTTTTTTTTCATCCAGTGGGGCTGTCTTAGGAAGCACCCGGGACATCTCCCCGGCGAGGCGGAGGCGGGGAAGGAGCCTCCCCTCCAGGGGTGGATCCAGCTTTGCCCCGCCCACGCCTCGCTTCCTGATTGGCTCATGGTCCCTGACAAAGAAAAGCCTACATTAACGCTCCCGCCTTATTAACCCTGTAGTCACTTTCTACTAACCGGCGGGGTTAAGATGGGGTTTCTCAGGCCGGGCGCGGTGGCTCATGCCCGTAATCCCAGCACTTTGGGAGGCCCAGGCGGGCCGATCGCTTGAGCCTAGGAGTTCGAGGTCAGTCTGGGCAACAAAGCGAGACCTCGTCTCTGCAACAAAATTACAAAAATTAGCCAGGCGTGGTGGCGTGCCCCTGTAGTCCCAGCTACTCGGGAGGCTGAGGTGGGAGGATTGCTTGAGCCCGGGAGACTGAGGGTGCAGTGAGTTGTGATTGCGCCACTGCACTCCAGCCTGGGTAAAGAGCGAGACCCTGTCTCAAAAAAAAAGAAAAAAAAAAAAAAAAGTGGGAGGGGAGTTCTCAACGTGGAACCTGTGGAGTCACAGGGGCTTGTTGAAATGCAGATTCCTGGGCCTTACCCTTTCCGGAGAGCCTGATTTAGTAGGTGAGGCGGTGAAATCTGCTTTGTGAACAAGTTTCGGGGTTATCTGATGCCCCACGCTGTCTGAGAGGCCCTCAGTTCCTCAGGCCACAAGCATTTGTACACCTAAGCTCGGTCTTCCTGCAACACTTTGCGCCTTCCCGACCTCAGAGACGTCCGTCTCTCTCCAGGCCGGAGCTATTGGGAGTGGCGGATCCTCCCACCCCAGCCGGATCTGGGCCATGGCCGAGCCTGGAGAGGGACTGCCAGAGGAGGTGCTGGCACTCATCTTCCGCCACCTGTCCCTGAGAGACCGTGCTGCCGCCGCCAGGGTCTGCAGGGCCTGGGCCGCCGCTGCTACCTGCAGCGCCGTGTGGCACGACACAAAAATCAGGTGAGCCTGCTCCTCCACACTCCTCTCCCCACCGCCCACTCACCTTCTCCGTGGAGTCGTGGGCTAGGTAGATATTCAGGTTGACTCCCCCATATTAAAAAATAATTGCTGGCCGGGCGTGGTGGCTCATGCCTGTAATCCCAGCACTTTGGCAGGCCGAGGCGGGTGGATCACCTGAGGTCAGGAGTTTGAGACCAGCCTGGCCACCATGCTGAAACCCCGTCTCTACTAAAATACAAAAACTAGCCGGGCATGGTGGTGGGCGCCTATAATTCTAGCTACTCGGGAGGCTGAGGCACAAGAATCGCTTGAACCCGGGAGGCAAAGGTTGCAGTGAGCCGAGATGGCACCACTGCACTCCAGCTTGGCGACAGAGTAACAGTTTATCTCAAAATAATAATAATAATTGCTGACGTATTGACTGCCTAGTATATACCAACCATTGTTTTTAAGTGCCTTACATATATTAACTAATTTAATCCTTATGAAAACCTTGTGTGGTAGATAGGTATTATCATTACCTCCATTGCCCAGATAGGAAACTGAGGCAAAGAGACTTAATCACTTCCCACGGGTCACTCAGCTAGGGAATGGCAGAGGCAGAATTCGAACCTAGCAGTCCGGAGGCCATGCCAAGACTCCTTAGAGACAGCTGAGAAAGCCCAGTTCCTAAAATATCATTGGCTCTCCATGTCCAGGTTTCATCCTGTGGCAGACGCCACTGAAATCTTCTAAAAGGATAGGATGCGAGTTCCCTCCTTTGGGGCAACAGTCGTGGTCTGAACAGAGACGTGGGGAGGGAGGCAGGAAATGGGATGGCAGCTGGAACCCCAGCTAAGGGGTGGGTAGAGGCTTCTCCGCTGGTCGCAGGGACTCAGCTGAGGCCTTTTCTGCACGGCTCTAACCCAAGTTGCGAATGTGAGCTGGAAGGCATGCTGCCACCTTATCTGTCCGCCTGCCTCGACCACATTCACAACCTACGGCTGGAATTTGAGCCATCGAGGAAGCCGAGCCGCCGGGCGGCCATCGAGCTGCTGATGGTTCTGGCGGGCCGTGCCCCGGGGCTGCGAGGCCTGCGCCTGGAGTGCCGCGGAGAAAAACCGCTCTTCGACGCGGGCCGCGACGTCCTGGAGGCTGTGCACGCTGTATGCGGGGCGGCCAGCCAGCTACGCCACCTCGACCTGCGGCGCTTGTCCTTCACACTGGACGACGCGCTGGTGCTGCAGGCGGCGCGCAGCTGTCCCGAGCTCCACAGCCTTTTTCTGGACAACAGTACCCTAGTGGGCAGCGTGGGTCCCGGCTCAGTGCTCGAGCTACTGGAGGCCTGCCCGCGCCTGCGCGCTCTCGGCCTGCACCTAGCCAGTTTGTCGCACGCCATCCTCGAAGCACTGGCGGCGCCAGACCGAGCGCCTTTCGCGCTCTTGGCTCTGCGGTGCGCGTGCCCCGAAGATGCACGCGCGTCCCCGCTGCCCAACGAAGCCTGGGTCGCGTTGCGCCGCCGCCACCCTGGGCTGGCAGTGGAGCTGGAGCTGGAGCCCGCGCTGCCCGCTGAGAGCGTGACGCGCGTCCTGCAGCCAGCCGTCCCCGTGGCTGCGCTGCGCCTCAACCTCTCAGGCGACACCGTAGGCCCAGTGCGCTTCGCAGCACACCACTACGCCGCAACCCTGTGCGCGCTCGAGGTGCGCGCAGCCGCTTCGGCCGAGCTGAACGCCGCGCTGGAGGAGCTGGCGGCGCGCTGCGCGGCCCTGCGCGAGGTGCATTGTTTCTGCGTGGTGAGCCACTCGGTGCTGGACGCCTTCCGCGCGCACTGCCCGCGCCTGCGCACCTATACCCTCAAGCTCACGCGCGAGCCGCATCCCTGGAGGCCTACGCTCGTGGCGTGATTGGGCGACTTCTCTCCCCCGTCCCCGTGGACGTAAGCGCTCTGAGAGGGAACGGGGGGGGTGTCCAGGCGCGCCCCGAGTGCTAGTGCCTTCTTTTGGGATTGTTGCCCCCCGGGTCTTTACCGAGTTGGGAACTGTGATGGCATCGGGACCAGTCCTGGGCGCCCTGAGACCACTCGCTGCTCTCACCCTCTGCAGACGCCCCACCCGCTCGGTCCTGGACACACTGCCCCCCTCTCTTGCCTCCACCCCTCTGCGGACTCTGCAGCTCCGCGGCCCCGGCGCAGGGAGAGGGAGGGCACGGGCGCGGGCCGGGCCTCAAGGGTGAGTGTGAAATAAACAAATCCTGCAGTGTTTCTGCGTCCTATTAAAGGCGGGGTCGGATCTGAAAGGGAAGGACAGGGAACGCGCGGGGTACCGGAGGAGCCATCCCGGCAGAGGTTGGGTTTCCTCAAGAGCCTCTGGACGACACAGCTGCGGGGGGTCAGGGTCGGGGCACTCACACCCTTGGAATGACTACGTCCCGGGGTTCGGCGGGAGGGGGCGTGCTTCCCTGCCCCCCCTTCCTATCTGCTTGCCCTGCCTGGGGCTTCACTGTGCCTCTGGCCATTACCTTCTAGGACTTGCCCAGCCCACACCAGGTCGCGCACCGGCGATTTCTCCTGTAGAACAAAGAAGGAAATAGAGGGACCGAGAGGGGTGGGACTCGAACCCAAGTCTCCCACTCATCTCACCCCACCCCACCCCACTCCACCCCACCCCACCCCTCCACTCCACTCCACTCCACACATCCCATCCAGCCAGCCTTTTCTGCCTGCTGGTGCCTCGGCCGCTGTCCGAGCCCCGCCCCGCGGGCTTGCACGTGGCCCCCGCCTGACCCGGCGCCCCGGGGCGGAGTAGGGCGGAGCGGGCGGCAAACGCAGCACTTTCCGCGGCTTTGACGAGCCCGCAGCGGCCGGGCCCGAGCGCAGAGCCGGGCCGAGACTGCACCATGCAGGAAGCGCCAGCTGCGCTGCCCACGGAGCCAGGCCCCAGCCCCGTGCCTGCCTTCCTCGGCAAGCTATGGGCGCTGGTGGGGGACCCAGGCACAGACCACCTGATCCGCTGGAGCCCGGTGAGGGCCGGGGCCCCTCGATTCCCCCTGTGGTCCCGGGGTCCCTCCACGTCAGTGAACACCCATGCCCGCCCAACCCCCTCCTGAGACTGGGCCGTGGATCCCCGGATTTGGCCATTCAGAGAAGTTCACCTTGGAGGGGGTGTGCGAGAGGGGGGTTTCCTCTGCGGCCGAAGAAGGGTTAGGAGCCTGCCTTCTGAAGACCTAGAGTCCGAGGGACCTTCGAGGCCATTTAGTTCCCACCCTACCCCATCCGACAGATGGGAAAACAGAGGCCGGGAGATGGGAAGGGCTGGTCTAGCTCAGGGTCACATTGCGGGGCTGGGAACCCCGTCAGCCTCTCCTTTCTGAGAACTGAGTATGGAGTCAGGGTCTGGCTGGGGGTAGGGACTCACTGTGGTCGCTCCAGGCTAGGCCTCGGAGCCCGTTCTGGCCTGGCCTCGACCCATATCCCCGTAAGCGGCAGGCCTGGACCCAAGAGTGAGCATGAGTGTGTGCGCGCGCTGGAGCGCAGGACTGGCCGTGAGCGGGCACCGCTCACCCTCCTGGTCTCCGCCCGCACGGTGGGCGGGCGGCGTTCTTGGTAGAGCGGGACCAGTTTCCTCGTAAGCGACCAGAGCCGTTTCGCCAAGGAAGTGCTGCCCCAGTATTTCAAGCATAGCAACATGGCGAGCTTCGTGCGCCAACTCAACATGTGTGAGTCCCTACGGCCGGGCGGGGAGCGGGGATGGGGGACTCGGTGCCGGGGATGGGGCGACCCACGCCCCCACGCCCCACTCCCCAGACGGTTTTCGGAAGGTGGTGAGCATCGAGCAGGGCGGCCTGCTTAGGCCGGAGCGCGACCACGTCGAGTTCCAGCACCCGAGCTTCGTGCGCGGCCGCGAGCAGCTACTGGAGCGCGTGCGGCGCAAGGTGGGGGCGGCCTGCGGGAATGAGCAAAGAGGAGGAGGGGTGCTGGGACTGCCTGCCTTGCTCCTGCGACCCAGTCCCGACGGTGCCTCCCGCCTGCAGGTGCCCGCGCTGCGCGGCGACGACGGCCGCTGGCGCCCGGAGGACCTGGGTCGACTACTGGGCGAGGTGCAGGCTTTGCGGGGAGTGCAGGAGAGCACCGAGGCGCGGCTGCGGGAGCTCAGGCAGTGCGGGGGCGGGCGGGGAAAGAGGGGACAGGGGTGGGGGGTTCGGGATGAGACCATAACTGGCCGGCCAGCAGTTCTGGGCAGCCCCTTCCTCTCTCCTGCCTTGGCGCCTCCATCTAGACTTATGGGCGATCTCTGGGATGGCCAGTCAGCGGGGTGGTCTCCTGGGTCCCCAGCCTCGCCATTCTGTGGGGGGTGGTGACTGGGCGAACTCTCAGATGCCTCAGCACCCTCCCACCCCTTCCTCAGGCAGAACGAGATCTTGTGGCGGGAGGTGGTGACACTTCGGCAGAGCCACGGTCAGCAGCACCGGGTCATTGGCAAGGTGTTCCTCTCCCCAAGCCTCGCTTCTCCCTCCCACTCCTCGACACCCCATTCCACCGCCCAGTCCCCCGGCGCCCCTGTTAAGCCTTCCTCCCTCACCTGGAAGTGCGGGGGTGGGGGGGCTGTGTCCAAAGTATGAATTAAACCTTTGCTTTCTCTTCAGCTGATCCAGTGTCTCTTTGGGCCACTTCAGGCGGGGCCGAGCAATGCAGGAGGCAAGAGAAAGCTGTGAGTGAGAAAGCCAAGAAGGCCCACACCCACTTCCAAGACCCCCCAGAAGTCCCCTTGCAAGGACCCCTTCTCCTCTGGAAACTCCTTCACCGGGAATCCTCATTCCTCCCCCTGCGCTACAGGCTTCCTCACCCCATCTAGGATCCACTTCCCCCCAACTCTGCCACCTGGTATCCCCACTCCCAGATCCTCCCATTCCAGGACCTTATTCCCAAATTCCTACCCCAGCAGCCCCTTCCCCCTCCGGCAAGGCTTCCCAACAGCTGAGACCCTGGGGCTCAAACCAGGTTCCCTCCCTCCCCTCTCTACCCACAAAGGGCCCCCATCTCTAGGGGGAGCCCCTTCCACCTCCAGCATGTGACTGACACCCTAGCAACAGGCCTCAGCTCTGCTGACTTGGCTGCTGGGGCCTGAGGGAGGGAGGGAAGTGCAGGCCGAGGTGCATGGGGGCTGACCCTGCCCCACCCCTGCCTGTGCCCTGATCGACCACACAGGTCCCTGATGCTGGATGAGGGGAGCTCATGCCCAACACCTGCCAAGTTCAACACCTGCCCTCTACCTGGTGCCCTTCTGCAGGACCCCTACTTCATCCAGTCGGTAGGTTTGTCTTCTTCCCCCTTCCCAAGGGCATGGCTGGGCTTATGGAGAGCCTGTTCCTTCTCCCCATCCCCTAAAAGGAAGAGAAGATGGAAGCCAGCCTTCCCCCCAACCAGACCCAGGCCCTCCAGCATGGACTGAGCCTCCTCCCTCAAACCTTCTCCCTTAGACCTGGCCCAGGTGGGTGTTGGTGGGGTTCTGGCTCTCCCTGTGCCTACAGGCCAAGGGCTGGGCCTAGCCTTCTACTTACAGCCTCTCCCAGAGACAAATTTGGGCCTTAGCCCTCACAGGGCCAGGGGCCCCATCATCTCTGACATCCCAGAAGACTCTCCATCCCCTGAGGGGACCAGGCTTTCTCCCTCCAGTGATGGCAGGAGGTAAGGGGGACAGGGCTGCCCCTGAGGGGCCTGTGGGGGAGGGCCTGGCAGCCCAGATGGCTGTAGGGGTAGAGGGAGAAGTCAGTGCCAGGGTCTGGTTGAAGCTTTTCTCTGGTGCAGGGAGAAGGGCCTGGCACTGCTCAAAGAAGAGCCGGCCAGTCCAGGGGGGGATGGCGAGGCCGGGCTGGCCCTGGCCCCAAACGAGTGTGACTTCTGCGTGACAGCCCCCCCGCCACTGCCTGTGGCTGTGGTGCAGGCCATCCTGGAAGGGAAAGGGAGCTTCAGCCCCGAGGGGCCCAGGAATGCCCAACAGCCTGAACCAGGGGATCCCAGGGAGATACCTGACAGGTGAGCAGAGCCCCAGCTGGCCCATGAGCCCTGTGATAGAACAGCCCTTACCAGCCCACAAAGCTTCCTAGCCATTTGACTCCATGATACTCACCTGATTTCTTGGCCCCAGCATCAGAGTTCTGTGGAAAGCAGAGCCTCCCAGTCAGGGCACTCAGCATCTGCGGAAGGGCTTAGGAACCTACATATGAAATGAGTTCCCTGGGGTGACTGCAAAGTACACAATAGTTTAAGAAGCATTGGTGGCTATGAGGTGGCTCATGCATGTAATCCCAGCACTTTGGGAGGCTGAGGCGGGCAGATCACTTGAGGTCAGGAGTTCAACACCAGCCTGGCCAACATGGTGAAACCCCCCGCCTCTGCTAAAAATACAAAAATTAGCTGGGTGTGGTGGCGTTTGCCTGTAGTCCCAGCTACTCAGGAGGCTGAGGCAGGACAGTCGCTTGAACTTGGGAGGTGGAGGCTGCAGTTAGCCAAGACAGTGCCATAGTGACATAGTGGGTGACATAGTGAAACTGTCTCCAAAAAAAAGAAAAGAAAGAAAGAAGGAAAGAGAGAGAGAGAGAGAAAGAAAAAAGAAAGGAAGAAAGAAAGAAATAAAGAAAGAAGAGAAAGAAGCATGGATATTGATACTTGCATAGGGAGGGGAAGGGTCCCAAAGCCCCAGCTCCACCACCCAAACTTCAGGTCCCAGGTAGGAAGCAGAGGCACTTTCTCTGTGCCATTTATGGCAGGAGTGGGGAGGTTGGGGGTGGAGAGAGGATGGGGATCCTCTCCTATCATTTTCTAAAGATTGGGGGATTAAAATCTTGATGCATCTGGGTTCCTTGGGAACTTAATGCGGGGTGGACACTGCAGGCCAAAAGCAGTTCTGTCTGCACAGGGGGCCTCTGGGCCTGGAAAGCGGGGACAGGAGCCCAGAGAGTCTGCTGCCTCCGATGCTGCTTCAGCCCCCTCAAGAAAGTGTGGAACCTGCAGGGCCTCTAGATGTGAGTACCCCTTCTGCTGAAACAGGGGCATGAGACCTGGTGGGGTCTAGCTCTCTGTGGAGCCTGGGGAGGGCACCACTGACCCAGAGCTCTCCTCAGGTGCTGGGCCCCAGTCTCCAAGGGCGAGAATGGACCCTGATGGACTTGGACATGGAGCTGTCCTTGGTAAGAAGTGGGTCGGGGAGGGCAGAGGCCAGGGGTGGCTGAGTCAAGCCCTCTGGTCCATAGCTGTTCTCTGTGAGCCAAAGCCGTGTCTCTAGAAGAATTGTCACAGTGATTTCCCAGCTGTCCCCCTCAGCTGCTAGGTCCCCTCCCCAGCTGCTCCCTGCGGTTCTCACGCAGATGCAGCCCTTGGTTCCAGAGCGGGGTGAGCCTGAGCTGGCGGTCAAGGGGTTAAATTCTCCAAGCCCAGGTAATGGTTGTGATGACTCCTACCTGGGAGGACGCCGTGATTGGGCTGAGCTACCTTGATTGAGTGAGGGGGCAATCTGCAATTTGCAGGGAAATCCTGAGTTCAGGCTGCACTGCAGAGCGTTCCTTGAGCCACCCATGCCCTCACCATTGGGCGAGAGTGGGGAGGTTAAGAATGGATGTTTTATCCTAACTGAGCAGAAGGCAGGCGGGCAGGGCTCTCCTTCCCTGAAGAAAGGAGGGGGAACATTTCCCCTGGTGAGCGCAGTCCCACTTCTCCTAGGGAAGGACCCCACGCTCGGGGCCCCACTCCTGCTGGATGTCCAGGCGGCCTTGGGAGGCCCAGCCCTGGGCCTGCCTGGGGCTTTAACCATTTATAGCACTCCTGAGAGCCGGACTGCCTCCTACTTGGGCCCGGAAGCCAGTCCCTCCCCCTAAGACCCCGCGCCTCTGAAGGGGCTTGGAACCAGTCCGCCGCTGCACATCCTTCTTGGCTTCCTGGCGCCCCCTATCGGGGGTGAGCGAAGCCCCCACTACTAAATGGCCTCTCTCCACTACCCCGACTATCCCTGCACATAAACTCCGTTTTTTTTTTTTCTGTTTCTGGTCTCTTTTCTCTATCGACCAGGGAGCACAGGAGTTATGGGTGGGGGGTGATTTTGCATTTGTAGAAGCGTCCAGATACTAGGTTTTTAATAGAGGAACCCCAGGAGGGTGGAGGTGCTTGGGGATCCGGTGCCTAGCTCCCTTGCTTAGGCCCGGGTCCAGGGCTGGCGCGGGGCCGCTGCAATCTCTGGGAAGCGGGGGCTTCTGGGTCGCGCTCAGCTCTGCAATGCATGCGTTCTGTGATCCTGGTGAGTTGGTATCCTTCTCTGAACTTCCTCTGTGACAGGCAGAGAAGAGGGGTCGATGACAAGATAGATGGAAAGCACCTGGAAATTGGCAGGCCCTGAGTGGGCGCTGGACGTGTGGGGCCGCGGGCCGAACTGCCCCCTCCTGGCCTCATCTCCTGGTGCGCCCCGGGTGGGGAGGGAAAGCTGACTACATGCACGTCCCCAGCCAGCGCGCGGCCTCCGCGGTGTGGCTCCTAGTGCCCGGGGAAGAACCCTCACCCTCCCTATTCCCAGCAGCCCTGGCCGCCCCGCCCCCGCCGCAGCTGCTGCACCCACCCCCACCCTGCCCGGCCCTTTCTGCACCGTCATCTCCTGCCCCGCCGAGGCTTGACCCGTGAGTGGGGACGCCCAAAACGGGCCAGACCGGGAGCCCCACTCCCGGCTGTGGGAGGGAAGGGAAACCGAGATTGGGCAGAATCAGCGCCCCACCACCCGCTGCGGCGCTCGGGGGTCGGGGGGGCGGGGTGGGTAGGACTGTGGGCCCCGCCCTGCCGCAGGACTCTCAAGCTCTGGGACTGGGTGGAGGGAGGTAAGGGGCGGGGGGGGAAAATCCGTGCAGTCGCACATGCGCAAAGGCTCTTCACTGTCCCAAGACCCTGGCTTCCTGGCCAAAGAGCCCGCGCAGCGAGGTGGGGTTGGGGGCTGGGACCCAGCTCCGTGCCCCGCCACCTGGCTCTCTGGGAAGAATCGGACCTGTCACCCTCGAAGGACTGGCCGCTAAATAACTTCGGTATTGAGAGCTGTGTGAGCCTCAAAGGGAGGGCCCAGACCAGCTGGAGTCTCTACCCCCAGACAGGATAAAGGGCAGGACTTGGGGTCATAGGAGGAGGCGGCTAACATGAAAACAACTTAGGTTGGAGAGAAGGAGGGGCCAATCCAATCTGCACCCTCCCTGTGTCTGTCCCGAGTAGGTGCTGTCCCCCTCTCCCTTCCTTTGCCCACCGATTGGAGGGACACTCTGGAAAACTCAGTTGAAGAAAGCGGAGAGTCTGCGTGTACACAGTGCAATGATGTCAGTTAATGCACTAGTGAGGGCATGTGTTGTTCACGGTACACAGAAGAAGGAACCACCAGCCCTTGGGACACTTAGGCATTGGTGTAGACAAGGGAACATTTGAGTCCTGGACGATGGATAGGTCCACGGAGCGGAGGGAGGAGAAAAGGATTCCAGTCTTAGCGATCAGCATCAGCAAAGGCTCCGAGGTGCCAGAGGCATAGTGAGTTCTCCGATCCCTGGCTGGTGGAGGGAAGCTGGGAAGGGCCTGGCTGTCCAGGGTGGTGGGAGGAGGCTAGAGTAGCCAGACCAGATATTTTGGGTTGTCTCTGATGGGCAGTGGGGTGTGGGGGGGAGGTAGATAGGTATTTAGGATGGAATTCTGCTAGACAGGAAAATATAGTTCAGTTCCTCATAGTTCAGGCTGGAGCAAGTAAGATTCCAGTTTTACCACTGAATCTCTGAGCCTGTCTCCTCATCTGTAAAATGGGAACAGCAATCCTAGCCCAGAGGGTTGTCAAAGTCACTGTGCTATCGGGCCTGGCAGAATGGGAGTGAGAGGGGCTCAGAGGGACTGTTACAGGACATGAGGTGACGATGGTGGGGTGGCAAGGCAGGAGCTGATGGAGACTCACTGAGAAGTGGAGAAGCAAGATTCATCACATACGGGACATAAAGGGAGATGGAGGGGCAGGGGGTAGTCCTGGTCTCGGCCTGGTGGGGAAGGGCTTCAATGGGAGGAAGCCAGGGTGTGAAGTGACGGGGGAGGTATAGTGTGACACCAGAGGGTACTGAGAAAGACCTGGGAGGCAGGATGGCGGCTAGGACTAAATCCTCTCTCCCAGAGAAGGCCGAGCCTCCTAGAGCCAGAGAAGGAGGCAGAGGAGGGACAGCAAAGGGAAGAAGAGATGGGAGGATGCCGTGTGAACAAAGCCAAGGCGGGGAGGAGAAGAAGTTATTATCAGGGTGGGGGTGGGCTGAGGGCATGGTTCAAGGCCTGATGTCTTTGCCTCCTAATGCCGGGGGTCTTGCTGGCTGGGTCAGGCCACTCACAGGAATGGGCCATAATCCTTGGTTGACAATAAATGGACAAAGCAGCTGGGTGCGGTGGCTCATGCCTGTAATCCCAACACTTTGGGAGGCCAAGGTGGGTGGATCACGAGGTCAGGAGTTCGAGACCAGCCTAGCCAACATAGTGAAACCCCGTCTCAACTAAAAACACAAAAAATTAGCTGAGCGTGGTGCGGGCACCTGTAATCTCAGCTACTCGGGAGGCTGAGGCAGAAGAATCGCTTGAACTCAGGAGGCAGAGGTTGCAGTGATGAGAGAATGTGCCACTGCACTCCAGCCTGGGCAACAGAGTGAGACTCTGTCAAAAAAAAAAAAAAAAAATGGATAAAGCAGATTGACTCTCCCTAATAGCCGCTGTTGGTAGAGATAGTCTCTCAAGAGCCAGGCATGGTGGTTCACATGGTGGTTCACAAAGTGCTGGTAATCCCAGCACTTTGGAAGGCTGAGATGGGAGGATTGCTTGAGGCCAGCAGTTCGAGACCAGCCTGATCAATATAGCAAGACCAGGACAGGCGCGGTGGCTCACGCCTGTAATCCCAGCACTTTGGGAGGCCAAGGCAGGTGGATCACGAGGTCAGGAGTTCAAGACCAGCCTGGCCAACATAGTGAAACCCCGTCTCCACTAAAATAAATAAATACAAAAAATATATATAGCAAGACCCCACCTCTAAAAAAAAAAAAAAAAAAAAAGGCTGGGCACGAGAATCACTTGAGCCTGGGAGGCGGAGGTTGCAGTGAGCCAAGATTGCGCCACTGCACTCCAGCTTGGGCAACAGCGAGACTCCATCTCAAAAAAAAAAAAAAAAAAGTCTCTCAAAATAGTGCGATCCATGGAGGAAAATCAGTCCAAGTTCGGCAAGTATTTGTCGGTATCCTGTATGAGCTAGGCCTTGGGTACTTCAAGATCAAACAACAAATGTCTGTAGGTAATTCCCAGGTCAGCAGGGAGCCAGGTGGGTCAGCAGAGAGACAGTCACATTAGGAGTTAGGGCTTCAGTAGGGAGACAGGTGGGTCTCAGGTGATGTCAAGAGATCTTGGTCAGAGCTAGGCCTGAAGAAGATTCTGGTATCTCTGCTCAGGAATCAGGGGACCAGGAAGGGCCAGGAGACTACATTGGGGTTGCACTATGGTGGTGGTGTTGGTGGGAGGGTGTAGAGGCGGGGCTTGTCCTGGAAAGTTGGATATCAGGGTCAAGGTAAGGGGAGAGGGGCAGGGAGGCTCTCAGCACTTTGTGCTCTGGGTTCAGAGGGGACTGGAGGATAGAGTATGGAAGCAGGGAGCTCTGATCCTGGGTTCTGCAGGGCCAAAGCAGGAGGCAGAAGGCTGGACTTAGTAAGTGGTGAGGATGGTGAGAGAAATATTCAGCAGTCAGACTGGAAAGGACTTGTCTGCAAGCTGGGTGTGGAGTATCAGCATCAATCCTAGGTTTTTCTGCCTGGTTAGGTGGGGAAGCAGATTTGAGAGAAAGACCTTAGTTTGGATAAACGGGGTCTGAACTCGCCTCGGATTTGCCGGGGGTGGAGCTCAGGACGTCCTGGTTGGGGAGGGCATTCAGAGAGTAGATGCCAGTCCTGGGAAAGGCAGGGGAGGAGAGGAGAGCCACGGCTGACGCTTGGGGACAGAAGGAGGAGCCTGAGGAGGAGACAGGACAGAGCGTCTGGAGAGGCAGGAGGACACCGAGTTCCCCGTGTTGGCCTCCAGGTCCTGTGCTTGCGGAGCCGTCCGGCGGCTGGGATCGAGGTGAACTTAAACCCCAGCCTGGGTGTTCACTGGGGGCATTGAGGGAGTGGTCAGAGGCGGCGAGGGCAGCGGGGAGGGCAACCCCCCATTACTTCTCTCCCCTTTCCCCATGCAGCCCCGACAATGGGCAACGCGCAGGAGCGGCCGTCAGAGACTATCGACCGCGAGCGGAAACGCCTGGTCGAGACGCTGCAGGCGGACTCGGGACTGCTGTTGGACGCGCTGCTGGCGCGGGGCGTGCTCACCGGGCCAGAGTACGAGGCATTGGATGCACTGCCTGATGCCGAGCGCAGGGTGCGCCGCCTACTGCTGCTGGTGCAGGGCAAGGGCGAGGCCGCCTGCCAGGAGCTGCTACGCTGTGCCCAGCGTACCGCGGGCGCGCCGGACCCCGCTTGGGACTGGCAGCACGTGGGTCCGGGTGAGCGCGCGGGGCGGGGCCTAGGGCAGAGCAGGGACGGGGCTGGGGCAGACAAAAGGCCCGGGGAGGGCAGGGTTGTCGTCTCCGCTAGAAGTAGGCGAGTGTGAAACCGCACAGGGGTAAATTGAGCCTCAGTCACTCCCACTTCCGCCCCAGGCTACCGGGACCGCAGCTATGACCCTCCATGCCCAGGCCACTGGACGCCGGAGGCACCCGGCTCGGGGACCACATGCCCCGGGTTGCCCAGAGCTTCAGACCCTGACGAGGCCGGGGGCCCTGAGGGCTCCGAGGCGGTGCAATCCGGGACCCCGGAGGAGCCAGAGCCAGAGCTGGAAGCTGAGGCCTCTAAAGAGGCTGAACCGGAGCCGGAGCCAGAGCCAGAGCTGGAACCCGAGGCTGAAGCAGAACCAGAGCCGGAACTGGAGCCAGAACCGGACCCAGAGCCCGAGCCCGACTTCGAGGAAAGGGACGAGTCCGAAGGTGTGAGTCCGCCCAAACCCTGAGCCGGCTTGGCGGGAGGGCATGGCCTGGGAAGCGGATGCCGGACCCCACCTCTTTGACCACTGTTCCCGTCATCTCTAGATTCCTGAAGGCCAGAGCTCTGACAGGCGGTGCCCCGCCCATGCTGGATAGGACCTGGGATGCTGCTGGAGCTGAATCGGATGCCACCAAGGCTCGGTCCAGCCCAGTACCGCTGGAAGTGAATAAACTCCGGAGGGTCGGACGGGACCTGGGCTCTCTCCACGATTCTGGCTGTTTGCCCAGGAACTTAGGGTGGGTACCTCTGAGTCCCAGGGACCTGGGCAGGCCCAAGCCCACCACGAGCATCATCCAGTCCTCAGCCCTAATCTGCCCTTAGGAGTCCAGGCTGCACCCTGGAGATCCCAAACCTAGCCCCCTAGTGGGACAAGGACCTGACCCTCCTGCCCGCATACACAACCCATTTCCCCTGGTGAGCCACTTGGCAGCATATGTAGGTACCAGCTCAACCCCACGCAAGTTCCTGAGCTGAACATGGAGCAAGGGGAGGGTGACTTCTCTCCACATAGGGAGGGCTTAGAGCTCACAGCCTTGGGAAGTGAGACTAGAAGAGGGGAGCAGAAAGGGACCTTGAGTAGACAAAGGCCACACACATCATTGTCATTACTGTTTTAATTGTCTGGCTTCTCTCTGGACTGGGAGCTCAGTGAGGATTCTGACCAGTGACTTACACAAAAGGCGCTCTATACATATTATAATATATTCGCTTACTAAATGAATAAGGACTTTCCAACTGCGTTTCTGAGTTTTACAGATGGGAAAACTAAGGCCAAAGGATAGGAGTGGGGTTCACACAGCTAAGTCTGAAGGGAAACTGGAAGCAGCAACCACCTCTGCACCTCACCTGGTCTAAGAGGGGTTCAGGACTTGGGCCACCAAACTCTAGGGCCTGTCCCTCAGGTGCAATTGCAGCTGCTCCTAGGCTATGCCAACCTCTGCCAGAGAGCAGCTGTGAGGGTGTGAGCAAAGACAGGAACAGCAGAGGCCAGTGGAGGGAGTGGGGAACAGGGCCAAGGGAGCTCTTGGGCTTGACTCTCAAGGCCTGAATCAGTGTGTGTGTGTGTGTGTGTGTGTGTGTGTGTGTGTGTGTGTGTGTGTGTGTGTGTGTGTGTGTGTAATGGGAGTGGGGCTGGGAAAATTGGTGCCTTCCAAGAAGGAGTGTCCTGTCCAACCCCCCGCACCCCCACGGAACCTTCAGGAGCTGCTGCTCCCAGCCACAGGAAGTAGACCATATAAATATGGAATAAATACATGACCAGTGAGAGAGGCAAAATGTCGGAAAGCAGACCCCAGGCCAGCTGGGTCTCTACTACCAGGACCCCAGGCTCAGGCCATCAATCACCCCAGGAGAAGGGAGCCCGACCCCCACCAGGACCCAGTGAGAGGTAGACAGCACAAATGCTGAAGGAGCACCAAGGGGCCAGGTAAGGGAAGGGAGAGACTGGAGTACTGGGACAACCAAAGCCATCTCATGCAAGAACAAGTTTCTATTCCCAAACCACCCCCATCCCCATCAATGCTCAGCTCTCTTCCTGCCCCCATGCCTTCCCTCTGCTCAACAGAGAGCTGGAGGCAGGAGGGCGACTCAGTTTGCCAGACATGCTGCTGCAGGTCCCCAGACCCCAGGGAGGCTGGCAAGGGACACAAACACTTTGATGTTGCCACTCCTCCTCAAGGAATGCTCCTGCCCTCCCAACACCCCCAAGAAACACCTAGGCCGTGGACGCACAGAGCAAACTGCTTCATGTTCTAGGGGCCTATCTGGAGCTTCTGTCCAGGGCCTCTGACTGCAGCCCTCAACGGACATCAGTCGGGTAGCAGGCGACCCAGCTCCGCCTCATCCAGCCGGTTGGTGGCCATGATGTGCTCCAGCTGCTGCCGGTAGCGTGCCAAGTCCTGCATGAAGTGGGGCACCCGGGTATTATCCAGCACCCCATGGGGCCGCAGGTGGTCCACATCCTCATAGGACACCTGCAGGAGGAAGCCGGGCATCAGGCATAGGCAGTGGCCCCTGGCTTTCAGGTAGCTGGTCCCAGCCCACTGCTTACAGCTCACAGCCTTTGCTCCGGGACTTCTTCCTCTCCCCTCCTGATCCACAATTAGCTACAACGTTTTATACCTCTAGACTCAATCCTTCATCTTTGCCCTTTCTCTCAACAGTTTCTTTTTGTCATAGATGCCCTACAACCCCACTTCTCTCTCCAGCCCAGCCTCTCAGACCCTCACCTCCAAACATGGGCATCCAACTGCCTCCTTAATGTCTTCCCCTGGATAACCCTCAGGATGGCCCCATGTCCAAAAGTCAACTCCTGAGTGCCAGCTTATGCCAGCTCCACCCTCTTTACAGTCACCCAGGTCAGATTCCCGGGAGGGGGCTTGGACTCTCACCCTCCCATCAGGGTAGCCGCTGAGTTAAAAGTATTCCCCTCTCTGAAGAGCTCTCCAGCTTGTCCCTTCATCTCCAACCCAGCGGCCACTGCCTGGTTAGGCCAGACCACCATCCCTTCTGCAGGAGTGACAGGCAAGGCCTCCTCCGTGCCCCTGCACTCCCTTCCCTAGTCCTCTCTCCAATCCACCTCCCATATGATGTCCAGAAGGAGCCTTCTGAAGCAAATATCAGAGTCACTCCTCTGCTTAAAGCTCCTCTCACTCCCCGTTGCTTCAGATGAAATCTACTTTCCTCGGCCTGGCACAAATGCCAGTGCCAGGGAGTTGGTCCCTGGCCATTTCTGCAGCCTTCTTCCCCTGGCCTTCCTGATCACTCCCTTGGCCTGGAATGCTCATCTCCTTTGAGATGCAGTATCTACATACACCTGCAGCCTCCGTTAAGCACCTGGTTTTGCTGCCAGAGTCATTTCATCTCCTGTTCTCACTTCCACCCACGCTCCCCCCTACCACCACAGGCCTGACACCCAGCCCTCGGTCTAGCACCAATCCGAGGCTCAGGGAATTCTACAGCAAGGCAGGGAGCTGGCTGGGACCTCTGAAGGTCCACAGCCCCTCACCTTGCCCAGTGAGGTCAGCAACGGGAAATCGATGGTCTGGCGATGTCGCAGAATGCGCACGATGCCGTCCAGGTACACCTGGTCCTTGCTGAAACAACCTGGGAGGGCAGGAGGGCGGTGAGCCCCGCCCCTCGCCCGAAGCCCCGCCCCCACCCCGGCTCTAGGCACCTCCCCCGCGCTGGCGCACACCTGGCAGCGAGGTGTCGGTCTGGCCGCGCTTGGCGCGCACGCAGTACTCCCAGCGCACATCGGCGTCCTGCACGTAGCGCTCCAGGTCCTGGAAGAGCTGACGGAAGGACATGCGCGCGGCGCGGTGGATGGTGTAGTAGAGCAGTGCAGCGCGCCACAGGAACGGCTGCTTGCGGAACAGCACGCTGTGCAGGCTGGCCAGGCCCTCCTCCGTGGGGTTCGCCGGCCGCAGCCCGTACCGCAGCCGGCCCTCCGCGTTGTGCCACGGCTGGCGCGCGTTGTTCACGCCCCGCAGGTAGTGGGTGCCTGCGGGGAAGGCGAGGGGAGGCGGCGCTGGGCGGGGCGTTCGGGGACCCGCCTGCGAGCCCAGCCCTGGCCCTGTTCCATCTGGCCGGGGCTCTGGCCGCGACACTTCCATCCTCATGCTCCTGAACTCAGGCTCGCACACAGGCTCTCCCAGCCCCAGGCAGCGTGAAGCTCCTCCTCCTGTGGACTCGCACCCAAGGATCCACAGAGGCTCACATACATGAATCCTCTCCCACCCATCCGCCCCCCACCCTACACCCACGCACCCACACACGTGCACGAACTCTCCCAAACTGACATTGCCCCCAGCCCTCCTGGGCACAAGAATACATATACCACCCTGCCCAACATCCTGGGTGCCCATATCATCTTGAACAGTCATGCTGATGCCCCCGGTAAAAATCACTCTTGCCCAGAGCAACAGGATTCTCGAGGAAGAGGGACAGACAGATAGGAATAGTGGTTAGTGCCCTGCACCCCCCTGCCCAAACTGGCCAGTCCCCTCCTAAACCAGGTGCCATGTGTCCTCAAGTCAAGTCCATTCCCAGGACCTGGCCTTCCATCCACCCTGGAGGGCCAGCGTGGTGGCTGGCCTGGTGGGACCCTGAGGGTTCTTTCTCTGGCCGGTCAGGGCCTGACCAGCCTTGCCCGCACTGTTGGGAGAAGTCGGAGAGGAAGTGGAGAGAGAAAAATATACCCGAAAGGACCAAGAGATGAGAGCGAGCCCAGAGCATGGGCAGGCATGTTCTGGCCTACCTCTGTAAGCAGAGGGCGGGAGGTGGCTGCTCAGGAAGGGAAAGCCCCGACCTCAGGAGGGAAGGGGGAGAAACAAAAAGGGGAGTTATTGGGGCCCCTCCTTCCCACCCCTCCCAGCTCCCAGGCCCCTTTCATGCCTACCCATCTGCCCGGATACCCACACCCTGACCTATCTCATGCCGCAGCATGCCCTCCAACCAGTACTGGCGGGCTCCGGTCAGGTTGATCGCCAATGTGGGCCGGCTGTTCTCCACCATCATCACTGCCTGGGACAGCAGGTCCTCACTCAGCTGCACCACAACCTGCAGGTGGCAGTGCTCTGAGCCATGGCCACCAGCCTGGGGCCAGGGTGCAGGTGGACCCAATGATGCCACAGGGCAGCGAGGCCAGACAATTGGCCAGGGCACCCACCCTTCATCACCTCTGCTCAGAACCAGCTCCCACCTCACTGGGGCAGGGGCAGGGGTGGGTCAGGTGTGGAGCTGGACCTGGGACCGCCCACAAGACACCCTGATTTGGGGCATGTAGAGGAAGGGCTCTGCAGGCAAGCTCACCTCCCCAGCGCAGCCCTCCTTCTGCATGTATTTGCGCACAATCGACCATATCTGGCACTTGGTGAGCAGCTGCCCCCCAGTGGCAGCCTCAAAGTGTTCATAGGTTCCAAACTTCTCCAGAACAGCCTCAATGATGCCAACTGCCTGTACACGGGGCCACAGTGGCTGGTCAGGACAAGCCCCTTGGGTGGTCAGGGCCAGGATACGGTGGGGAGGCTGGACTGACCTGATGGATGAACTGTCCAGAGGCCTCGCAGTACTTTTCCAGCACAGCCGTGGGCATGGGCTCCTGGTACTCAAACTGTGGATTGTAGGTGTAATGGGACTGGAAGAACTTGTCTCGCTCACGGTCCATGTTGGTTGGCCGCAGGGCCACCAACATGCAGGGGCTCTTGCTGGCAATATGGCCTGCATCCCTTTGAGTCTTAGCAATGTGAGGCAGGGAGGCTGCAGGCCGCAGGGTGCCCCCACCTGGGTTCCGTCCCCGTCCAGGTGGAGGCCGTCCCAGGGTGCCACGCCCCCGCCGGCCAGTACTATTTACAGAGTAGGTGCTCTCACTGCGACGCATGTGGCCACGGTGGCCCAGGAGCATCTGTGAGAACGGCTGCTGCTCAGGCTGGGGCTGCAGCGCTGGGGGGACTGCCAGAGCCAGGGGCAAGGCCAGGGACTGAGACCAGGGGTACAGTGGTGGCCCATCTCGGTCTGAGGGCTTCAGCCTATGGCGCAGGGATGGGGGACTGGTAGGCGGGCTGGGGGGTGCCTGATCATACGCCTGAGCCCCTGAGTCCAGCACCATTCTGTCCTGGGGGTCACATCCAGCCGGGTCACTCCAACTCCCCACACTGTCGACCTCTGGGGACACAGAAGGGCATGTGGAGACCAGCATGAGTGGGTGTGACCAAACGACCAGCAGGCCCTGTACTCCACATTGCCTCTGCTGGGCCCTTGGTGGGCCCAGGCTCTGCTACCAGGGGTCTGATTGGCTGCAGCGTCCATTGCCTCCAGCAGACTCACCCAAATATGCTGGGCCGGAAGAAAGCACTTTTGTTTTCGTTTTTGTTTTTTGAGACAGGGTCTCACTCTGTTGCCCAAGGTGGAGTGCAGTGCAATGATCATAGCTCATTGCAGCCTCCAACTCCTGGCCTGAAGTGATCCTCCCGCCTCAGCCTCCCAAAGTGCTGGAATTAAATGCATGAGCCATCGCACCCAGCCGAAAGCAAGAGTTTTAAACACCCACCTAGGTGGTGGTTACTGGAATCCTCTCAGCCTGAGCTCCTGAAGGCAAGGACTGAGCCCCTTACTCGTGATTCTAATCTCTGTGCTCACTCACTTAATCTGGGAGGTGGTACAGTGCAGCTTCAGCTGCCTGGGCAGATTAGGTAGGTGAGAAGACCTCAGGGACTGCCTTCAGCCTATGGCATCTTCTCAGTGCCACCCCTGCCCATCCACCTGGCTTTACCCATATCCTCCTGCCTATTTGGCCTCAGTCAGTTTCAATGTTTGAGGGCCCCATGCTTACGCCGGTACCCCCCAGAATGCCCTCTCTCCTCTGAGCCATCTGTTGAAATCCAAATTAGAATCTGCTTTTGGGAAGCAGAAGGAAGCTTCAGCAAATCCAAGCCAATCTCTGGCTTGTCCCCTATCTGAGGGATCTTTCCAGTGGTCATCCAAAGCCAGTGTCAGGGCGCTCACCCCGACTCTGTTCCAGGACTCAGTCCAATCCCAACCCTCCCCAGAGACTACCTGGAGAGGCTCCAGCTGCTGAGCTCCCTTGCCTGCTCAGTGACTCACTTCCAGCATTTCTCCTCTCTCCTACATCATCAATCTCTTCCTCTCTACTGGACTCTTTCCATCAGGATAAACACATGCTGTTACTTCTCCATCTTAAAAAACAAAACAAAACCCTCACTAGAACCCACACTCCTCCAGCTACAGCCCCGCTGCATCTCCCTCCACTTGCTCCTATTGCAGCACATACCTCGAGTCATCTATACCCAGTCTCCAGTTCCTTTTTTCCTGTTCTCTCTTAAATTCACTCCAATTAGCCTTTTGTTCCCAGCACTCCATCCAAATTGATCTGATCAAGGTCACCAATGACCAGCAATGACCTTCATATTGATCAGCACCCGATACAGTTAATCACTACCTCCTGGAGGCCAGGCAGGGTGGCTCACGCCTGTAATCCCAGCACTTTGGGAGGCCGAGGCGGGCGGATCACCTGAGGTCGGGAGTTCGAGACCAGCCTGACCAACATGGAGAAACCCCGTCTCTACTAAAATACAAAATTAGCTGGGCGTGGTGGCACATGCCTGTAACCCCAGCTACTCGGGAGGCTGAGGTAGGAGAATCGCTTGAACCCGGGAGGCGGAGTTTGCGGTGAGCCAAGATTGTGCCATGGCACTCCAGCCTGGGCAACAACAGCGAAACTCCATCTCAAAAAAAAAAAAAAAAAAAAAAGTCACTGCCTCCTGGAAACATGCTGTCCACTTGGTTTTCCAAACACAGTCGAACTTAGTTCTCCTCCTACCTTGCTGGTCATCCCTGTCTCCCTGACCTCTTAATACTGTAATGCTCCAGGACTTGCCTATGGAAACTTCTCCATTTACGTTCACTCCCTAGATGTTCTCATCCACTCTTGTGGTTTTACATACATTAGCTCAGACTTCTTCCATAAACTTTAGACCAGTGTTGCCAATTTCAGTGCAATTTGAGATACTGTCTATTTGCCCAGGCTGGTCTTGAATTCCTGGCCTCAAGCAATCTTCCCACCTCAGCCTTCCAACTAGCTGGAACCACAGGCACATGCCATCATGTCCATCTTCACTGCAGTGTCATCACTTGAATGTTTAATAGGCATATCAAACAGAATATGTCCTCTGTCTGGGATGTTCCTCCCCCTGTATAATGGCATGGGTCACTCTCTCACTTTCCTCAAATCTCTGCATCAATACCATGTTATTAGAAAAGCCTAACACACCCTCAATAAAATAGTAAACCTCCTCTCCCCTCTCCACTATCTCCCCTTCCCCAAATTATTGTTCTTTGTAGCAGTCATCACCATCTGGAGTGTACTTCAGTACAGTTTATATTTGTATGATAGGTATATTTGATAGTTATCTGTTTTATCTTTTCCAACATTCACAGCTGTGTCCCCAGAACCCAGAACAGTGCCTGGCCCGCAGCAATTGCTCAATAAATAAATGAATCCAAGAGCTCTTCTTTCAGAACTAGAATTATTCCTTCCCTGCACTTTGCTTCCCTATCTAGACTTCATCTTCCCCCTCTCCACTCCTCTCTACCCTGCCTAATGACCAGCTGCTTGAAAAGACTTCAGGTCCCAGGCTTCACTCCCTTTAACTAACTGTACAGTTTTTTGGACTCCTCACCCCTTTACAGGTTTCTGCTTGGCCCAGTCCCCTCCATCTCCCCTTCTTTCATTCGACATACCTCCTCGAAATTACCAGAATACGCCTGTTTTTTTCACGTCTCGGGTCCTTCCGCCAAGAATGCCTTTGCAATATATTCCTGGAGCAAACTCTTAACCATTCTTCAAGGCTCAGTTTAGGCCTCACTTCCTCCAGGAAGCCTTCCCCGCGTCTAGTGTCCCACTGCTTCGGCGACTTCTTTACTCAGAGCTGTCACTGTTGGAGTCTAGGTCCGTGTCCTCCCACAATCCCCTGAACTCCCCGAAGGCAGGAATGGGGTCTGATTCACCCCCGTGTACCAAGCACCCAGCACTGGGTGCATAATGAATGAAGGATGGATGGGGGAGGAGCCCCCCACTATTAAGGCGGGGTCTAGTGACAAATGAGAGGGTGTGGCCTGTGCGGAGAGAAGCCCCGGAGAGGACAAGGTGAAGAGCCAATGGGGAACCAGAAATAGAGGAGGGGCGTGACCTGCAGCCAATAAGTGGTGGGGGATAAGGTGAAGGGCGTGCCCAATGGAGGGTGGGGCCAGGAGACAATGGAGTGGAGGCTTCTCCGGGAGATCAGGAAAGGTCGCGTCGCGCGCCTCCTCCCGGCCTTTGGGGGGGTCCGTCCGCGTGCCGTGCCCCCACCTGTTAGCTCCTCTGCTCGCCGCCCGCCGCTCCCGCTCTGCTACACCGGCCACCGGACGCCCAGCCGGCGGGAGCCGTCGCCGATGACGTACGTCCTCGGGCGCGCGCACGCTCTTACGAAAGCGTGGGGCTTCGCGTCAGTCTCCGCGGCGGCGCGCCCCCGAGGCCACTGGGAGCGAAGCCAGGCAGGGTTGAGGGGGCGGTGTTCGTGGTCCTGGGCCCGCCCCCTTCCCAAGGCCACAGCGAGTTGCTGGGCTTCAGGGGCTCCAGGCGGCCAGGGCGGCGGAGACTCTTGCTCACGGCCTGGGCGCGGAGACGTGGGGGCGTAGCCCGCGGCCTCGGGAACGCAGTCTGCACAGAGGGCAGATGCCTGCATAGGCGGGGCGCAGCCCGTGTACCAGGACGGGAGCCAGGATACTTTAAGCGTGTCACTCTGCAAGAATTCCCTCAACCCTCGTGGGCACTTTTATTCCATCCCACCTTCCCCAACACACACAGACTCAGGCGTCCGGCAGCCGTGGTTTATTCTGCGAGCAGCAGGGCTCGGGCGCAGGACCCCGAGGGCAGGCAGGAGGCCGGCGCGAGCGCGGGCGCGGGCACTAGGCTGAAGAGGACGCGGCGGCTCGCGCGGGGCGACGGCGGCAGCGCAGCCTGCAGGGAGCTGAGCGCGGCCAGGTGCTGCTCCCGGGACAAGTCCCCGCGCAGGCCCAAGAGGGCGGAGACGTGGTCCTCGCTGCAGGGGCACCAAGGAGGCGCGTCAGCCCCGTCCTCCCCGCCCTCCGGCTTCTCTTCCCTTCTGGCCCCCAGTCCGCACCTCACGTCGGGAAATTGTTGCCGCAGGCCAGCCACCTCCAGGCCCAGCAGCGCGGGGTCGCGGAGGTTTAGCAGCTCCCTCAGGGCGAGCAGCACCGGCGCGCAGTGCGCGTTCTCCTCCAGGCCCTGAGCACGTCGGGGTAGGGTCTCGCGCCAGCCCTCTCTCCCACCCAGCCACTGAGACTCTCGCCCGTCTGCCCGCCCAAGAAGCTCTCACCAAACTGAGGAAAAGCTGCTGAAGCTGGGCAGCATCGTGCCGCAGGCGCTCGGCCGCCTGGGTCCTCTCGTCGGCTCCGCGGCACACCAGGCGGCCTTGCATCAGCGCGCTCAGGTACTGGAGCACCACGGCACGCTCGGCCTCAGCCAGCAGCAGCTGCGGGGAGGCAATCAGGCGGGTGCAGGTCGCCTCTCACCCGCGCCGCCCCTTCCCCAATCTTTTCCCCCAACCCACCTGAACCGTGGGGTTCCGCACGCGCCAGAAGTCCCGGCAGAAGCGCCCCGTCCGTTCACACACACTTTGCAGGAGCTCAGGGCTCGACAGCCATTGGCGCGAGGGCAGATCCGCGAACAGGGGCTGGGGAAATGATCCAGATCTGGCATTGCCGCGGAGACCCCCATACGTAGCTGTACCGCCACCTCTCCACCTGCTCCCATCCTGACCTGAAGGAGGCCTCACCTGGAGCTCCGCCTGCAGCGCCTCCAACACCAAGCGGTAGATCCTCCTCTGCAACTCGTCCAGCGCAGCTTCCACTGGAGCCAAGGCCCCTGAAGGCGCCCCGTCCAGCTGCAGGACAGACACTGAGGAGCTGGACCAAGCAAAACTACGGCTTCAGGACCAAGGCCAAGGCCCGCATGGCCCTCGGTGGTCCAGACCCTCCGGCGCCACCTTGTGGGGCAAGTGTTTGACGGGAGGGAGCGAGAACAGCGGCTCTCTGCACTTCTGGTCCCAGGCATGGACCAGGGCTGGGAGACGGGCGCTTGGCGAGCTGCAAAGGACACAGCCCAGCGAGACCTGCCTCAAATTCGCGGTGCGTCCTTGAGGAAAACATTCTTTCGGTTTCTGTTTCCTCATTCGTAAAGGAAGGGAAGTATCCCAGTGAGGAGGGAGTAAAAAATCATCACTTGTTTTCCTTGCCCCCACCAAAAAGAACATACCACCCAAGAGGAAGGGAGTGTGTGTGTGTGTGCGTGTATACACACAGCTGTAACCCCAGACATTACTGGCACAGAGTAGGGCCTTGAAATATTTGCTGGACGAATGAACAATTGACACCATGTGCCAGGCACTATGGTGGCCACTTTACATGTTATCTCATGTGATTCTCAGAACATTCCATTAGTACCCCCATAATACTAATGAGAAAAGTGAGATTCACAGAGATTAGGTAACTCATCCAAGGTCACACAACTAGTAATTAGCAGAACTAGAATTGGAACCCCAGGGCGATGTGAGTCCAAAGTCCCTAGTGTCCTAGTGTGGGCTGAGCCCATACATAATAGGTACTCAATAGGGGGTTAGTGAAGGTGGGGTTCCCTGGGGGCCTTCTGGTACCTGAGTGCTGACTTGTGGTTGAGGGCGGCCAGTAGGTAGGGCACGTAATGAGGGGCCATTGATTTCCCCCTGAAGTGGTCTCGGGAGAATCGGATCAGAGCATCACTGAAGCTGCAATGGGCAGAGGTGGCTCCTGGACTTGCTGCTATGCTGGCATCCCCACAGCCCCAGTCCCTGGTACTCCTGTCCCACCTCCAAGATACCCAAGTCCTTGTTTGAAAGAGCCCTTTCCCTGTGACATGTCTTATTCACTCAGAGCCCCTTTGGGCTGCCTGGGGAGCAGGGATAGGGATCAGGAATGGGTCAGTGCCTCAGCAAACCTCCTCAAGAATGTGCCCAGTTCTGACAGTGCCATGCCATGCACTCGCTGTTGCAGTGACTCACTGACCAGGCTGGCCACACGAATGTTCTCTTCCAGGATCTGCAGGCAGAAATGAGCAGCCATCGGCAAAGCCTCCCTCCTTCCTCTCCTCCCCACTGCCCCATGGAGGCTGCCTGCCTGTCTGGCCACTTCCCACCTACCTGCAGCACAATGGCTGGCATTGGTGAGTAATAGGAGCCAGACGGGTCTGTGTTGGGCCCATGCTCCCGGCCCCACTCAGCTACCTCCCCATCCAGTGCATTCTGCAGCCACTGAGACACACTTGCCTGGGGGGAGGGGCCAGGGGCAAAGGAATGTAGCAGGGATCTGACCCTGCTGGAGATGGGTAGACATTCCACTCTGCAGATAAAGGCCCACAGCAGATAAGTAGGACTTCTCTGGACCTGTGCCTCAACTACTCACCTGGATGTTGGCCACAAATGTTGCCTCCAGCTGCTCAATGTTCTCCAAGGTCAGAAGGGGCTCCAGCTGGGACACATCAGCCTCAGGCCCCAACTCCAGGCTCCCCATCATTTCCTGCCTGGAGATAGGTGGCCTGGTGTCACACCAAGCCACCAAGCCCCCAGCCTCTGATCCCCCATGTCCCGCTGCCCCAAAGGCACTGACCCCAGGTACACATGCAGTGCCCAGTGCAGCAAGGCGAAGGCATCCGCAGCTTCTAGCTCAGGCCCTGCAAGGAGGTTCTGCAGGCTGCGGCGCAAACCACTATGCAGCGTGTGGGCCCATAGCTGGACCACGTTGTACTGTGGCGGGCAGCAAGGCGCTACTAGTGCCTCAGCTGTGGCCAACTCGACTGGCAGGGCCACTCGCAGAGCCTCCAGCCACCCTGGTAGGGCCCCTGGTGCAGGCAGCAGAGGTGACCCAAAGTGGGCCTGCTCCAGGCCCTCCTGTAGTGCCCTCAGACAGCGCTGACGCCAGTCCCGGGGGACCTGGCCCAGGGGGGTTGTTCGTCCAGTCTCCACCTCCGCCACACGCACAGCAGCCACCAACAGGGCTGGGTCCTCCCGTGCCAGCTTCCCTGCGGCCCCTGCAGCTGCTTCCACAGCCTGGCCCAGTGCCTCGAACAGAAGGTCCAGCCCCTGGAAGACTGGCAACTCCAGGCCCCCCAGGGGTGCCCACGTATCCTCTCGCAGCTGCTCCAGCTCCCGAAGGCTCACATATGCCTCCAAGAACTGTTGGCCATCAATCAGAGTCTGTGTGTGGGACACTGCAGCCGGCACTAATGAGAGTGAAAAGGAGACGGCCCTGGGTCTCAGCCTTCCCACCGCCTCAATGTGTACAGCAGGGGATACTGAGGCCCAGGGCGGGGGTGATGCATAAAATATTTAACAACCAGTAGAGTAAGCTGGGCACAGTGGCTCATGCCTGTAATCCCAGCACTTCGGGAGGCCAACGTGGGTGAATCACTTGAGGTCAGGAGTTTGAGACCAGCCCGGCCAACATGGTGAAATCCCATCTCTACTAAAAATACAAAAATTAGCCAGGCATGGTGGCACATGCCTGTAATCCCAGCTACTGGGGAGGCTGAGGCAGGAGGATTGCTTGAACCTGGGATATGGAGGTTGCAGTGAGCCGAGATCACACCACTGCACTCCAGCCTGGGTGACAGAGTGAGACTCTGTTTCAAAAACAAAACAAAACAAAAAATGAACAAAAAACCATAAATAAATAAATAAATAACCAGTAGAGTACTGGCCAATCTAAGAGGATCTTGGCAATGTCCTAAAGACCTGGTGGGCCAGAGGTCAACCCATGAACTCATGGAATATGAGGAAGCTGAGGATCCTGGAGGGAAGGCAGGGGAAATCGGGGGGTCCTGCCAGTACTCGCTCAGCCACTCTGTTAGGGAAGAGTTTGAATATACTGATAACCAGGTGGCCAGAGTCACATGACTGGGTGTCTGTCCTGACTCAAGCATCCCACACGTGGGAATCCCAGGATGAGCTGCCTCATAGGCCATGGGAAGCCCGGGCTACTGTCTGGGAGGTCCCTGGTGTGCTGCTCTATGCAGTTCCCCATCTAGTGCCCCAGCCCCTTGATTAGGGATGGGTGTTTGTGGACTGACTATTGGAGGCTGAGGCCCAGGGTCCCTGCATGCTCACCTGCCCGCAGCCGAGGCAGCAGGTGAGACAGGGCCTGCAGTTGCTTGTGCTGGGCAACCCGCTCCCGTAGGGGCTCTAGAGTCTGTAAGGCCTGGGACATGCCCTGGAGCAACCCACGGGCCTGGCTCAGGGCCTCCCGGGTTCCCTGCACCACCTCAATGGCCTGGGCCAGCTGCCACACACCAGTCTGCACGCCTTCCAGGTATGACTGCATCACTGACTGTGGAAAGATGGAGCCATGAGGCTGGGCCAGCCCTGCAGCACAGTCCCAGCACCCGCACCCCCTGCCCCATGCCCACCTTGAGGCGCGATTCCAGGGAGCAGGTACGCTGCACCTCGCGGCTGCGGTACTGGCCTAGCCTGGCCAGCTGCTCCGGCCGGTAGAAGATGCCTGAGGCCCACTTGAGCGCTGCACCCCGGGCCAGCTGCTCTGCCCGCTCCTGCTCTGGCCACTCAGGTCCTGGGAAGGAAGAGCCTGGGCAGCCGTGTAGTCAGGGAGGAGGGCCCAACGACCCCAGTCCCAGCTTTCTTATTTATTTATTTATTTATTTATTTGTTTGTTTATTTGTTTATTGAGATGGAGTCTCGCTCTGTTGCCCAGGCTGGAGTGCAGTGGTGCAATCTCGGGTCCCTGTAACCTCCGCCTCCCGGGTTCAAGCGATTCTCCTGCCTCAGTCTCCCGAGGAGCTGGGATTACAGGCGCGTGCCATCACGCCCAGCTAGTTTTTGTATTTTTAGTAGAGACGGGGTTTCACTATGTTGGCCAGGTTGGTTTGGAGCTCCTGACCTCAGGTCATCTGCCCATCTTGACCTCCCAAAGTGTTGGGATTACAGGCGTGAGCCACTGCGCCCAGCCAGTCCCATCTTTGTTGCCATCATTCCTCCCCTAGTCCACCCAAAAGGTTCATACCAGGGGACAACGCCGGCTGCATCTCATCCTTGGCTGCTGAGTCCATTGTGGGCCTGGAGGAGCCAGAGCTGAGGTGGGCCCGGGGCAAGCAGGCAGAGTAGATGCCCCTGTGAGCTGCTGCCTCTGTCTAAGCCCTTCTGAGAGGAGGAAGGAGGTTCTTCCCGGCCCCCTCGGGAAGTGAGAGGGAGCGGGTGTGATGCGGAGGGCACCTGGGAGGCTTTGCCTGCTAGGTTTCCCAGTCGTGCCCCTGCAGATGTCAAGCGAGACAGAGTGGGCACAGGCCTCCACTGGACCCTGGTCCTGCTCTGAGCTGCACAGGACAGTTTGGTACAGAACTTACCAGATTTGATCAGGCGTCCAGTTCTCCCTCCAAAAATGACCTTGGCCTTGAGAACAGCCCTCTCCCCAATGCAGCTGGGCACGCCTGCCACTTGCTCACAGGGCCTGGGCAACTCCAGCTGACTCCAGCGTGCAGCTGAATTCCTCTCCCCAAGGAAGTCTCTCTCCCACTCCCCACCCAGAAGCCCCTTCTTCCCACCGAGGCTCCTCCCTCCCCAAGGCCATCAACAGAAAGGAAGGAAGCTGAGTCTCTGGCATTTTATTCCCAACAGGAAAGAGTGTCTGCACAGAGGGTGGGGACAGCTGGGCGACACTTCCCTGAGGGGCGGGGGGGTGGGGTGTACTTGTACTCAACCAGTCTTGACCAGCCTACCCAGAACCTCTTAGTGCTCAGGAGAGGAGATAGGGATTTGCTAGACTTGGCCTCAACCTGGGGTGGTGGGCAGAGTGTGCAGATATGGATGCAGACGACATCAACAGCACAGGATGAAAACTGTGTTGGCCAGCCTCTGAGGAGGATGTGTACCTCTGCGGAGGAGTGAGAGGTGGCAGGCTCTTGTGAAGAGGGGTGTGGTGGGGGGTGGTAGGAGAGGGTCATGAAAGCTGTGTTTATCTTTTTTGTTTTAGACAGGGTCTTGATCTGTCACCAAGGCTGGAGTACAGTGGCACCACCATAGCTCACTGCAGCCTTCTGGGCTCAAGCGATCTGCCTGCCTCAGCCTCCCAAAGTGTTGGGAGATTACAGGCGTGAGTCACCGCAACTGGGCAGCTGTGTTTATCTTGAGAGTTATAGGGAGCCAGGGAAGGGACTATAAGGTGGTAATTATTTAGTGGATGTTCAGTCCACCACCCAAATCCACCCTTCAGGACAGAAGTGCTCATTCTCCAGCTGCCAGGAGTGTAGGCTACTGAGATCACACCACTGAGTCTCTCAGTCAATATTGGGGTGCAAAAGCATGGTACCATCGTGTGAACATGAACCCTTCAGAAGTGCTACCCCAATTTCAGAGATCCTAGTGGGATAGGCTGAGGCCTATAATATAATTGCATCTGCTCAATTCTGCTTGTCTTAATCCCTTAAAGGTGTGGATCCTGACCAGGTGCGGTGGCTCACACCGGTCATCCCAGCATTCTGGGAGGCTGAGGTGGGAGGATCTCTTGAGCCCACGAGTTCAAGACTAGCCTGGGCAATATAGTGAGACCCACATCTCTAAAAAACTAAAAATAAATGAGCCGGGCATGGTGGTGCATGCCTGTGGTCCCAGCTACTTGGGAGGCTGAGGTGGGAGAATCGCTTGGGCCCAGGAAGCTGAGACGGCATTGATCTTGCCACTGCACTCCGGCCTGGGCAACAGAGTGAGACCCTGTCTCAAAAAAAAAAAGTGTGGATCCCCAACAAACTTGCTGCAAAACCCTATCTCGAGTCCCATTTCCCAGAGGACCTGATCTAAAAGAAACAATAATAAATAGTAACAATGTTAAAAGTTACAAAATGACCGTATCACACATTCCTGCATGCCAGGAATGACTGAGTGCTTTACTGATATTTACACATAGGTAAACACGTTTGCATTGGCTGAAGTGTTCATAACCCCATAGTCTCTGAGCACTGTACTGTGAGGACAAGACGAGCGAAAGATGAGGCTAGGACCATGGGTGGAACAAGGTGGACAAGGTAGATATAGTTAGTGCTTGCTGTTTGGCAGGAAGTGAGGGATAGGAATAGATGGGGTGACCCCAAGACAGTAGGGCAGCCTTTAGGAACAGGTTTGATGTGGCAGTAAAATGAGTTTGAAATATATAAAAGAATAAATAAAGAGAAAAAAATGGAAAAGGAACAGGTTTGAGGGAGCAGATTGGATTAGTCAGGTAGTGTGGTCTCCTCTCCCAAGATGGGGACTAGGCAGAGTTAGTGATGTTGGGGCAGATTGGCAAGGAAAGTTCCGATGGCGTCCCCTTCTCTACTGCCAGGGCGGCCCACTGACGCCCTTCTCATTCCTCCCCAACTTCATCCCAACTCCCCGGTCTACCCAGGTAGTTTTCGTCTTATTCGGAGGCTGGACATTTGCTACTGGTCCCTGAAGTTTTGCGGCTGCACCCACAGACAGCAATAGCGCCACGTTCCCTGGAAGGCGCACGGGACGGAAGCGGAAGCAGTAACGCTGGCTCCGGCTGCCCGGCGGCCAGGAACGGAAGCGGAAGTGGCGGCGGCGCCGGCCTGGCCTGGCCTGGCTGAGGGGAGGCGGCGGGCGGGCGCGATGGCGGAGGCCGGGCCACAGGCGCCGCCGCCCCCGGGCACTCCAAGCCGGCACGAAAAGAGCCTGGGACTGCTCACCACCAAGTTCGTGTCCCTTCTGCAGGAGGCCAAGGACGGCGTGCTTGACCTCAAGCTGGTGCGGCCTGGGCTAAGGGGAGACAAGGGAGGCTGGTGGACCAGGCCTGGGCCGGTAGCGGGAACCCCGGGGGCGGCCCAGCTGGGTCCTCCGAGAGCCGGCCGCCATCGTGTGCTTTCTCACAGGAGAGAAGCCGGGGGATGTTTCATTCATTCGGCCGAGGCCATCGAGCTACAGCTATGGGCCAGGCTCGGGCTGCAGGTGTTCGTCCTCGTGGCCCTTCCTGGCTGGCGAGGAGAAGAGCTGCCTATGGGACAGAGCTGCGGTCCTGAGCTGCAGTAGCGCCTGGGAGGCACTACAGGGTTGGAATCCAGATTACTCCCTTCCCAGACCACGTCTCAGGGTGGCTGGGGGTACACCCCAGAGTGGGGCTGAGCATTCTCCATTCTCTCTGCCAGGCAGCTGACACCCTAGCTGTACGCCAGAAGCGGCGGATTTACGACATTACCAATGTTTTGGAAGGTATCGGGCTAATCGAGAAAAAGTCCAAGAACAGCATCCAGTGGAAGTGAGTGGGCATAGTGGGAGGGTAGTAGAGTCTCCCACCCAGAAGTGTCGGGCGTGGGGTGGAGGGTGCCGAAGAAGGCAGGGGCCATGGGACCCAGAGTTCTCAGCAGTCCCTCTCAGCCCCACTCCCTGGGCTCAGGGGTGTGGGGCCTGGCTGCAATACCCGGGAGATTGCTGACAAACTGATTGAGCTCAAGGCAGAGATCGAGGAGCTGCAGCAGCGGGAGCAAGAACTAGACCAGCACAAGGTGTGGGTGCAGCAGAGCATCCGGAACGTCACAGAGGACGTGCAGAACAGCTGATATCCTCCTGGCGGTCCCTGCTGGGGGGAGTGGGCAAGGGGCCCTCTGGTTCAACTTGCCCTGAGTCCTGTTCCTCTTGGGAGTTTGTCTTATAGCCACTGGCCATGGCCCAGCCTCAGGCTCCCTCCTCAGAGCCCCTCCCCTTCCACTCTTAGCCTGTGATCCCTCCCCCGGTGGACCTGAGTCCCCAGAACGGTCTCTGAGGGCCTGTGTGTCAGACCTTAGCTAAAGAATTGGGTCTTTTCTGTAGTCTGCCATCTGTCACCATAGGGCATCAGCCATTCTCCTTAACCCTCACACTTTGGCCTACGTCACTCATGAGGACATCTGCAGATGCTTTGCTGGTGAGCAGAGCCTGGGTAGGGGTAAGGGGGTGGGCTGGGCTCAGCCAAAGTCCTGAGCACTGGGCTCAGTGTCTTAGGAGAGTTCTGTCTCTTAAGAGGGTTTCTGGGGCCTGCTCAGAGAGGAACCAGGCAGGGTAAGTCTTCTGTCTGAGTGTCACTGGGACCCTGTGGAGGTCAGCTATACCAAAAGGGTACAGAAATTCTGGAGTGGGTCCCTGGGTCTGTTCCCATCTCTACTGTTTCCTGGATTTGGCTTCTTGGGTATGATAGAGGCACAAGGGGGAGAGAGGGAGAGAGGATATGTGTGTATTTGCTTGTGTGCAGGCTCTTACATGCAGGGCATGGGGGTGCCCACTTCCAACTTGTTAGTTTAGTTGCATTGTGAATACAGGATCTGTTCCTTTTTTTTTCTTTTTAAGAGATGGGCTCTTGCTGTGTTGCCCAGGCTGGTCTTGAACTCCTGAGCTCAAGCTGTCTTCCCTCCTCAACCCCCTAAAGTGCTGGGATTATGGGTGTGAGCCACTGTGCCCCGCTGATGTGTTTCTTCTCCATCTTGTATGCTCCTGACTGGTCATGGGAAAGGGATGTTGGCCTTGGCTAGAACACCCTCACCTAGGGATCAGCCATCGGTAGAGGAATGAGGTGCCTGTGGCCAGTGATCTTTCACTCCACATAATTGAACCCAGATTTCCTGGTTACTGACCCTGGGCTCTCAGGAAGAGAAGAGCTTTAGCTCTGCCTGGCCACTATGGGGGATGGGTGAGGCCCACTGTCTAGTTCCTCAGGGACCGTGATCTCCTGCCTTGCTCCAAAAGGCAGGCACCTCTGTTCCCAGCTCAGATTGAGCCCATGGGCTCTGACCCATTCTCCATGTCATTCTAGGAGATACCCTCTTGGCCATCCGGGCCCCATCAGGCACCAGCCTGGAGGTGCCCATCCCAGAGGTGGGTGCTTAGCCCAGGCAGGCGGGGTCAGCTGAGGGCGGGTGCTGGCTGTGGAGCCTGATAAGTCCTGGGTGGGGCAAGTAGGGGGAGGCCTGGAGTTTGGGGTTATCTAGGAGGATGGGCATCCTGGGTGGGAGAGGACACTGTGGTCCTGACCCGGAGTCGGGCAGGAGCCAAGCCTGCTTACAATTCTACCCATCTCCCATCCCTTACCACCCATCTCTAGGGTCTCAATGGGCAGAAGAAGTACCAGATTCACCTGAAGAGTGTGAGTGGTCCCATTGAGGTTCTGCTGGTGAACAAGGAGGCATGGAGCTCACCCCCTGTGGCTGTGCCTGTGCCACCACCTGAAGATTTGCTCCAGAGCCCATCTGCTGTTTCTACACCTCCACCTCTGCCCAAGCCTGCCCTAGCCCAGTCCCAGGAAGCCTCACGTCCAAATAGTCCTCAGCTCACTCCCACTGCTGTCCCTGGCAGTGCAGAAGTCCAGGGAATGGCTGGCCCAGCAGCTGAGATCACAGGTGAGGCACCATGGGAGCTTGTGACAGAGGCCCAAGAGGTAGTATCTCTGTGTTGTGGAACACCATGCTCAGAGTTGGAAGAGACTCTTCAGGTTGGGGATTGTCCTTTTCCTGACCACCTAGCCTTCCCTTGCTATGGTAATGAATGAGCCTTTTTTGTTTTTGTTTTTGAGACGGAGTCTCACTGTGTCCCCCAGGCTGGAGTGTGCAATGGCGCGATCTTGGCTCACTGCAACCTCTGCCTCCCAAGCTCAAGAAATTTTCCTGCCTTAGCCTCCTGAGTAGCTGGGATTACAGGCGCCCACCATGCGCAGCTAATTCTCGTACTTCTAATAGAGATGGGGTTTCACCATGTTGGCCAGGCTGGTTTCGAACTCCTGACCTCAAATGATCTGCCTGCCTCGGCCTCCTGTAGTGCTGGGATTACAGGCTTGAACCACCATGCCTGCCTGAATGGGCCCTTTTTAACAGGGAACCTCTGACTGTGGGAAGAGCCATTGCTGGTGGCAGTTTTCTCCCCCAGATCCACATCCACTGGTGTCTCAATTGCCCTGGTAGCCCGTCTTGAAGTATGGCCACAGCAGACATGTTGACCACGAGTCTTCTTCTGTAGGTCTTGTGTCCCTGTCTCCTGTGGTGACTAATTTCAGGTTACTTCCTCTGGGGGTGACTGGCAATGCCTAATTCTCCTTGGGTCTGGGAACCAGGCTTGTGGTCCTCCTGTGTCTGGGTTCCAGCACAGCCAGTTTCAACGACCTCTTCCTGACCTTGTATGACTGGGTTTGGGGGCTATCATTGTAGTGAGTGGCGGCCCTGGGACTGATAGCAAGGACAGTGGTGAGCTCAGTTCACTCCCACTGGGCCCAACAACACTGGACACCCGGCCACTGCAGTCTTCTGCCCTGCTGGACAGCAGCAGCAGCAGCAGCAGCAGCAGCAGCAGCAGCAGCAACAGTAACAGCAGCAGTTCGTCCGGACCCAACCCTTCTACCTCCTTTGAGCCCATCAAGGCAGACCCCACAGGTGGTGAGTACCTGCCCCCTGGGGGCAGAGAGAGAGAGTCTAGCCTCAGTCCAGTCCTAGGTCAGAAAACAGAATTGGGGATGGAACCCAGATCTCCTGTCAACCCTGCTGGACACGAGAGCTCTCTGCCAGCACCTCTGGGTCAGTGCTGGTGCCCCCTCTAGCACCCCATCCTAGGCTAACACAGAACTCCCTGCCGTCTCTCAAGCCCTTTCCTGCCACCCCTTGGAGCACCGCCTCACTAATTGACACTTCTCTGTATCACTCTCTCTCATCTTCTCTGTCTCCTTTCTGTCTGGACTCCTTGAAAAAGTAATCTCCATTCATTAGTCTCCTAGTCACCTTTCAGGTTGCAGCAGTCACCCCCCCAGCCCCAGTGTTACAGCGGTGTTACTCTTGAGAAGCTGCCGAAGGCCTGCCGAGCCCAGCAGCCTCCAGCGTGTTTTGCTGGTGCTCTCTTGGTCTGTGTCAATATTCTTTCCTCCTTTGGCATCATGATGCCAGCTTTTGGCTCTCCTATCTCACTGGCTTCTTGAACTCTTCCCTGGCGTGTCCTTAAACATTGCTGTTTTTGAGGGCTCTGTCCCATTCCACTCCTGGAGAGGGCTGCAGCTCTGGGTGAACGAATCCCCAGCCTCCGCCTGGCCTAGATCTTTTCCCAATCTGCACACTTCGGTGTCCACCTGCCGTCCTGTGTACATCCAATGGACACTTTATTCCTGCATGTCCTCAACTGAACTTAGTTTCCTCCCGAAGCTTGCTTTCCACCTCTGCGCACCCAGCCGTCAGCCCTAGTTATCCAGGCCTGACCCTTGGCTCTCACTCTAGTTCTAGTTCCTTATCCCTCCTCCTTCTGCTGCCCACCCCATGCCAGCTAACTGAGGTCTGTCCCAGATGTCCCCTCCTATCCTCTGGTATCCTCAGCACTCAGGATGACCCCTGGCCACCTCTGTCCTGGATTCTTCAGCATCTTTCTCTTTACCCTGACTGACAGACTAATCTTTCTGAAATGCAGGCCTGACAGAAAAATGTGGCATTTCTCTGTTTGCAAAAGTACCTTTAATGGCTCCTTGAGGGCCACCAGATAAGATCTGAACTCCTGAGCCTGGCATGTGAAATCCCTCATAGTCCTCTCTGGTTGCATTTTCTTCTGCTTCCCCTGTGTCCTCCTGGCCAGAGGTTTGTAGTGGAGTCATCACCCTGTAGCGCCACCACCTCTGCCTGGTGACCTGACCCAGGGTCTGGTCTCAGTCTTGCACAGAGCAGGTGCTCAGCAAGGGTGGGACAGATGGGGTACCTTCTGTCAGACAGGGGGTGCATGCTGAGCCCAGAAAGAGGCTTCTGTGGCCTTTCCGAGTTAGAAAAGCTGTACCAATCGCTTGCAGGGGGCCTTTGGTACCCTGGGCTCAGCACTGAGGAATTCAGGTTTAGCAAGTGAGGCCAACAGACAGTGCCAGCTTGGCCTAGGCAGGACCTACATCTCCTTAGCTGTGTGGAGCCTCAGGGTGGGTGGTATAGGATCCGAGGAAGCCAGGGGGCTGTAGTGGGGCCAGGCTGGACCTCTGTGCCCTGAGCATGGCTTTCTTGTTTTTCAGTTTTGGAACTCCCCAAAGAGCTGTCAGAAATCTTTGATCCCACACGAGGTAGGCTGCTGCATTCCTCCCTGAGGCTAGGGGTAAGGGACACAGCTCATTGGGTCCTATGGCTGTTTTCTTGCCCTTTTGAGGACCTTGTTGTGGCGCTTATGGTAACTGGGGCAAAGGGTGAAGTTCCTGATGGGCAGGTGGGGTTCCCTTTCCTGGGCTTTGGTGGGTGGAGAGGTGGGAGCTGGAATGTTAGTAACTGAGCTCCCTCCATTCCCAGAGTGCATGAGCTCGGAGCTGCTGGAGGAGTTGATGTCCTCAGAAGGTGGGTGGCCCTGGAAGGTGGGAGTGGGTGTGGGCAGGGGTTGGGCTGCTGCTAGGGGAGCCCTGGCCCAGGGCCTGAGACTAGTGCTCTCTGCAGTGTTTGCCCCTCTGCTTCGTCTTTCTCCACCCCCGGGAGACCACGATTATATCTACAACCTGGACGAGAGTGAAGGTGTCTGTGACCTCTTTGATGTGCCTGTTCTCAACCTCTGACTGACAGGGACATGCCCTGTGTGGCTGGGACCCAGACTGTCTGACCTGGGGGTTGCCTGGGGACCTCTCCCACCCGACCCCTACAGAGCTTGAGAGCCACAGACGCCTGGCTTCTCCGGCCTCCCCTCACCGCACAGTTCTGGCCACAGCTCCCGCTCCTGTGCTGGCACTTCTGTGCTCGCAGAGCAGGGGAACAGGACTCAGCCCCCATCACCGTGGAGCCAAAGTGTTTGCTTCTCCCTTTCTGCGGCCTTCGCCAGCCCAGGCTCGGCTGCCACCCAGTGGCACAGAACCGAGGAGCTGCCATTACCCCCCATAGGGGGCAGTGTCTTGTTCCTGCCAGCCTCAGTGTCTTGCTTCTGCCAGCTCCTTCCCCTAGGAGGGAAGGGTGGGGTGGAACTGGGCACATGCCAGCACCACTTCTAGCTTCCTTCGCTATCCCCCACCCCCTGACCCTCCAGCTCCTCCTGGCCCTCTCACGTGCCCACTTCTGCTGGGCCTTTAGCCCTAGAACCTGCAGGTGGTGGGGGCGGCTACCAAGAAGGAACAGAGGTCTCTGGGGAGGAGTCTGGGTGGTCCAGCCCTGATGATTGGCCCCACCTCCTGCTGCCCCATAACCCTCTCTTCATTTCGGCTTTTTCATTTACCCTCATTTAGAGCCATTTGCAGAGATTTAGAAAGATTTACAGTAACGAATGGATTCCTATATAAAGATTATTTTTATACTTTTTGCAGCAAAAGGAAATTGTAATATTTGTACAGTGTTCAAGTGAATAAAAACCATGCCTAAGGCTAGCTCTGATGTGGTTCTTTGGGGACCCTCCTTGGGACTGTGCTGGACTGGCAGTGTGATTGGGTGGGTCACCTTGCTGGAACTAGGGGTGGGGCGGCCTCCGGCAGCCTGCCCTCCCCGCCCCCACCTGCCGCACCTTGGTGTGGGGCGGGGCCGCCTCGGCGGGGCGGGGCAGGCGGAGCCGTCCTACCTTCCTACCCCCAGACTCCAACCCGGAACTAACCTCGGCTCCCTTGGGAAGGCCGCGTTGCATGGCCAGGAGCAGCAGTCTGGGCCGCGAGTGCGGGACACCGAGGTCAGGTCTCGGAAAGGGAGGACCTCCTCGTCCCCAGGGGCCCCAGGCCAGGTGCACCCTTGGCCGCAGGTGCACGGTCTCCGGAAAGTGCAGGCGCCCACGTCCCAGCTGGACCATGGCGCCTCCGCGGAACGTGGTGAAGATTGCCATCAAGATGCGTGACGCCATCCCGCAGCTCATCCAGCTGGACCAGGTCACCCGGCTGGTCCCGCCTCCATCTGCCCCACTGCCCCACCTCCCGGTAGCCCCCTGGCCCTCGGGGCAGCCCGCCCCACCCCTCCCCCCAGGCTCCTCCCCATCCCTCCCTGCCCAGGCCGCGAGAATGACCACTCCACTTGCAGGCGAAGCCCCTGGCCGCTGTGCTGAAGGAGGTGTGCGACGCGTGAGTGCTGCCGGGCCAGGGCCTGCGGAGGGCGGGAGGGCAGGAGGGGCGGCGCCCCCTGCCGGCCTCGCTGAGCCTCGTGCCCCTCAGGTGGAGCCTGACGCACTCTGAGCGTTACGCCCTGCAGTTTGCGGATGGGCACCGGAGATACATCACCGAGAATGTGAGTCCCCTCTCCCCAGCCCCAAGCTCGGCCTTCCGACCCCTCTAACCCACCTGGCCCCGATAACTCTGGCTCTTCATCCCACTACCGGAGCGCGATCTGTTATTCACCCCCAGCCGCCCTCACCGACACCCCAGTTGATCAGTCCTCGGAGCCCTCCCTGACCTCGCTGCCTTTTCTGCTGTCTTCTCCAGAACCGCGCGGAGATCAAGAATGGCAGCATCCTGTGCCTCAGCACGGCCCCAGTAATGCCCCTCCCGTCCCGCCTTCCCCATCCCTGCCCCTTTGCTCCAGGTCCAGAGGCCCCCCGCCCCGGAGGCCCCCGCCCCAGCCCTGCCTTGCGCCACCTAGTTGACGCCCGGGGCCGCACACTTCCAGGTCCCACCCTTACCATGCCCAGCCTCTTCACCTCTGCTCCTGCTCCGTTCCTGCCAGGACCTTGAGGCTGAGCAGCTCTTGGGTGGGCTGCAGAGTAACAGTCCTGAAGGGCGCCGGGAAGCCCTGAGGCGCCTTGTTCCGCTGGCCTCGGACATGATCTTTGCCAGGGAGGTCATCAGCCGTAATGGGCTCCAGATACTAGGCACCATCATTGAAGATGGGGACGAGTGAGCACAGGGATGTGTGGGCTGGGGGAGATGGTGGGTCTTTCTGGTCCTGGGGTGGTCCTGCTCAGCCCCAGATGTCCCCCCTCCAGCCTAGGAGAGGTGCTGGCCCTCAGCCTGAGGGCCTTCTCAGAGCTCATGGAGCACGGCGTGGTGTCCTGGGAGACTCTGAGCATCCCCTTTGTGAGGAAGGTGGGTGGGCTTTCCTAGGGCAGCGGGTGGGGGCAGTGGAGCAGTGGGGCAGTGGTAGACCCGGTCTTCCATGGGGGTGAGGTGGTGACACCCCCGCCCCTTACAGGTGGTGTGCTACGTGAACATGAACCTCATGGATGCCTCCGTGCCTCCCCTGGCCCTTGGGCTGCTGGAGAGTGTGACCTTGAGCAGCCCAGCCCTGGGCCAGCTGGTCAAGAGCGAGGTGCCCCTGGATAGGCTGCTGGTGCACCTACAGGTGTAAGCCTCTGGGGCTGGGGTCCAGATGCAGGGAGCAGGGCTGGAGCCTGAATGTTCCACTGAGCCCTCTTCTTGCCATAGGATGAACCAGCAGCTGCAAACCAAGGCCATGGCCCTGCTGACAGCCTTGCTGCAGGGGGCCAGCCCTGTGGAACGCAAGGTGAGTGTCGATCGGTGGCTAGATGGGGGCAGCACCCGGTGGGCGCTGCCCCACCCTGAAGCAAAATCCTCTAAGCCCCCCTTTTTTTTTTTTTTGAGATGGAGTCTTGCTCTGTCGCCCAGGCTGGAGTGCAGTGGTGCGATCTTGGCTCACTGCAAGCTCTGCCTCCCGGGTTCACACCATTCTCCTGCCTCAGCCTCCCGAGTAGCTGGGACTACAGGCTCCCGCCACCACGCCCAGCTGATTTTTTTTTTTTTTTTTTTTTTTTTAAGTAGAGACGGGGTTTCACTGTGTTAGCCAGGTTGGCCTCCATCTCCTGACCTCGTGATCCGCCCGCCTTGGCCTCCCAAAGTGCTGGGATTACAGGCGTGAGCCACCGCGCCCAGCCTAAGCCCCCTTTCTTTCTACCCCCTCAGCACATGCTTGACTATCTTTGGCAGAGGAACCTTCGCCAGTTCATCTATAAGGTAGGAAGTGGTGGGCCAGGGGGACCTCTCTGCCCCTCCCTCCCCGTGAGCCCTCGCTTACACCAGGGACTGGCTGTCCTGCAGAACATCATCCACAGTGCAGCACCAATGGGCGACGAGATGGCTCATCACCTGTACGTACTGCAGGCTCTCATGCTGGGGCTGCTGGAGCCGCGCATGCGGACGCCCCTGGACCCCTACAGCCAGGTGTGTGTCTTTGGTGAGGACAAGGCAGGGGGTGGCTTAGAGCTTGGCCTTGAATCTATAATCTTGATCCCCTCCCCCGCCACCCAACACTGACCCCAGGAGCAGCGGGAGCAGCTGCAGGTCCTACGCCAGGCTGCCTTCGAGGTGGAGGGGGAGTCCTCGGGTGCCGGGCTAAGTGCTGACCGTCGCCGTTCCCTCTGTGCCCGAGAGTTCCGCAAACTGGGCTTTTCTGTGAGTATCACCCCTACCCAACTCCCCACCCCTGCCTCAGCCCAGGGCTGTTGTTCCAGGCGGCCGTGGCCCTTCTTGAACTGCCTGTGCCCACTTCCCCCAGAACAGCAACCCAGCACAGGACCTGGAGCGCGTGCCCCCCGGTCTGCTGGCCCTGGACAACATGTTGTACTTCTCCAGAAACGCGCCCAGCGCGTACAGCCGGGTCGGTGACAGGGTAGGGTGGGGGGGTGGCAGCATCCCCCAGGCAGGGTCCCCATGGGCTTAGCTGTGACTCCTTGCCCCATTCTCTGCGCCCCCAGTTTGTGTTGGAGAACAGCAGCCGCGAGGACAAGCACGAGTGCCCCTTTGCCCGGGGCAGCATCCAGCTGACGGTGCTGCTGTGTGAGCTGCTCCGTGTTGGGGAGCCCTGTGAGTGGCCTGGACTGGGCACAGCATGGCCAAGAGCAGGGGACGGAAGGGCAGAGAGGGCCAGGGGCTGTATGCACTTTCTCCCTGAGCCCCTCCTGCCCCCCCACTCCAGGCTCTGAGACAGCCCAGGACTTCTCACCCATGTTCTTCGGCCAAGACCAGAGCTTCCACGAGCTCTTCTGTGTGGGCATCCAGCTGTTGAATAAGACCTGGAAGGAGATGCGGGCTACACAGGAGGACTTCGACAAGGTGGGTGGGGTGGGAGCTGGGAGGCCTGGGCCAGGGCAGGGGGCTGATCTGGGTACAGAGCTTAGGCCCTGAGCTGAGCTTGGGCGGCCCCAGGTCATGCAGGTGGTGCGGGAGCAGCTGGCCCGCACTCTGGCCCTGAAGCCCACTTCCCTGGAGCTCTTCCGAACCAAGGTGAATGCGCTCACTTATGGGGAGGTGCTGCGGCTGCGGCAGACTGAACGGCTGCACCAGGAGGGCACACTGGCTCCCCCTATACTGTGAGTCTGGGGGGATGGATCCTCAGTCCTAGCCCTACCTTCCTTGGTGCCCCCTGGGCTACTCCCCAGGTCAGATGTGCTCAGTGACACCCCTCTATCAGGGAGCTGCGGGAGAAGCTGAAGCCAGAGCTCATGGGCCTGATCCGCCAGCAGCGCTTGCTCCGCCTCTGTGAGGGGACGCTCTTCCGCAAGATCAGCAGCCGGCGGCGCCAGGGTCTCTGAATGGGCATGGGCAGGGGGCAGAGGGCAGGCAGAGGGCAGGCAGAGGGCGGCTGGCTTGGTGTCAGGACCTCTCAGCACTCTGGCCCTCTTCCCTTTCTCCACGCAGATAAGCTGTGGTTCTGCTGCCTGTCCCCCAACCACAAGCTGCTGCAGTACGGAGACATGGAGGAGGGCGCCAGCCCGCCTACCCTGGAGAGTCTGCCCGAGCAACGTAAGGCGGGCAGGGGCGGGGGCCAGATACCTGCTCTCCCCAGACCGCCCTGGGCCCCGGGGCTGCCAGGGCTGCAGTGCTCAGCCCAGCCTTCTTCCTGCAGTCCCTGTGGCCGACATGAGGGCACTCCTGACAGGCAAGGACTGCCCCCATGTCCGGGAGAAGGGCTCCGGGAAGCAGAACAAGGTGAGTACAGCGGGCCAGGGGCTCCTTCCCACCCGCCCCCGCCTACCCTGTCCCCTGCTCAGTGTCCCCGCTCCCTTGCTTCCCCAGGACCTCTATGAGTTGGCCTTCTCAATCAGCTATGACCGTGGGGAGGAGGAAGCGTACCTCAACTTCATTGCCCCCTCCAAGCGGGAGGTGAGTGTCCGCCAGGCTGAGGTCGGCAGGTGGGCAGGGGAGGCAGATGGGCAGACCCTCACGGCTCTGTGCCACCCCCAGTTCTACCTGTGGACAGATGGGCTCAGTGCCTTGCTGGGCAGTCCCATGGGCAGCGAGCAGACACGGCTGGACCTGGAGCAGCTGCTGACCATGGAGACCAAGCTGCGTCTGCTGGAGCTGGAGAACGTGCCCATCCCCGAGCGGCCACCCCCTGTGCCCCCACCCCCCACCAACTTCAACTTCTGCTATGACTGCAGCATCGCTGAACCTTGACAGTGTGGCTGGCCATGGGCCACAGCTGCGGCCACTGCAGCAGCCATGAAGGGCAGTGGGTAGAGGAGTGCAGGCACCCTGACCAGCAGAGATTGCTGCAGAAATAAAGTCTGCTTGGCTCTTGGGATATGTTGAGCCAGCTCTGTACCTTGCGGGCTGAGCCTGTGACAGTGACAGTCTTCCCCTTCTGCCTTCAAACTTAGCTGGTGGATAAGATGGGGCATCAGGCCAGGCCACAAACTTTGACAGCTACGGTTGAGGGGCTGGTGTTCTGAAGGGGGTGGGGAGAGGCTGGGACTGCAGCCTTTCTCCAAGGTGAGTCCTCAGCCTCCCTCCATGCTGGGCCTGCAGGGAGGGTTGGCCTGTGGTCTGGGGGCACCTGCCAAGGGAGAGGCTGAGCTGCCGGCCTGCTGCAGGAGAACTGGCAGGGTAGGAGGCACTGCCCCAAATGGATGCCTTCCTGGACAGCGTTAACAGGGGCGTAGTCTGGGAGCCATCTCCAGAAGGCTCCTGACAATCTGACCTCAGTCCTCAAGCTTGCATGGCCCTGCCTGGTGTCCTTTGTAGGACTTGGAGTTCTCTGGTGAGAGGCATGAAGGGAGAGAGGCAGAAGGGCAGGGTCAGGATCCCCAGGCTGGTAGGAGGATGTGGGCTGATTCCAACAAGAGCCACTTCTGTGCAGGAAGACCCGGTTTCTGATTAAAACCTAACTCAGGGCCGGGCTTGGCTCACGCCTGTAATCCCAGCACTGTGGGAGGCTGAGGCAGTCCGATCACCTGAGGTCAGGAGTTCAAGACCAGCCTGGGCAATATGGTGAAACCCCGTCTCTACTAAAAATATAACAATTAGCTGGGTGTGGTCGAGCACACCTGTAATCCCAGCTATTCGGGAGGCTGAGGCAGGAGAATCGCTTGAACCCGGGAGGCGGAGGTTGCACCGAGCTGAGATTGCACCACTGCACTCCAGCCTGAGCGACAGAATGAGACTCCATCTCAAAAAACAAATTAAAAATCTAACTCAGAACCATGGGTAGGGTGGGGGCCATAGACAGGCCAGAGCCCCTGGGGGCAGAAGCATCGAGGAGTATTGGGCCCAGCTGGAGGTTTGGTCACAGGGGCAGAGGCTGTGATCACAGACCCCAAGCCCGTGAGGAAAGAAGAGCCTATAAGTCTGTGGAGCTCACAGGATAGGCTGAAGCCACTGCCCCTCAGACTTCCCCCTGCCATTCACCTCTTCTCTCACCAGTGCTACCTCCAATATCTTTTTTTTCTTTTTCTTTTTCTTCTTTTTTTTTTTTGAGATGGAGTTTCACTCTTATTGCCCAGGCTGGAGTGCAATGGTGTGATCTTGGCTCACTGCAACCTCTGCCTCCCAGGTTCAAGCAATTCTCCTGCCTTAGCCTCCCAAGTAGCTGGGATTACAGGCATGCGCCACCATGCCTGGCTAAATTTTTTGTATTTAGTAGAGACAGGGTTTCACCATGTTAGTCAGGCTGGTCTCTAACTCCTGACCTCAAGTGATCCACCCACCTCGGCCTCCCAAAGTGCTGGGATTACAGGCATGAGCCACCGCACCTGTCTCCAATACTTTTTTGTTTGTTTTGTTTTTTGTTTGTTTTTTTGAGATGAAGTTTTGCTCTTGTTGCTCAGGCTGGAGTGCAATGGCACCATCTTGGCTCACCATACCCTCTGCCTCCCGGGTTCAAGTGATTCTCCTGCCTTAGCCTCCTGAGTAGCTGGGATTACAGGCATGCGCCACCACGCCCGGCTAATTTTGTATTTTTTGTAGAGAAGGGGTTTCTCCATGTTAGTCAGGCTGGTCTCGAACTCCCAACCTCAGGTGATCTGCCCACCTCGGCCTCCCAAAATGCTGCGATTACAGGCGTGAGCCACCGTGCCTGGCCCCAATACTGTTTTTAACTGTTAACCATCAACCTGGCTGACCTTGAGAACTGATGAAACTCAGTTTCATCCCTCAGTGCTCAGCCCTCAGTGCTGGAGGGCACTTACTCCCCCTCCCCCAGCTAAGCTGCAGATCTTTGGGCATCCAGGGCCCACTATGCCCATGCCTAAGGACTTCCCACCACAAATGGAGCAGTCGGCCATTGAGTTATAGGTGGAAATGGGGGGCAGGGACCCCTGATGCTGTCGGCCTCCCTGTAACTGTCAATTATTCCTTCTTAATGTCTCCAGTCCCTTGTGCATGCCACCATCATAGCAAAAGCCTCCTGACTTCTGGCCTCCTGTCTTGCACTTCCAATCCTCTCAATACCAGCTACCCCAACTGCTTTCTCCGACATAAATCTGATCATACACACACACAAACATCCCATATATTTGATGTCACCCTATCCATGTCCATGGGTTAATGGCCACAGTTTCCATGGCTGAGCCTGAGTTGAGCCAGGTGAGTCTCAGACATACCGTGGTTTAGCCCTTCCACCTGAGCACCTGTGGCTTGCAGGGTTCTCGATGCTTGGTCTGAGCTGGCATCCTCCCTGCCTAGACTACCCCCTCAGTGCCAGCTCTGGCCTGCCTGTGTGCGTCCCCACAGTGCCTTCTACCTGGATCACCCCCTTCCTTTCTTCTGGCCATTTTCACTGCCCTGATTCCTTCCTGGACCCTCCAGGCCCAATTTGTTGCTCCCTGGGCTCTGGTCCCAGGTGCTTGTCTCTCTCTTCACCCGCACCCTGCACACTGGACTGTCCCTGCTAGCTGGCTTCTCTGCCTCCCCAGCTGGCCCTGGGGCTGGGAGAGCTTTGGCCCCTCTGAATCCCCACATAAAGCACAGTCCCTGCAGGTACTGGGGGAGCCCTGGCTCGCTGCTACAACCAATGAACAGGGATATAGACGAGGTGCGGGGACACACCAAGGGCCAGACCTGCCATGGAGAAGTCACCAGCACCATTGAGGGGGCTGGATTAGGTGACCTCTAGTGACCCCCTCACCCAGAGATGCTGGCCTCTTTCATTCTTTTCTTCTTATTTCCCCCTCAGGACAGCCTCATTGACTCAGGCATCATTCATCAGTTGTTCCTGGAATCTGGCTGGGACAAGCGCACAGCATGTACCTTTGCCTCAGGGCACACCCAGGCCTGCAGGGTCTCCTACTGTGTGGGGAAGATGCTAGGAGCCCCTGTGGGGCTGTGGGCCAGGCCTGAGGAAGGAGCGTGCCTCAGGGTTTTCTCCGCCTGCCCCAGGGCCACTTCAGCTGAAGCTGGGAGGGGAGGGGCCCTTTAGTCTGAGAACTTAAGACAAGGAGGTACTATCTGGAATGTTTAATCTTAGGATTTACAGCACAGACCTAGGCTCAGCTGCTGAAGCTCAGTGCACACAGGGTGCTGGGAGAGTCCCACAGGAGTAGGTGGAGCCCGGCCTTAGGTCTGAGAGGAGGGCAGGCAAGAGGCAGAGGCTCTGCTCCTCCCAGCACCAGACCCTGCCCGCTGGGGGCCTGGCCTCCCACCCAGGGCTTGGCCAGAGAGCAGGAGCCTGTGGCGGCAACACGTAGGTAGCATTTCCAGGGGCCTGTGGCAGCGACGTGTAGCTGGAAAGAGGCTACTGCCAGGCGGTGTGGCAGGATGTTCCCTCTGGGCTGCCCTGGATTGGCCCCACCCCCAGTCCTAGAGGGTCTGCAGTAGAGGGAGGCAAAAAGCAACCCGGGTCAAGGCCAGGGTTGGAGACTGGGGGAGTCAAGGAGGCTGTGCTGCAGGGCTGGTTACTGACCTGGCCTCAGAGTGTTAGGGTCAGGTCAGCCCCTCCCACGAAGCGGGACTGGACACAGGACACCTGGGGCAGCTGGGCTTGGAAGCGTCTGACGGCGGCCATGTTGATGCCAGGGCACGTGGCCACATCCAACACCCGGAGCTGCCTGCACGCCTGCCCAATAGCATCCAGTGTCCTGTGGGGAGGCCACCTGATGAGTGCCTGGCCCGGTGTGGGACCCAGCCCAGCCCCTGCACCGTGGCTCCATCTGCCTGGTGTCATCGGACACACTTACTGCTCTATGAGCTGACTGCAGCTGGACAGGTTGAGATGCTGCAGCCTTGGCCAGGAGCTGGCTGCCTGGGCCCAGCCCTTGTCACTGAGTCGGCTGCAGTGACTCAGCGCCAAGTGCTCCAGGCTAGGACAGCCCCTGGCCACAGCAACCAAGCCGTTGTCTGTGAGTTCTGGCAACAGGCTAAGGGACAGCTGCCTCAGCTGGAGAAACTGGAGCACCTACAAGGATGGGGAGGGTAGGGGAGAGGTAAATGCCACTGGAGCCCACAGCCTTGGCCTTTCCAGATCCTCCCACCCCAGCCAGGGCGTGACTAGAGGCAGCAGAAGCCAATGAAAAAGGAACTCCAAGGTCAACTTTTTTCCAAGCAAAAAGTGGGTTGGCCCAGACCCCTGACTTCAGCCCCCAGATCCTCAGCCTACCCGCACCCCCAGCCCCACACCTTGGCTAAACTGGCATCAGTCAGCTTGCTGCAGGCTGTGAGGTCCAACTCCTGCAGGGCCCGCAGCGTGAGCAGGGAGGGGCCCTGTGGCTCTGGACAGGCGTCCTTGGTACCTGAGGCCTGATGCTCCAGCTCTGGGCGTGACTGTGGGAAGAAGCCTTTGCTTCTCAGGTTCCTCCTGAGTTTGCCCTTAAATACTCCTACAGAGACTTGGGAGGGGCAGGAGGGCAGCTGATCCCAGGGGCCACCCCGTCCTCCAAGACCTCGAGGGTCCCACACCTGGGTCCCCTGCACAGGCTCCCCCAGCCCCCGAAGCCCCCAGTCACAGAGCTCCCTGCACCACGCCAGGCGCAGGACTGAGAGGTGGGTGAGGTAGGTGCAGATGGCCTGCAGGGTCCTGTTGGTGAGGGCCACACAGGAGGACAGGTCTAGCACCCTGAGGCTCAGGCCCAGTGCTGGGATCATGGAGAGCACTGAGGCATCCTAGGAGGGAGGAAGGGAGGAGACAGGATGGAGCACCAGCTGGTTGCCTATGCCACCTGGCCTGGCAGGGGTAGCTAGAAAGGGTCTGTTCAAGGTTCTCACCCCACAGGCAGGAGGGAGCTACCAGAGGGTCCAAGGAAGGAAGAAACATGGTCCCTGTGCTGGTAGTGAAAGTTGGGGGTGGACAGGGTGGGCCATGGGGGTTGCCACAGGAAAAAGGCCTGGACTGTGGCTGGGGCAGGAAGGATGCAGGTGGCAAGGCCTAGGGTGGCCACCCTGCCTATGCTCCCAGCCCCTGCCAAAAAAGTGAATGAGGCCACCTCAGACCACAGCTCACAACTGGACCAGCCAGTTGACCCTGCTAAGCCAATCGGAGTTGCTCCCTCTAGAGCTGGACGCAAAACAGTGAGATGTAGGTAGAGCTGCCAGCTGCCAGAGCAGTTAGGGACGGGGAGCAGGAGCTAAGGGCAGAGTAGAGGAGGCTGGTTTGTAGAGAGATGCACAGAGGGGAGCTTCAGGGACACAAGAACTTGAGGCCTGGAGGCAGCAGCTGAGAGGACACGGGGATGTTGTACTACATATCTGACGTGCTTGGTGCCAAAGAGGAGGAGTAAGGCCGGGAAGAGAGGCGCTTGGAGGGGAACAAGGTGGAGAGACGGTTTTTAGGTTGGGAATGCCCTGGTCAAATGGACAGGCTGAAGAAATAATCCGCTAAAGAGGGACAGACTGACACTGCCAAGACAGGGGTGCCACCCAGAGGGACAGCGCTGAGCCCTGCTGACGGGCCTGGCCTTGGCTAGGAAATGACCCTGCTGCTCCTGTCACATCACCCTCGCAGGCCCCGCCCCAGCACCTTCCTCAGTGCTCCTTCCCTGCCTTCCTTGCCCATCACCCCCTTTCTTCAGCCCGCCCAGCTCCAGAACACTCATCCTCAGCGCCCCTCCCCAGACTGCAGCGGTCGCCACACACTTGACATGTCAGCTGTTGGCTGCCTCGTGGGCTGGGCCACCTTGGCCACTTGGACCTCCTAGGCCCAGAATGGGGGGTTTGTGGGGGGTGTGCTGGCAGCAACAGCAGCTATCTAGGCTCTTGCCCTCCTCCAGACTGGGTCCCAAGTTCATTTCTAACTGCCAATCATAGGCATGAACACTGGGGAGTCCCTCCCTGGTGCCAAAGGCCCCCCACCACCCCGCTTCCCCTCTCCCGCTGTCCTCAGCCCTGGAGAGGAAGGAAGGGGATGATGGTGTGCTCACCTTCAATGAAGAGCAGTGGGCCAGGCTGAGGGAGGCCAGCTGGGATGGAGCCCCGTGCATACAGCCCAGGGCCTGGGCCAGTTCCCGCCCTCGGCCATGTCGAGGCTCTGCAGCTCCTGCAGGCCACCCAGAGCTGTACATCCTGCATCTGTCAGCCGCTGCAGCTTCCCCAGGCTCAGGCGCCGCAGGTGCCGCAGGCCCCGGCTCACGGCCAAGAGCGCCCCATCAGTCAGTTCTGAGCAGCCACTGAGGTCCAGGGAGGTAAGGCCTGGTTGCTGGAAGCACAGGGTAGCCACAGCCTCTGTGGAGAGGTCCCGGCAGCTGTGCAGGCTCAGCTCCTGAAGCTGCAGCCCAGCTACCTGGCCCAGAGCCTGCAGGGCCTCGGGGGGCAAGCCAGTGCCACTCAGGTCCAGGGCACGCAGCCTGCCAGCCCGCTCTTGCACTAATCGCAGCAGGTTGCAGAAGGAGAACTGGGCGGGAGAGGAGTCTTGGGGGCCGATGGAGCCTCAGGCTGGGCCTAGCTCGAAGGTGAGGTGGCAGTATGCCAAGGAGAGGCGCTCCAGGCTGGGGGCACAGCTGCTGAGCTGGTTGAAGCTGAGGTCAGCCAGGTCTCGCAGGCCAGCCAGGTTGAGCTCACGGAGGCCGCTCAAAGCCTGCTGGACGCTCTGTGCCATCTCTGGCTGAGCCAGCAGTGTGCCCGAGGTGAAGAGGCTATTGCAGCCACTGAGGTCAAGGACACACAGGGCTGGGCAGCCCAGGATCAGGGCCACAGAGGAGGCCTCTGTGGGGCTGCCTCCACCCAGGGACAAGCTCTGCAGGTGTGGGCCCAGGTGGTAAGCAACAGATTGTAGCACCTGGTGTGAAGCCAGAGAGCCATCCAGGTTGGTCAGGCTGATGCAGCAGATGCCCCTGAGGCCCAGGCTCTTGATGGCCGAGAGGGAGGCAGAGGACACGGGGATGTTGTATCGCACATCTGTCTACGGAGCAGCAGCAGGCCTGGGGGTAGCCCTCTGGCTTCAGAGGGTGCTGGGCATTGGGTTTGGTGACAAGTCACTGGCCAGAGGTTGAGGGCAGGTCAAGGAAGGGCCCTTCCACAATGGAGACCCACCATGGTGTGTGGTGTCATGTGTGGTCAAGTTGGGTATGGGTAGGAAGTGGGAGCTGGGGTTCAAAGGAGATGACCATCAGAGGAAGGCGGGAAGGTTAGCGATGGACAGGATGGGATACTGAGGGAGGGGTGGAGACAGAGTGGGGAGTTGGCATGCTGAGCACAGGAGGGCTGAGATGTGACCTAGAGGAAACCCAGTGAAGTCCCCAGGGTGTGGGAGGGCAAAGTATGCCAGACCCCAACCTTTGGGACTTTCAGAAGGAGGCCCTGAGATCCATGGACTCAGCCTCCTACTCCAGGGACTTGGCATGAGCTAAGCAGCCAGCCTCCCCCACTTTCTAGAGAGCGTAGCCCTCTGAAGAGTGGAAGGCGATAGAAGTGAGGTAGGTGTCACTCACCACAACCCTCTATGGCCCAGGTGCCAGAGGTCTGGGGCAGGCAGTGAGGCCTAAGTCCCCTGGTGGCCTGAGAGAGCCTGTCACATGAATGTTTGCAAAAATGTGTTCTGTGTGTAAGCAAAAATGTGTGCATGTGCATATATGTGTGTGTGCATGTATGTGCATGTGCATGTGTGTGTGCATGAACACGTGGAGCTGCCTGGTATTGGGCCCCGGATGCTCCAGAGTTCAAGATGTGCTTGTGATCCCTGTGGCATATCTCTGGAGGGGGCATCTATCTGTCACGGTAAGGACGCTGAAGCCTCCCATTTCCGTGGGTGGGAGCTAACAGAACACACCTCACCCGTGCCAAGGAAGTTGAGCTGGCTCTGCGTAGAGGAACAGGGGAGTGATAATGGGGAGTGCACAGCTGGAGTCAGGTGGGACCCAAGAGAAAAGCTCAGGGCTACATAGTGGGAATAAGTTGGCTTGTGCAGGCATTTAGGAGCTCCCAGCTAAGGAGATATCTTCAAAGAACTTTTCCTGATATTGCACTGGAGTGAGCCAAAGGGAAATCGGTATAATTTGTGTGGAACAGATCTCTGGGGAGAGGGAGAAGAGGGCTTGGATTCTAAAATCCTTGCCCCATCTCCCTACCTCTTGCCCATGTTGCAGGCACGTGGTACTCAAAGAGGGCTCTTGTTTGAATCAACATGGTCCTGATGCAGGAAAGAATCCTCCCCTAAACCTGTCTTGTCAGTAACTGCAAAAACAAGCTGCTGTTCCCTGCTGGTACCCCACAGACCATCATCAAAAGGGAATCCAAGCCAGGCACGGTGGCTCCTGCCTGTAATCCCAGCACTTTGGGAGGCTGAGGCGGGTGGATCACTTGAGGTCAAGAGTTTGAGACTAGCCTGGCCAACATGGTGAAACCCCATCTCTACTAAAAATACAGAAATTAGGCTGGGCGCGGTGGCTCACACCTGTAATCCCAGCACTCTGGGAGGCCAAAGTGGGCTGATCATGAGGTCAGGAGATCGAGACCATCCTGGCTAACATGGTGAAACCCCATCTCTACTAAAAATACAAAAAAATTAGCCGGGCATGGTCGTGGGCACCTGTAGTCCCAGCTACTTGGGAGGCTGAGGCAGGAGAATGGCGTGAACCCGGGAGGTGGAGCTTGCAGTGAGCCGAGACTGCATCACTGCACTCCAGCCTGGGTGACAGAGCAAGACTCCATCTCAAAAAAAAAAAAAAGAAATTAGCTGGGTGTGGTGGTGCATGCTTATAATCCCAGCTACTTGAACCTGAGAGGTGGAGGTTGCAGTGATCCAAGATTGCACCACTGCACTCCAGTCTGGGCAACACAGCAAAACTCCATCTCAAAAAAAAAAAAAAGGAATGCAGAAGGTAGAAGTGACTCACAGGATGTGCTCCTGCAAGATACTTATCAACAGGATTCTCCTAAGAAACACAGGACTCATTCCCAGGTGTGGAGAGGCCAGCCTGGCTTCTACCACAGAAAAGTGGCACCCATGGCTATAATGACAGGAAGGAGTGGTGTAAGAGACAGGAACCAGCTCCTGGCCTCTTTCACAGGAACCAGAGGTCAGCCAGGTTCCCCTTCCAGCCCCTACTTCTGGAACATGGTCATTCCAGATGAGAGGGGCACTCACCACAGGTCTCCTCGTGGGCAATGGATCGGGGATCTCAGGTGAAAGGTAGGCTGGGAAGATCCCAGTGTGTGAGGGTGGAGAGGGCAATAAAACATCAGAGAGGAATGGAGGGCATACCTCCAGCCATTCCCAAGCCCTGCAAGCTGAACGACTCCATCCCATGCAGATCAGAGGAAACTGGCTGGGGCAGGTGGGGCAGAGCTGGCTGTGAGGCAGCACCTCCTCCCCCAAGTCACACATCACTGAGGAACCCCTGAAAGTCCTGCAGGCCCCAGCTCCAGTGGCACAGCACCTTCAGGGGCTCAGCCTGACTTCTTTCCTTCCCTTCATTCTGGAGCCTGGCTGGCCAGGAAGGGTCTCTTCTCTCCCACTGCCTCCCTATGAACCAGGTGGACAAAAGACCTTGGAAGGCTCTGGCAATGCCCCAGGGCCCAAGTCCAGGGCTGGCTCCTGGCAGCAAGGCCACTCGATAAAGAAGCAGAGCCTGGCTTAAAGGACTTCTAGCTCTGGGGGTACGGAAGAGGCTTGAGACCATGTCCAGGCCCCACCATTTTTGCAGGTGGGATGGGAGCAGCCTCTAAGCCACCTCCCAGGTGGCTCCTGAGGTCTGCTCCTGAGGTCACCTGCTCCTGAGGTCATATGGACTTAAAACTGCAGGAGTTGGCCAGGTGTGGTGGCTCATGCCTATAATCCCAGCACTTTGGGAGGCCAAGGCAGGCGGATCACGAGGTCAGGAGTTGGAGACCAGCCTGGCCAACATGGTGAAACCCTATCTCTACTAAAAATACAAAAATTAGCTGGGCGTGGTGGCAGGAGTTTGTAATTCCCAGCTACTTGGGAGGCTGAGGCAGGAAAATTACTTGAACCTGGGAGGCGGAGGTTGCAGTGAGCCGAGATCGCGCCACTGCACTCCAGCCTGAGCAACAGAGCGAGACTCCAGCTTAAATCAATAAATAAATAAATAACCTGCAGGAGCCCAGGAACAGCCTTTCAGGGATATTTCTCTGTGTGAGAGAACAGCAGCAGGCTGAAGCAGGCCTTCTGGGTTCTGGACTTTGGCCCTGGTATAGGACACCCCCTTCCTGGGCCCTGGGAAGATGCTTCTAGACCCACCCAAAGAGAACTGCAAGGCCACATGCTCTAGCTCTAGCTGCCCCATCTACAGAAGGAACACCTTGCCCCCTGGTCTCCTCCCTTCCCGATGCTGGCATCTTAAGAGTAACTGCTGGCCGGGCGTGGTGGTTCATGCCTGTAATCCCTGGACTTTGCCCGAAGGCGCGCAGGTCACTTAAGGTCAGGAGTTCAAGACCAGCCTGGCCAACGTGGTGAAACCCCATCTCTACTAAAAATACAAAAAAGCCGGGCATGGTGGCAGACACCTGTAATCCCAGCTACTCTGGGGGCTGAGGCAGGAGAATCTCTTGAACCTCAGAGGTAGAGGTTGCAGTGAGCCAAGATCCTGCCACTGCACTCCAGCCTGGGCAACAGCGCGAGACTCCATCTCAAAAAAAGGAAAAAAAAAGAGTAATCGCAATATCATTTGGGAACTGCTCTGAATCTGCTACAAGTAACGTATGTACCTTTTCTGTGGGAGACCAGGGTTTTGTTGTACCTAATGAAGCCCTGAACCGAGACTGCAGGCCTGTGTACAGACTTGGAAAGCCATGTGACAGAGAAAATGGCCCTTCGTCCTGCCTAATACAGGACTCCAAAGCTACCGTGCTTGTTCTCCAGGAGGCCGTTGGGAAATGTACGCCCTGGCACCCAGGGCATTGGTCTCTAGAGAGGAGTTAGACTAGTGGGTCATACAGAGGCTGCTCCAGGACTTCATCAATCCCTCAGGCAGGGAGGGCACAAAGAGCTCTCTTCAGCTATTGCTTCATGGGGACCAACCAGCAGAGACAACCAGGGCTCCCCCAGGAACGGACAGGGCCGGTACATATGGAGGGTGCTGCCTTTGCCGGCATCCTTATTTGAGAAAATTGGGATTAAGGGAATAGGAGGGACTGGTCAGGGAAAGTAAGTCCCCAAGACCAGCGTCCTAGCCCAGCTTGGTGAGTCACCAGCTCTAGCTGGGCCTCGGTAAGCCAGTGTCTTCCACAGCACCTAACTGGTACCTAACTGCTACTGCCTCAGTATCCACCTGCCCATGCCCGAGCCCTGGGAGATGGTTCCTGCCTGCAGGGTCCCGCAGGCGCTCTCTGGCACATGGTAGGGGTGATGCCAGGTACCTGTGGCCTGGCCTCCCAGTGCTCCCAGCCTAGGTGGGGCTGAGTTTCGCAGAGGCACCAAAGGGTCTTTGTCAACATTCCTTTTTTCTTTTTCTTGTTTTTGGTTATCCCAAGGCTCTGTCATCTGTCTCTGTCCGCATTCTATCTGGAGAGCATGGTTGGCTGGAGCAGCTCCCGCTCTAAAACACTCACTCTGGCTTCCTTCTCCTTCCTCCAGCCCTGCCCAACTTGGGCTCCTCTGACTGCCCCATCTTTGCTGGGTTCCATGAGGCTTTGCCCTGTGACAACCTCTCCTCGGGGTCCTTGTTGCCCTGCCTCAGTCGTGCTGCTGTGCCCATTCTCCTGGCCCGGCCAGGGCTGGCAAGACCAGCTGCCTCCTCTGAGTCTGTACCAGGGATACAGAACTCCGCCCAGGAAGTCATGGCCTCCTTGCTCGATTCCCACCCTGCCCCAAGACTTCTCTCCAAGCCCCTCCCTCTCCAGCTCCTGGCCCTACTGATACACCCTCCCTCACCCAGGATTCTCAGGGATGGCCATCAAGTGGGAAGTCCCTCCCTTTCCCCTGTTCATGTCCACCAGCTGCCTCCAGGCAGGGCCCATCTGAACCTTCCTCCTTCTCCTGCTCTTTTGCTTCCAGAAGACTTCTTCTCCTGGCCTCCTTCTCCTGCTGCACCTTCTCCTCTGAGAACCCTGATGTTTATGCCTTTCCACTGCTCCTTCTTCAGAGGCCACAAACACCCCAGAGTCTTAAACTGCAACTAAAAGCCTCCTTTCATCCCGCACCCCTTCCTCTTGCCTCTCTTCTCTCCCCTTCCTCTACAGCCACGCTTCTTGGAAGCACACAGGCACAGGCATGCCTGCTGTCCCGCCACTCGTTGCCCCTCGCCTCACCTGCTCACCCCTCCACCCTGGCCCCCACAGGATCACGCATTCCTGGCAACAACTCCCCTCCAGCAAGGTCACCAACATGTGGGGGCTTCACCTCAGACCTCCCACAAGGGTTCTCTCTGCCATGTCACCTGCTCTGCATGGCCAGCAGCCACTCCCCTTGATGCCATCTCCACTGGGGTTCTGCAACTCTGCCCCCCTGGCTTTCCTCCTACCTTCTAGCCTGCTCTTCTTCAGGCTCTTTTGGGGTCAACAAAGAACAGAGATCCAGTCCACAGATGAGTGGGTTCCCCATGGTTTGTTCCACCCAAGAACACACACACGTGTGCACGTGCACATATGCACACGATCTTTGTGCCCCTCCGAGTGTACCCTGGCCAACTGCATTTTGCCCCATGGGGCCATCATTCCAACCACTGTCTTTCCGATCCACATGATGTTCCTGAACGCCAGACCCCGGGAGCCAAGTGCCTGACTGGCCTCTCTCCAGAGGGCACGATGCAGCATACCCAAATCTGAACTCATCATCTCATCCTCCAACTCTGCTCCTTCTAAACTCTCCCCACCCTCTATTGAGTCACCCAAGTGGGAAATTTGGGAGTGATTCTAGAATCCTCCCTCACTCCCCACATCCACAATGACCCAAGCCCCTTCCACTTTTGTTTCCCTGATACGGTGCAATCTGTCCCTCTGCTCCAACCTCACTGCTTCTGCCCTAGTTGAAGTCCCCATACTGTATGCCAGCAGCCCGAGAGCTGCTTCCTCTAAGCTCAGACCACGCCAGCTTCCTCCTTATCAGGTCCTGGCCTCCAGTTCCTCTGGCTCCAATCCATCCTGGGTTTTGTCACCATGTGACCCTTCCAAAAGGCGATTCTGCCTGTGCTCTCCAGACCCTCTGCCAGTTCCGCACGCCTCCAGGACACAGGCTAAGCTTCCTAAGCCTGCATTCAAGCCCTTCTAGGACCCAGGCCTGCTGCTTCAGCCAAGCTCTTCCCAAGCCCGTTCCCCTTCCTCCTAGTCCTGGCTCTGGGGCTGCCACTTCTGACCATTGTCCTGTACCGCACGCCTCTGCTCAGCTGCTTTTTCTGTTCTGGGGGGGTCCCACCCCTCACTGGCTCCTATTGGTCTATTTGGCAAATGTTTATTCCTCTCTCGAGTCTCAGGCCAAGCACCTCCTTCTCCATGGAGTCTTTTCTGATCTTTTCTCTGCACCCATGATGTGCCTCACACAGACTTCAAATGCAGCACCCCAGCCTCTTTTTACTCATCTGTACTCACTACACACTCCCCAGCCCTGTGCCTTCCTCAGTTTTGCCTCGCTGGTGCCCAGCACACTGCCCGGCACAGCAGAAACATTTGAGTAAGGCTGCCCACACCCTCTCTATGTGTCTCTGGTAATTTTCCATCTTCCTCCTGTCCTGTGACTGCTCCAACCCTCTCTGCTGAAGCCCTGGCCTCTATGTCTCTTTTTACTCTCCTGAGACAACCTGGTCTCCAAATCCACTGAGTGAAGGGGCCGCTGAGGAAGGAGATGCCTCTGAGGAACTTCTCTGCAAATAGCTCCATGTTTCCACCCCCACCTCTCTGCTTCCTCAGGAAGAGGTGACATCCTTTTTTTCACCAAACTGATGCTGAAAAAACAAAAAAGAAAAACACACACATACACACACAAAAAAACAAAAAAAAAAAAGGGAGAGGTGATATCCTCTCCATCCTATCCCAGATCAAGCTTGGTATGTGGAAGCCTGTCCCTGCCACCATCTTCTACACCTGACCTCTCTCCTCCCCGAATCTTCACCCCTCCTCTAGTGACTCCCTGAAGCATTTATTTATTTATTTAATTTATTTATTTACTTTTTTTTTTTTTGAGACAGAGTCTCACTCTGTCACCCAGGCTGGAGTGCAGTGGCACGATCTCAGTTCACTGCAACCTCCACCTTCCAGGTTCAAGCGATTCTCTGCCTTAGCCTCCTGAGTAGCTGGGATTACAGGCACCTGCCACCATGCCCGGCTAATTTTTTGTATTTTTAGTAGAGACGGGGTTTCACCATCTTGGCCAGGATGGTCTTGAACTCCTGACCATGTGATCCACCCACCTTGGCCTCCCAAAGTGCTGGGATTATAGGTGTGAGCCACTGCACGCGGCCTCTTTTTTTTTTTTTTTCCTTTTTTTTTTGAGATGGAGTCTTGCCCAGACTGGCTGGAGTGCAGTGGTGCAATCTCGGCTCACTGCAAGCTCCGCTTCCTGGGTTCATGCCATTCTCCTGCCTCAGCCTCCTGAGTAGCTGGGACTACAGGCGCCCACCACCACGCCCAGCTAATTTTTTGTATTTTTTTTTTTTTTTTTAGTAGAGATGGGGTTTCACCGTGTTAGCCAGGATGGGTTTTTCGTTGTTTTTTTTTGAAATGGAGTCTTGCTCTGTTGCCCAGGCTGGAGTGCAGTGACATGATCTCAGCTCACTGCAAGCCCCACCTCCCAGGTTCAAGTGATTCTCCTGCCTCAGCCTCCCGAAGAGCTGTGATTACAGGCATTCGCCACCATGCCCAGCTAATTTTTGTATTTTTAGTAGAGATGGGGTTTCACCATGTTGGCCAGGGTGGTCTCGAACTCCTGACCTCAATTGATCTACCAGCATTGGCCTCCCAAAGTGCTGGGATTACAGGCTTGTGTCACTGCACCGGGCCACCCTGAAGCTTTATTTATTTATTCATTTATTTATAGACAGGGTCTTGCTCTGTCACCCAGGCTGGAGTGCAGTGGTGTGATCTCTGCTCACTGCAACCTCTGCTTCCCAGGTTCAAGAGATTCTTGTGCCTCAGCCTCCCGAGTAGCTGGGATTACAGGTGTGCACCACTGCACCTGGCTAATTTTTGTATTTTTAGTAGAGATGGGGTTTCAACTTGTTGGCCAGACTGGTCTTGAACTCCTGGCCTCAAGTGATCCACCAGCCTCAGCCTCCCAAAGTGCTGGGATTACAGGTGTGAGCCACCGTGCCCAGTCTCCTGATGCATTCAAACACATTTCAGATTTCTCCAGAAGAGAATCCCTTTGTCTTTGTCAAACCCATCTCAACTTCTCATTTCTGCCCTATTTCTTTCTCTCTCTCTCTCTCTTTTTTTTTTTTTTTTGAGACGGAGTCTCTCTCTGTTGCCCAGGCTGGAGTGAAGTAGAGCAATCTCGGTTCACTGCAACCTCCACCCCTGGGTTCAAGTGATTCTCCTGCCTCAGCCTCCAGAGTAGCTGGGATTATAGGAACCCACCACCATGCCTGGCTAATTTTTGTATTTTAGTAGAGGGGGTTTCGCCGTGTTGGCCAGGCTGGTCTCAAACTCCTGACCTCAGGTGATCCACTCGTCTCGGCCTCCCAAAGTTCTAGGATTACAGGCATGAGCCACTGTGCCTGACTTGCCCTATTTATTTCCTTCTTTCTGTAGAGAAATTTCTTTTTTTTTTGTTTTTTTTTTTTTTTGAGATGGAGTTTTGCTCCAGCCCAGGCTGGAGTGCAATGGCACGATCTGGGCTCACTGCAACCTCCGCCTCCTGGGTTCTAGCGATTCTCCTGCCTCAGCCTCCCGAGTAGTTGGGATTACAGGCATGCGCCACCACACCCAGCTAATTTTTGTATTTTTAGTAGAGACAGGGTTTCACCATGCTGGTCAGGCTGGTCTCAAACTCCCAACCTTAGATGATCCGCCCACCTCGGCCTCCCAAAGCGCTGGGATTACAGGTGTGAGCCACTACGCCCGGCCAAGAAATTTCTTGCCAGCGAGGTCACGCTCTACACTTCCTACTTCTCTCATTCACTCCTCAATCCACCTGGCTTATTTTTCCAGATGCCAAATATCACTGAAGCCATTGGTGGCCTCCTTGGATAACATATCTCATGGACAATATTTGTTCTTCATTTTGCTGGGCTTTTTGTGGGATCTGACATTGTTAATCATCCATTCAATCCTTTATTTATGTATTTTTTTTTGAGACTGAGTCTCGCTTTGTCGCCCAGGCTGGAGTACAGCGGCTAGATCTCGAATCACTGCAACCTCCACCTCTCTGGTTCAAGTGATTCTCCTGTCTCAGACTCCTGAGTAGCTGGGACTATAGGCGTGAGCCACCACGCCCGGCCTCATTCAATCCTTTAAATGCTCTCCTGCTCTCCTGCCTTTGACGTCTGTGCCCTCCTCTCTCTGAGAGCTCCTCATTCCCCTCTTTGGGTATCTCCTCCTTTCTGTGCCCTTGGACTTGTGTCCTCTCCTGGGGCTTCTCTGTGGCCTGCTGTTCTGTGGCTCTGCATGTTCTCCCCGGGGGAAGTTACTCAGATCTGTGGCTTCAACTGCCACCTATTCTTTAATGACACTCAAATCTATATTTATTACCCAGATATTTCTCTTGAATTCCTCACTCAGAAATGCAACTACCAAGTGGATCTCAACATCTAGATCCTCACACTTCAAACTTTCAACATGTCCAAAATAAAATTCCTTTGGACAGTGAGATGAATGTCACTGTATACATAATTCAACAAAAGAATCTACTTATAGACTCATATTTAATAGGGGATAGAGGATTCCAACCAAACAGAGAAGGAGAAGATTAGATGTAAATGGTGTTCGGGCTCTTTGAAAATTAATCAGTTTAGCTTCTTACCTCATAACATAAATCTAAATAATTTTTACCAATAAAAACATTAACACAAAAATTCAAACCAGAAAGCAGAAGAGACAGTTTTGCTGTAAACCTAAAACTGCTCTAAGTAATAGAGTCTATTTAAGAAAAACAGAAGAAAAGTGTAAAAGGGCAAGGAATCATTAAGTTTAGAAAACAATGGAAGAAGTGAAAAAGAAAAGGATGTTCAGAATCAACAACAGAGAAATTTAACTTCTGGGCCAGGCATGGTGGCTCATGCCTGTAATCCCAGCACCTTGGGAAGCTAAGGTGGGCAGATCTCTTGAGCCCAGGAGTTTGAGACGAGCCTGGGCAACATGGTGAAATCTCGTCTCTGTTAAAAATATAGGCTGGGCGTGGTGGCTCACGCTTGTAATCCCAGCACTTTGGGAGGCCGAGGCGGGAGGATCATGAGGTCAGGAGATGGAGACCATCTTGGCTAACACAGTGAAACCCCATCTCTACCAAAAATACAAAAAAAAAATTAGCTGGGCGCGGTGGCGGGCGCCTGTAGTCCCAGCTACTCGGGAGGCTGAGGCAGGAGAATGGCGTGAACCTGGGAGGCGGAGCTTGCAGTGAGCCAAGATCTCGCCACTGCACTCCAACCTGGGCGACAGAGCGAGACTCCGTCTCAAAACAAACAAACAAACAAAAAACATATATATATATAAATTAGCCAGGCATGGTGACATGCATCTGTAGTCCCAGCTACTCAGGAGGCTGAGGTGGGAGGATCACCTGAGCCTGGCGAGGTCGAGGCTGCAGTGACCTGTGATTGCACCACTGCACTCTAGCCCAGGCAACAGAGCAAGACTCTGTCTCAAAAACAAACAAATGAAATTTTTAAAAAATTAAATCAAATTAAAATTTTAAAGAGAGGCCAGGTTTGGTGACTCACACGTGAAATCCCAGCACTTTGGGAGGCCGAGGTGGGTGGATCATGAGGTCAAGAGATCCAGACCATCCTGGCCAACATGGTGAAACCCCATCTCTACTAAAAATATAAAAATTAGCTGGGCGTGGTGGTGCATGCATAGTCCCAGCTACTCGGGAGGCTGAGGCAGGAGAATTGCCTGAACCCGGGAGGTGGAGGTTGCAGTGAGCTGAGATCATGCCACTGTACTCCAGCCTGGTGATGGAGCGAGACTCCGTCTCAAAAAAATAAATAAATAGAAATAAAAAAAGAAGCGCGGCACAGTGGCTCACGCCTGTAATCCCAGCACTTTGGGAGGCCAAGTGGGTGCAGATCACTTGAGGTCAGGAGTTCGAGACCAGCCTGGCCAACATGGCGACACCCCATCTCTACTAAAAATACAAAAATTAGTCAAGTGTGGTGGCACACACCTGCAATTCTGGCTACTTGAGAGGCTGAGGCAGGAGAATTGCTGAGGCGGAGGTTGCAGTGAGCCGAGATTGCGCCATTGCACTCCAGCCTGGGTGACAGAGCAAGACTCCATCTAAAAAAAAAAAAAAAAAATTAGCTGGGCATGGTGGCGTGTGTCTGTAATCCCAGCTACTTGGGAGGCTGAGGCAGGAGAACTGCTTGAACCCAGGAGGCAGAGCTTGCAGTGAGCCGAGATAGCGCCACTGCACTCTAGCCTGGGCGACAGAGCAAGACTCTTATCTCAAAAAAAAAAAAAAAAAAAAAAAGAAAAAGAAAAAGTCCATACAAATGGAATAGAAAAATACTAAGACCTTAATAGTTAAATGGATACAGAACATGAATAAACAAAAGGGGGAAATATGAAGGGTGAACTAATGAGAAAAACAGTGCAACCTCACTAATAAACAAATCAAAATTAAAACAATGAGCCATCACTGCCTGCCTTTCAAACTAGCCCAGATGTCTGCATTCACCTCCTGGCTGGCCTCCTCCCTATGCTGTCTCACTCTCCCAGTCCACTCTGCACTGCAGAGTTCTAATACAAATCACGCTGTGTCACTTGCCTGCCTAATGGGCTCCTTGATGGTCACCAGGAGAAAGCCAAACTCTGCTGCCTGGCACATCTGCCAGCTTGCAGCCTGATGCCATTCTAGCCTCGCCTCCTGCCATGTCTCACTTAGTTCCAGCCAAATGGAACTTGTGTGATTGGTTCCACACCATGGTGCCTTCACTTATGCTATTACTGATCCCAGAAGCCCAACCTTTCTTCTCATCCTGTTCCTTCAGGAAGCCTTCCCTGACACCACCAGTCTCCTCTGGATGTCCTTCTTCATGTTCCGTCAAACTCTTTTTTTTTGAGACAGAGTCTCGCTCTGTTGCCCAGGCTGGGGTGCAGTGGCGCGATCTCGGCTCACTGCCATCTCTGCCTCCCGGGTTCAAGCGATTCTCCTGCCTCAGCCTCCAAGTAGCTGGAACTACAGGTGCACACCACGCCACCACACCCAGCTAATTTTTGTAATTTTAGTAGAGACAGGGTTTCACCATATTGGTCAGGCTGGTCTCGAGCTCCTGACCTCAGGTGATCTACCCGCCTTGGCCTCCCAAAGTGCTGGGATTACAGGCGTGAGCCACTGCGCCCGGCTGTCCCCGTCGAACTCTTTCTTCCCAGTGTCACAGCGCTGAGCACACGATAGCATGATCATTCATATTACTCGTCTTTCTCCTTCACTGGAATGTGAGCTCCTTAGGGAACTATGTCTTATTTATCTGTATAGCCCCAGCACTGTACCCAGAGCCAAGTATGTATGAATGTATGTATATATGTGTATGTATGAGCATATGAATGGATGGATGGATGGATGGATAGATGGATGGAGATACATGAGCAGGGCCACGAGTAAGCTGAAGTAAGAAACACCTGAGGATGGGACGGGGGAGGGTGGGTGCCTTACCTCCCGAAGGGCATTCTGGGCAGCACGGTACCAAGCCCAACTCACGAGGGAGGCCTCTTTCTGATCTGACAGAGGCAGGAAGCTCAGAATATATGTGAGCATCTGAGGGAAAAAGACAGGGCATTGGGGACTGTTAGAGGTGGGAGGTCTTTGGAACCCACTCCAGCTGACAGCACCATGGGTCTGAGGGCACCAGAGCCCTGGCTTCTACTTTATCTTGGATGTGAAGCTTCACGAAGCATTCACTTCCCCGCTCCAGGCTTCAGGTATCTTTCCTGTAAACAAACCTTTCCTGAGCTGGGTGCAGGCTTGCACTGACTGATAAGAATCAAACTTCCTGCCTAGCTGGGTAGAAAAAGCCTGGGCATTGAGGCCAGATAAACCTAGTTCAAATCTCTACTCTGCCAACTGACCTCTCGAACTTTGTTTTCCTTATCTGTGAAATTGCAATTGTAGTGAGATTTAAATGGATTATTGTGAGAATTAAAGAACACAGCCAAGTGTCTTGCATAGGACCTAGAGCACAGCAGGCCAGGTGTGCTCACTCTGGTCCTCAGGAAGTCATGCTTGGTCCTCCTGCCCTCATGGCTCAGGCTCTGGGACCCTGCTGTTTTTCTGTCTTCTTCACTGCCACCTTGCCCTCTCCACTGGTTGTTAAGATGCGCTCCCAGCAAGACCTAGCCTGGGAGGCTCAGGCCCTTCCCCCCACCTAGGGGGTGGTGAGGTTAGAGGTCCTAAATGGGACTGGGGAAGGGGTTACCAGTGAGGCCTAGAATGATTTGATATTAACTCTTCTTTTCTTCTGGAATCTTCCTCCCTGCATCCCAATTGTCTCGTTTTTGGATTCTTCTGTGGCTCCCAGGGCTCAGACCTGGGTCTTTTGGTTTTCTGTTTACCAACACAGGAATAACCAACAATTCAATATTCCCATATTGTCCTATTATCCAAGTGCTAGTCCATATTGCCAACTGTCCATGCAAATGTTTAGCCATCACTTTAATCTCAACCAAAACTCATGTTCTACCCTCAGCCCAAAACAGCCTCTCCTCCCAAATTCCCCTTTCAATGCCAACAGTGCATCTACCTGATAACACTTTCAACTATTCAAACCATTCTGTCCCTTCCTCCCAGATACAGGTGTAATGCACAGGCTTTAGGCCAGGCTAACCTAAACTCATTCAAATTCCAGCTCCACTACTTCCACATATACTGATGTGTGACCTTAAACAAGGTACTTGACCTCTGGGAGTTTCAGTTTCCATATCTATAAAATAGGGATACTTTAAAAAAATCTAGATCATAGCCTCATGGGGATTAAATTTTACATATATATAGTGTGTGTGTGACAACTAGATGTTCCATAAATGGTTGCTGGATTGCTGTTACTAAAATTTCTACCTCTGCAACTTCCCCACCTCAGTAGCTCAGATTTCTACCACCCCAAACCTGGATTCCTTCCACAATCTCCCACCTGAACTCTTTGCCTCCAAGTTCATCCTTGCTAATACATTATGCACACTGTCACAAGGTTAATTTTTCCTATAAAACAGTTTTCAGTTTCAGCTCACCCCTGCTGTAAAACTTCAGGGTTCACAGTACTCTCAGGACAGTCTCCACTCCTGGATCAGCACTGCCAGGCCTCTGTGCCTGATTGGACTCGCTGGTCCCCAAACTTCCCCAGTCCAGTCTCCCCATTGCCCTACGCACACAGCATGTCTATTTCCTTTTGCCTATGCGGGCCTTTTCCCTGGGATCCCCTTCTTGAAGCTTAACTTCACCAACCCATTGTGATCTCTCCTTCCTTTCTCAGATGCCAAGCACGCAGGCACAGTGCTCAGCCAGTGCTTACTGGATTAAATTAAGGTTGGACAGTCCAGTCCTCTACCTCTATTTTCACCAAGAGTATGCTCAGGGAAGGGGTCGGGGAAATAAAGCAGTCATTACTGAGAGGACAATGACTGGCAGAATAGACTTCTGGGCCAGGAAGGGAGGCATAGGGAAGACAGTATTGATGGGGACTGGGACTGACCAAGTCCCAATCCCTCCAGGGAGGCACGGAAGCCTGTTTGAGCTGAGTTAAGACAGTGGCCATCCTGTCTTCTGGGGCTAAGCAGCCAGCCCAAGAGCAAAGGGAGAGGGGAACAAACCTGTCATCCCTTGGGGTGAGTCGGGAAGGGACACAATTCATTGACCTAAGAAGAGGGTGGCCTTTCTAGAGGGACAAGAGGAGGCAGTGATGAGGATGGAGTGACCATCCCATGAGTCCCATCTCAAGGGGGCTACTGGAGATAATGATTGGTCACTCATGGGGTCTATGGGGATGGAAATAGATAGCCCCTAAAGCTAAGGGGGAAAGGGATAGCACTGCAAGCTCAATAGGGGTGGGAACAGGCCTATTTTTGCTAAGGACAGGAGCATCATTCCAGGACCGATGGGAAAGGGTGGCCTGTTTCCCATGGGCAGAGAGAGGGGGCTGCCAACCCTCAGGACAAAAGAGATGGAGAAGCCATTCCAACAGGCCACTGAAGACAAAACCTGTTATCTCCCTGGCAGATGGGGCAGAGTGGTCTTGCCCCTGGCTAAGGGGAAGGAGCAAACATCCCACGGAGTGAAAGAGGTAAGGGCGGCCATCACTAGGGGCCTAGGAATGGGGAACAGGCCTATCCTTGTTAAAGGAACTCAGAGATCATTGCAGTTGATGGGGAGGGAGCAGTCTGTTTCCCACTGCCAGGGAGAAGGGGCGGCCGTCTCTGTAGGAAATGGAGAGATCATCCCAAGGGACCAATGGGGATAAGATCAGTTACCCTTCGGGACGATGAGATGGAGCGGACATCTTCCAGAACTGAGCGGGGAGGAGACAGCCACTTCAAGGGAAGGGGATGGGCAGAGGGCCTGTTCTCGCGGAGATGACAGGGCAGCTATCTTCTGGGGCCGATAGGGAAGGGGAGGACGGTCCCCCAAGCTAAAGGGACAGAGTGGCCCAAAGGAGGAACCGTTACCCAGAGCTAGAAGGTCCCGGGATCGGGAGGGCGGGTCGTTTCCGCCAGGCTGGAGGGGCCGGGCTAGCTATCTGACAGCCCCTCCCCAAAGCTCAGGACCGCGAGGGCGGGGCCTGTCCAGAGCTAGGCCTGAGGGCGGCTTCCTCTCACCTCCAGGGGCAGCGACTCCGCCATCGCATCCCTGCCGCCTCCGCCCCCACTGCGCAAGGCTTTCTGGGAAATGTAGTCTCGCCTCTTTGGGGCGGGGCTTGGGAAGGAAGTGAGACCTATTTCCGTCGCAAAAGCTGACGACTTCGGTCTGCGCCGGAAGTGCATGAGCTGCCGATGTGGTGCTTAGTGATTGCGGTTTCGGTCGCTCTCCCGTGTTTCCCGGGCTGGGTATTTGCCTCGCACCATGGCGGTAAGGAGGATGGATAGGGCGGGGTCCGCACCAGCAAAGCTCTCCAGGGGCTGTGAGAGTGAAAACTGAGAAAGAACATTAAGGGATATGGGGTGGGCCAGAGCGGGGCGCCATCCCTGGCCAGACCGTGCTAGAGCTGGGCTGGGGGGATGGCGGCGCAGGACCATACCAGGACTAGTGCCAGAGCGGGGTGGGCATCAGTACCAGGGCAGGCCAGAGATCTAAGTGACCTGAGGTGGGGGTTAACCCAGATCGGGACTACGCCAGCGGAGGCCTGAGAGAGGCACCATTCAACTCCGCTCAGGAGTACCCTTGGAAGAGTCGTTAGCCTAAAGCCAGACTACCACGGGATCCAGAGGCGGTATTAGCTTAGGATTGAATTGTTCCAGGGCGAGCAAGAGGCGATTGATCCTAGCTGCGGGTGCTGGAGAGATGGCGTCAGCCCTAGGCAGAATGGACTGGAGGATGGGTGGACATCCCAGGGATTTTGCTAGGTTTCTGCACTACGGGGACCTGGCTGAGTTGCGGATGGAGCTCTATAGCTCACCAGGCTGGTGGGGAGAATGAGGAGGACCGTGGCCTCCTGACGGCATCTCATCATTCCTCTGCAGCCCAAGGGCAAAGTGGGCACGAGAGGGAAGAAGCAGATATTTGAAGAGAACAGAGAGACTCTGAAGTTCTACCTGCGGATCATACTGGGGGCCAATGTAAGTGCCTACCTCCTTGCTTCTATGCCCACTTATAGTCAGTTCCCTAGTCCTCAGCCCTGCTTGGTGACGAGGAGTGGTACCCGAAAAAGCTCTAGAAGAGAGCTCCAGTCAAAAAGAAATGAGAGATCTGGGCACAGAGAAAGTGCTAACTAGTAAAACACAAAGAAAATGAAGGCGTGAGTCGTAGCTGAATTTGAGAGCTCTTCCTACCTCCAAGTACACAAAGGCTTCTTTCCTGGGCTGAGTTGGGTGTCAGAGGAGAGTGGGTATTTGGGATTCAGGGAGCAGGGCCCTTTCTTCAACCCTGTAAGAACAACCTTGCTCCTCCCACAGCCTGGCCTAATTCTTGGTCAGAGTTGAGGGAGACCCATGGTTTGGAGGTAACTTCTGACCCCAACCTGATCCTGTGATTGCTTGCAGGCCATTTACTGCCTTGTGACGTTGGTCTTCTTTTACTCATCTGCCTCATTTTGGGCCTGGGTAAGTATCTCCATCCTGGGAGGTGGATGAGTGCGTAGGGTCAGTGGCTGGCCTTTGATACCCTCATTCTTGCTCTGCAGTTGGCCCTGGGCTTTAGTCTGGCAGTGTATGGGGCCAGCTACCACTCTATGAGCTCGATGGCACGAGCAGCGTTCTCTGAGGATGGGGCCCTGATGGATGGTGGCATGGACCTCAACATGGAGCAGGGCATGGCAGAGTGAGTGTCCCCCACCGCCAGCCCAGGTGAGCGGCCCCAGGGCTGGGGCCCAGATAGCCCAAGAAGCACAGCTACTTGTAACTTGAAAAGGGTGGAAGGGAGTTGCAACTTGAAAAGGGTGGAAGGGCCCATATGCTGTCTTTCCAGCTTTATTTCTATCCACAGGCACCTTAAGGATGTGATCCTACTGACAGCCATCGTGCAGGTGCTCAGCTGCTTCTCTCTCTATGTCTGGTCCTTCTGGCTTCTGGTATGTGGGCTGGGGGCGCTCCCAAGAAGGGGCATCTAACCCTCCCCATCTTTTATTCCCTGCATCTTGCTTCAAGTTACCGTTTCTCTTGTAGGCTCCAGGCCGGGCCCTTTACCTCCTGTGGGTGAATGTGCTGGGCCCCTGGTTCACTGCAGACAGTGGCACCCCAGCACCAGAGCACAATGAGAAACGGCAGCGCCGACAGGAGCGGCGGCAGATGAAGCGGTTATAGCCATTGACATTGTGGCCACAGGCCACTGGCCCTGGGTGGCTCTGTCAGGGTGCACAGCCCCTCATGCCTGGAGCAATGAGGGTCTAGTCCAGGGGCCAAAAGCAGTCTGAGGTATTGGGTATACTTATACTCTATAGGGTCGTTGAATAAATGGCTTAGAATGTGGCTGATGGCTGTGTGGGTGATGAGGGATGAGGCAGGAAAAGCTGGTCCTATGGGATTTCCCTCCTGCTACAAACCCAGCCTGGTGGGGACCCTGAAAGAAGAGAAACCTGTTGGATTAGCTAAGAAAATTTTATTTTGCTCCGTGCGTTCAAGGAGCTCACACACATGCACATGCATATGCATGCACACACACACATACACACACACTCACATGCATACACACACGGCTAATACTGCTCAAGGCATGGCTCCTGGGCACAGAGTTCTGGGGCCAGAATTCTGCTCTGGGCCCTCCTCACTCTGTCATCTCCTGCACTGCAGTCCAGGGTCCAGATAGATTTCCGGGATACAGCACCTTCACACCTCCAGGCCAGGACCCTTGCTTAGTCCCAGTGCCTGCACCAGGTCATCTCCGAGCCCACTCTTCAACGTCCTTCTCACTGCAGGGACAGAGCAGGGTTGGAGGGGGTTGATGGGGTTCAGGTGGGCAGTGGGATTGTGGGGGGTTACTTACAAGACTTGCGGTTGCCGCGGGAACGCTTGCGTTCCCTAGCAGCTAAGGCACGAGGACTGCTCTTGGTCACTGACTGCACCAGAAGGTCCATGATCTCATCTGATGTATCACTGGGTAAACTGGAGCCTGGGGGTTCTTCTGGGGATGCAGTGGAGGGCCCCACTGTGGGCATGATTGGGGAGCTGCTCTGGACCATGCCTGAGGAAGGCCAGATAGCAAAGTCAGGCCAAGGTGGCACTGGAGCCCATTCCCCACAGCTGCTATGGGCCTCACCTCTGCTGCGGCGATTGTGTGTGGTGTCCTCAGGCCTGCTGGTCAGCAGACTCTTCATACTAGCATGACTGTCAGCATCTCCCCGGCCTGGCCCGCTGCTCACTGCTACTGGGACAGAGGGGTTGCTGGGGGCTTCCCCAGCCACACCTGAGAACTTCTCTGTCTGGAGAAAGAAGAAGGGTGAGCTGGGAGGAGCGAAGGAAACCAAGGAGGTGGCAGTCAAGACTAAGACCTGGAAGGGCACCCACCTCGGTGATCATGCGTCCCCGGGTCTTGTTGCGCTCACGGTATGTGGCCTGCTTCTGCTGCTGCTGTAGCACTCGTTCCCGGCAAGTCCGATACTCAAGCGCAAATTCCCGCAGCGTGTGGCAGAACTGCATGATGCGCACTTCACGGGCCGCCTGCGGGGTGTAGCCCAGGTAGAGCAGGAAGGCATGGAACCTAGGCAGGTCAGAGTAGGGAGGGACAGTAAGTCCTGCTTATTGTCTGAGGGAGGGTGGTGGCCGTCCTGCCTCTCTTGGGTCCATGCCCCTACCTATTGCAGACACGGCGGTGCACTATCCTTAGCATGGCAACACGGCGGGCACACTGGTCCAGGAAGTGGGTGAGGCGGGCACGCAGGGCTGGGGCCAGCTCATGCTTGGCCAAGCTCCGCAGGCTCTCCTCGGCTGCCCGGCTCCGGCGCTCCAGCTGCCCCAGGTTCTCAGTCAGCTGTTCAAAGTCCACCTGAGAAAGCAAGGGGGTGCACATACTGTCCCCCCACACCCTGTAGACAAGACATGGCCCGAGGCTGCTTCTGGGCCAGAGTGGCCAGCTTGGGCCCTAAGGACACAGACATCCAAATCTCATAGACTAGTGCAAGAGACACAAGTCCATCTGATGTGAATGGGGAGCAGAAGGTTTACTGGGGGAAGTGGCAGTTAAACAGACCCAAAGACTGAGTAGGTGTGGCCAGGCCAATAGAGGAAAGAGCATTTCTGGCAGAGGGCATAGCTCACACCCAGGTGGCTGGAGCAAGCCCTGGCACAGCAGCCCAAATGGGGAGAAGGGGGAGGAGCCAGGCCCAGGAAGCAGCGCTCCTCATGCCTTGTCCGGCCTTGGTTGATTCTGGCAGGTGCTAACCTTGGCACAGCGGGTCAGGGCAGGGATTTCTGAATAGAGGTCAGAGGACTCAGGCCGGGTCTGGAGCACTAGGGAGCAGAGATGGTGTAGCAGTGACTGTCGACGCACCGTGTCCTTCACCTCTGACACCTTCTCCAGGTAGCTCAGCTCAAAGCCGCTGCTCTGAAAGGACCCTTTCTGAGCCTGGGCCTGGTTGGCTCCAGAACCCTGACTCCCCCTAGTCCCCATGTACTCTCACTCACCTGGGAGCCATTGAGGAAGTTGCCCACCGCTAGGAGGGTAGCCAGGATGCAGCGGAAGGTGGCATTCTGTACCAGCTGTTCCATACCCACTTTCAGGTCAAACAGTGGCTCAGCAATTTCCTGGTATGGGAGACCAGGGACTCTCAGACTACATGGTCATGATGCTTACCTGTCCCTACTGACTGTCCCACTCCAAGACCCAGGTACCCGCTCCATGCTGTCATAGTCCAGCTTGAAGGCCCAGAGTTGTAGACGAGCAGCGAGGCCGCCAATGGAGGCAAGAGTCATCAGGAAGTTCTCGGCTGGGCCCAGGGGTATGTCAGGGTTGGCCAGCTGGGCTTCCTCAATCTTCTGCCGCTCTTCCTCCGTGGGCATCATGGTCAGTAGCTTCTGAGGATGTAGCCAGAGCCTGACATGGCCCCCTCAATGCAGGCCTGAGGCCTGAGGCATTGGTCTTGACCCCTCAGTCATCTAGGGGAGGCCCCAGTGTCTGGGGACTGCCCTGCAGAAATGCCAAGCCCATGCCCACCACCAGAGGGACAGGAAATGCCCACCTACCAAAGGAGAAGGCCAGACCTCCCCCCAACACCCATAGCTGGGTGACCTCACCTCAATGCCATCCTTGCTGACAGCAAACTCATCAAAGTTGAGCAGAGCAGCCTTAATGACATGCACAGGTGGCAGTGTGGTTAGGCCGATGTTGATGGCGTTGCTGCGCTTGGGGTCCAGCACTGTGGTCATTGTCCGGCGGCCCTCTCCAGCTTTCTGCATGGTTGGGGGAAGGGCAGTGTAAGACTGAGGAAGGGGGCCTGACGCGGTGGCTCACGCCTGTAATCCCAGCACTTTGGGAGGCCAAGGCGGGTGGACCACGAGGTCAGGAGATCGAGACCATCCTGGCTAACATGGTGAAACCCCATCTCTACTAAAAATACAAAAAAAATTAGCTGGGCGTGGTGGCGGGCACCTGTAGTCCCAGCTACTCGGGAGGCTGAGGCAGGAGAATGGCGTGAACCCGGGAGGCGGAGCTTGCAGTGAGCTGAGATCACACCATTGCACTACATCCTGGGTGACTGAGCAAGACTCTGTCTCAAAAAAAAAAAAAAAAAAAAAAAGACTGAGGAAGGGACTAGCTGGGACAGCAACCTCAGAGGGCACTCCAAGGCCCTCCTCTAGATTGCCAAATGATCCCACAACTGACAAACTGGCAACCTGGAATGTGTAAGTCATGGGGATGAGCTTAGATTCTTTTGAGACAGGGCCTGGCTCTACCATCTAGGCTGGAGTGCAGTGGTGCCATCATCGCCCACTGCAGCTTATCTTCTGGGATTTTCCTGCCTCAGCCTCCCAAGTAGCTGGGATTACAGGCGTGTACCACCATACCCAACTATTTTTTTTTTTAACATTTTTTTTTCCGCCTCCCAGGTTCAAGCAATTCTTTTGCCTCAGCCTCCCAAGTAGCTGGTATTGCAGGCATGAGCCACCACGCCCAGCTCATTTTCATATTTTTAGTAGAGACGGGGTTTCACCATGTTGGCCAGGCTGGTCTCAAACTCCTGGCCTCAAGTAATCTGCCTGCCTTGGCCTCCCAAAGTGCTGGGATTACAGGGGTGAGCCACCATGCCCGGCTAATTTTTTTTTTAACATTTATTTATTTTTATTTATTTAGTTATTTTTGAGACGAAGTCTTGCTCTTGTCCCCCAGGCTGGAGTGCAATGGTGCGATCTCGACTCACTGCAACCTCTACCTCCCGGGTTCAAGTGATTCTCCTGCCTCAGCCTCCCGAGTAGCTGGGATTACAGGTGCCCGCCACCACGCTTGGCTAATTTTGTGTTTTTAGTAGAGACGGGGTTTTGCTAATTTGACCAGGCTGGTCTCGAACTCCTGACCTCAAATGATCCACCTGCCTCGGCCTCCCAAGGTCCTGGGATTACAGGCATGAGCCACTACACCCAGACCAACTTTTAGTAGAGATAATGTCTCACTATGTTGCACAGGCTGGTCTCAAACTCTTGGATTACAGGTGTGAGCCACCATGCCCGGCCACATTTAGATTCTAGTTGGGGCACTGCTGATCCCTTGTTAGGAGACCTTGGACAATTTCCTACTCCTTTCTTTGCCTTGGTTTCCCCATGTGGGAAGTGAGTGACTAGCTCCAACAGGTCAGATCCTTAAGCTCTGATTCCCTCCTGCCTCCCTTGGGGCTACCTTGCAGATGAGTGGATTTACCTTGGAGGGCAGCACCTCTTTGGCACGAGACTCAAAGAGGTGTTCCAGTCGGGCCGTGTCCACTGAGACAGGGTCCAGTGAAGCCCAGAGGGTGGCGCAGGGCCCAAAGCGGCTTGCAGAGACTCCATGGCCCCCAGCCAGCTTCAGCTCACGCCAGAAAAGTTTTACTGTCTTCCTCTTAGTGGGGAGGGCTGAGCTGTCAGGCACTGAATGGGGAAGAGGGGCAGCCAGAGGTAGAGGTGGAGGTGGTGGGAAGGGGCCTTTGATGGGTGGGGGAGGTGGAAGTGGGGGAGGGGGGGGTACTCCCGAGAGCAGGGGCAGTGGGGGTGAGGGAGCTGGGATGTCTTTCCCAGCCTCCACAGACTCTACATTCAGCATGTCCTGGTCTTCATCCTCCCCTAGATCTGAAAAGTCCAGGTCCCCAATAGAGAGCCTGGGTGCACGGGTAGGGAGCTCCCAGATGGGCTCAGCCTTGGGGCTTGCTGGTATCAGTGGCTCCTTGGGCTCTGGTGCAAGGCTTCGCTGGGCCCGGAGCAGGACACAGGGGGCAGGGCTCTGGGGTGTTCTGGCTGCAGGGGCTGTCTCTGGGGAGTCCCAGAGTTGCCGGGCATCTAAAGAAAGGGAAGGAGCTGTCAGTGCCATGCCCCCTGTGGGGCAACAAAGCAACAGGCAGGCTCTGCCTGCTCACCCACCTACTCACCTGGGTGTCCACCCGCCTCATTGGGCATGGCCCCGGCAAGTGTCTCTGCCCGGCCCTGGGCCAGCGCAACCTGCTTCTCTGTTTCTGCTGCCGCCACATTCTCCAGGAACCGGGCTCTGAGGGAAGGTGCTTGTCACTGACAGCGTCTGACACACCCCAGCCCAGGTGTACATGCCTTGCTGAGCCCCTGGACACCACCCCCAATTGCAGGCACGCACAGACACACAGGGAACAGTCCATGCGCTGAGCAGACCAGAACCACACCCCCCCCAAGGCCAGCCCCTCTTCAGTCCTCCACATCTGGGGAGGATTACTACCAACCCAGCATTCCCAGGTGAAAACACAGGGAGAGGATCTACTTAACATCTAACTTGCAACCTCGTTCATGTTCACTGTCCTGGTTTTTTTTTGGTTGGTTTTTTTTTTAGAGACAGGGTCTCACTCTGTCAGTCACCCAGGCTGGAGTACAGTGGTGTGATCATAGCTCACTGCAGCCTCACTCTCCTGGGCTTGACCCTCAGCCTCCCAAGTAGCTGGGACTACAGACATGTGCCACCACGTCCAGCTGATTTTTTAATTTTTTTGAGGAGACAGGGTCTCACTGTGTTGTTCAGGCTGGCCTTGAATTCCTGGCCTCAAGCAGTCCTCCCACCTCAGCCTCCTGAAGTGCTGAGATTACAGGTGTGAATGATGCACCCAGCCAAATTTTAAAAAATTTCTTTGTAGAGATGAGGTCTTACTGTGTTGCCCAGGCTGGTGTCTTGAGTCTAGACAAGGACTCTTAGAGCAGGGGAAGGGGATAGCTGTCCCAATGGGCATATCAGGCTGTCCCTCCCTTGGCATGTCTGGTAGCTTCTGGGAGCCTATGCCCAGGAAAGGGCCTGGTAAACAGGCCAGGTGCGGTGGCTCACGCTTGTAATCCCAGCACTTTGGGAGGCAGAGGTGGGTGGATTACTTGAAGTCAGGAGTTCGAGACCAGCCTGGCCAACATGGTGAAACCCTGTCTCTACTAAAAATACAAAAATTACCCAGGTATCCTGGTGCAGGCCTATAATCCCAGCTACTTGGGAGGCTGAGGCAGGAGAATTGCTTGAACCTGGGAGGCAGAGGTTGCAGTGTGCTGAGATCACACCACTGCACTCCAGCCTTGGAGACCGAGCAAGACTCTGTCTCAAAAAAAAAAAAAACAAAAAAAAAACGGATGTGGTAAACAGTGGACCCTCAGTTTATGCTGAAATAATGGGTGCAATCCAGTGTTTCTTTTCTGGCCCCTCCAGCCTCTGTCAGCTCTCAGTCCCTGCCTTTCCCTCAGCCTTAGGTTACCCCTCCACCCCCACACCACACACCACACAGCACCCTAGGTCCCCTCCCTGCTCGCTTCTGAGCTGAAGACTTGGCAGAATGAGCCCCAGGTTGGGTGTCCACATCCCCATCTCTGGCTGCTAAGGTGTTGCTATTGAAGCACAGGGACCACTGTGACCCCAGTGAATTGGTTCCCAGTGCTTAGCCTTTGGGTTACCGAGGAGGCATATGTCTGGGAGAGGATAGGCCTGAGTCCCCCAGCTTTGGTTGCATCAGGCACGTGAAACCCCTGCTGGGGGAAGCAATGCTGAAGCCCTGAGCACATGGCAGGCCTGGCAGGCCGGCCTCTGTACTTACTCCAGCCTGGCCTGCCCAGGAGGGGACTGGGGGACGGGTGGGCTCTCAGGGGCCCTGGGTAGGGGGGATGAGAGGAAGAGATGGTAACTGTGGTGTCAGCTCCATGGTTGCTCATACCCACACAGAGCTAGGCAGTGATATTGGGGTTCCTTCCCAGCCGCAGTGGGAAGTGGGGGAAGGTATGACACGAGGAAACTGGAAGTGGAGGGGAGAGACTGACGTGGAGCAGGACAGGGTGCTGGAAGAGACAGAGGCAGCAGAACAAGGGAGTGACAGATAGTGGGCGGGAGACATGACAAGAGGCAAAGACAGGCAGAACGTCGGAGGAGACAAAGGAAACCACAGGAGGAGGAGATCCAGTCAGAGCCGAACCCCACCCGCTGGCAGTCACTTACCAAACGGAAGCAGTTTGGTGAAGTCTGGAAAGAGAGAGAGAGAAAGCACGCGTTTGGGCAGAGGAGGCTGAGTGCCCATGGAGGGGCGCAAAGCGGAGGGACAATGGGAGAGAGGACTCCAGGGTGGCCTCTGTCTCCCTACTTACTTGTAGATGCTCCTCTCGCTGGAGGTGTCAGCTGAGGGTGCCACAGAGATGGTAGGAAAAAGGTTCACTGAAGCTTGGAGACCGGAGGGAGGGCCCACAGGGCTGGAGGCGGGGCCTGTCAGCAGGGCGGGGCCGGTGGAAGAGGTGGGGCCTACCGGTGAGGCGGGGCCTGTGGGGCTGAAAGCAGGGGCTGTCAGTGGGGCGGGGCCTGAGAAGCTGGAGGCGGGGCCTGTCAGTGGGGTGGGGCCTGCGGGGCGGGAGGTGGGGCATGTCGGTAGGGCAGGCCCAGTGGAGGAGGTGGGGGCTGTCTGTGGGGCGGGGCCTGAGGGGGTTGGGGTCAGGGCCTGTCAGCTCACTGGGCCATGCCTAGTAGATCCACCCTTTCCCATCTACAGATGCTCGTACTTACCCAGGTTCCGGGGCACGCGCGGGGCAGCCCCCGCCTTCCAGAGAACGGCGGCTCCTCTTGCCCTCCTCAGAAGAAGGCTTTCGTCGTTCCCGCCGCCCACCAGCGCCTGGGGCTTCTTCGATGTCTCCATCCTCCAATTTCAGGGCGTTCTAGCAGAGGCGGACCAGGATGTAAGAAAGTGGTTAACGTGTATGCAGGTGGGGTGGGGCGCTGGGGACTGCGCTTCTCTCTTCCCTCTTTCCAATCCGCCTCAGAGCGTAAGGCCCGGCCCACCTCGTAGAGCACAAGCTGCGTGCGCAGGTCGACGTCAGTGCCCGCAGTGCCCAGGTGGCGCTGGACCAGCGCTTCCATGCCCTGCTGCTCCAGTGCATCCGTCACATCGTAGAAGGAGTCCTGGTCCGGGAGCGCCGCCAGCGTCTGGAGGGCGGGGATAAGAAGGCAAGGCTGAGGTTGGTGGGGAGGTCAGGAGCCTGAGCATCCCAGAGCTGGCACCCAGTCCTTGGCCACACCTTGTTGATGAGGGTGACCGTGTACACCAACAACTCAGGGTCAGCGCCATTCTTCTCCTCCAGGATGGACACCAGATTGGCCCAGGGAGGAGCACCTGCCACACAGAAAGTGGAGCAGTCATGGGGGAACAGGTAGGAGAGAGGGCTCTGAGCGGTGGGGGGAGAAAGGGACAGTCTCTGACCGGTGGTGCTGGCCACAGAGTTCACTGCACGGATGAACAGCGGTGCGTTGTTTTCGGAGTATTCTACAAACACCAACAGCAGCTTCAGGGCTGTCTTCACCACCAAGCGGGACTGAGGAGAGAGGTCAGTACATATGAGTGGGGCTTAGGCCAGACCTGTGCCAGCTGTTGCTGGGGAAGGGGAAGGGCTGCTGGGGCTGGACCCAGAGAGAATCTAGGCAGAATGACCCTGGCCCCAGGCCCAGGCACTGAAGTGCCTTATAGGCTTACAGAGGCCTCAGACTCACTCCCTTCCAGCTCACTTTGCAGAACAGGAAACTGAGGCCCAGAGAGAAGCAACAGGCAAAGGGTATAAGGCTGAGTGGAGAGCCACTTACCAGGCTGGCACACAATGTGTACAGCCACTGAATAGTGTCACTGTGGGCCACCACCCCCAGCATTCCATCCACAAAGAGCATCAGCTGGCCGAGCGCTGGGGAAACAGGGATGGGCAGAGTCAGCGAGGGTCGCTGGAGCAGAGGTCATGGGAGAGGGGCGGGGCTGACCTCTAAGGATGTAGCTCTGGTAGTTGTGGTCGGCAGCAGCACCCACACGGATCAGGCAGCTCAGCCCCTCTGAATGCACAAATTCAGGCACCAGGTCTTTGTCCTCCTAGAGGCACCATGGGGGAGTTTAGGGAAGCTTGGGCTACACACTTACCCCCAGCCCACTGCGGGGCCTCACCTGGAAGATCTGCTTCAGTGAGAAGAGGGAGCGGCGGAGCTCAGGACCACTGGAGCTATACAGCTTTTCTGCAAAAGGTAGGGTATAAAACCCTTGATGGACACAGACTCACTGTCTTCCTCTGCTTGGATACAACCACAACTCTCCACCAAAGAATAGTCTAATATATATGTTTTGGTCTGAGAGACAGGGTCTCACTCTGTCACTCAGGCTGGAGTGTGGAGTGCAGTGGCACAGTCATAGCTCACTGCAACCTCAAACTCCTAGCCTCAAGCAATTCTCCCACCTTGACCTCTCAAAGCACTGGCATTGGAGGCATGAGCTACCACGCCTGGTCTATTCTAACATTCTTGAATCCCCCTCCACTCCCACCATGGCCCTGGAAGAAGAGGTCAGGATAGGGAGAGGAAGGAGCACATACAGCTAAACCTACTTTGCTCACTGTTCAGCACAGGCCTGAAGGTGAGCCAACTGGGCTATGGGGAGGAGGTGCTGCTGGACATGGATGCTCTCACACACTCACCCAAGATAGCGTTGACCCTCACAGAGAGCTGGGTCCGAAGGATCAGCGTGGGCTTCCGCCCTTTGCTGGAATCAAGGATCTCTGTTAGCAGCTCCCAGCCTATCCCTCAGCATTCCTCCCCACAAGCCAAGGGAGCCAAAGACCTCCCCATGCCAGCCCCAGCCCAGCTTGTTCCTCCCAGCTGCTCCTCCAAGAACCCAAGGGTTGGTCGGACAAGAGGGTTGGTGCAAACACATGTATCTCAGGTATGTGGGAGAGCCCCTAACTCCCACCTTGGGCAGCAGGTAACACTGGCCAGGCTTTAGAATTCCCCTGGCACACTTCCCTGGGGCAGGAGGTGACCCATGGCTCAGGCTAGTGATCGAGTGTCTCAGCTGCTGACATTTGAGCTAGCCCCTGGCAAGGGTGGGGGTAACCTTGCCTCCCTGGCCCCATCAGTTCTGACCTGATCTCTTCATAGAAGCCCTCCAGCATCTCCCGCTGCTCTTCCAGGGACAGCTCGGTGTCCAGGTAGTATCCGGAGGGAGACACTTGCAGAGCACAATCCTCCAACTGGGGGCAAAGGGAACAGCTGTGAGACTGAGGAAGAGGTGGCAGGCGAATGTATGAAGACCCCTGACCTCTTACCTACCACTTGAAGGGTGGCAGAGAGACACAGGGTCTGCACTACAGCTGTGCATTCCTTCAGCAGTTGCTTCTCAAGCACCTACTATGTGCAAAGCCCATCTGTGTCAGGCACCAGGCTTTCTTGGCCTTTGTTTGTACCATCTCCTCTCCTGGCTGATACCTACCTATTCTTTAGGTTGCTATGCAACCCACTCCACCCTGTGTGTATGCTCCCTTTCGAGACCTTCCACACAGCATTCTAATATCCGAGCCACTGGTCTCCTCTAGCTGCGTTCTCTGCGTTCAGGCACTCCGTCTGTCTTGCTCCCTGCTGTATCTATAGAGCCTGGCATAGCACCTGACACACAGTAAGCACTCACTAGGACTTGTTGAGCTAATAAACACAGATGAGGAAGGGGAATGGAGAGAAGATGGGAGGAAGTTCCTGCCTTCGAGGAAGCTCACAGCCCTGTGGGGTGATAAGCTATAGTCACAAAGCATTAAGCCCCAGAAAGAAAGTGTTAAGATGGCTGGGAGGTGCAAACCCACCCGGGAGAGTGTGTCTGTGTGTGTGTGTGTCTCAGTGAGTAAGAGGGTGAAGACAGGGTCTGATCCATAGACTTCCCAGTCCCACCAGATTTCAGGGTCTTTGGCCTCTCCCAAAGTGGGCTACAGTTACAATGGTCCTAGCTGGACCTCAGAGACACCCAAGGGGCCTATTAAAAAACTAACTTTAGGCCAGGCGTGGTGGCTCACGCCTGTAATCTCAGCACTTTGGGAGGCTGAGGAGGGTGGATCGCCTAAGGTCAGGAGTTCTAGACCAGCCTGGCCAACGTGGTGAAACCCCGTCTCTACAAAAATGCAAAAATTAGCCAGGCATGATGGCGGGTGCCTGTAATCCCAGCTACTGCTGGGGAGGCTGAGGCAGGAGAATTGCTTGAATCCAGGAGGCAGACATTGCAGTGAGCCGAGATCATGTCATTGCACTCTAGCCTGGGAGACAGAGTGAGACTCTGTCTCAAAAAACAAAACAAAACAAAACACTTAAGAGTCTGACTCAGTCTACAGTAGGACCCCAAAGCCTGCCTTTGTAACAAGCAGGCACATGCTCCATCCACGTGTCCATGTTTCCCTCCCCGGGCTCTCCTCCCCCGCCACAAGGCATGGCACTTAGCCCCTTGAGAAGTGCCTGTAGAGAAGCCTGAGGGAGGTGACTCCTGTGAGTCGGAGGGTGGCACTCTACCTCTCCCAGACACCTCCCTCCATTGCACAGTGCAGATATGCAGGTTCAGCAAAGTCTCCTTGACTTAAGTGGCTCTGGCCCTTGAGATGCCTTGGCCCAGGGAGAGCCCACCTCTGGAGAGGCAGGGTGTCTTCTGGTCTCCATCTTACTGGGCATGTCAATTCCAACATTTGTCCTGCTGTTTGGTCAGCCCTGCCCTCTTCTGGACCCTGCCCAAGGGCTTCCAACTGGCCTTGGTCCCCTGGAGAAAAAGGGAGTCCAGCTCCTGCCTCAACCCCTACCTCTGTTTAGCAACCCTTGCGCCTGCCTCAGAGCCTGACCTGGCTCCTTCCCCACAGTTTAGCCTGTGGGGCCCTTGGATGACCCCCCCCCCCGCCCACCCCCGCCTGGGACCTGGGACATAGGACAAACACTCCAGCCTGTTCTCTGTCCCACTTCCTGCCTGGCTGCCTGCCCTCCCCAGGGTGCCTTGGGCAGGCCTGGCCACTTTCCCCTCCCTGGGAGCAGAGTCATCTTCTCCAGGGCCTACTGGGAACAGGCCTGAGAAGGGGCAGCAAGGCCTGAGGGCTGGGGTATCTTGTCCAGGGCCAGCTCAGCTGAGGGCAACCCACATTCCTCCTGATCTCTTCCCACACAGTGACTCAGCAGCCTACCACCCCACCCCCATTCAGGCACAGCCGCATCTCCCTCCCTTGGCCTGGAAGATTCTGGGACCCTAGAAGAACACACCTACCCCAGAGCCACCCCCGTCAGGGATCCCCTCGAATCACACACATATAGAACAGCTCATTCTTTGAACATTCATGACCAGGCTGGTTTCAGATGCAGAGGACCTAGGAGGAATTAGACACTGCCTCTGCCTTCCCTTCCTTCCAGCCCAGTGGGGCAGACGGGAAGACAGACAGACGAGTCAGAAAAAGCTCACAAATGAATGTGGAATCACAACTTTCACAGTGCTAAGAAAGGGGAGGGGCAGAGTGCTATAAAGATAAACGGGAAGGGAAAACATGTTACACCTGGTAACTGCTTACACACCCAGGTATAAGGTTGGGTATGCACTGGCCAACACAGGCTGAAGCAGCACAGACCCAGAAAGGTCAGGCCCACCACGCTGTCCTGCCTCCTTGCATGCTGTAATCCCAAGAGAGCAGAGAATGTCCCTCTCCTTCCAGGACACCTGCATCCATTTGGGGAAGGGTCCTGAAGGTTAAATAGTCCACCTTCTTTTTTTTTTTGATATGGAGTCTTGCTCTGTCTCCCAAGTTGGAGTGTAGTGGCACAGTCTTGGCTCACTGCAACCTCTGCCTCCTGGGTTCAAGCAATTCTCCTACCTCAGCCTCCTGAGTAGCTAAGGTTACAGGCGTGCATCACCATGCCTGGCTAATTTTTGTATTTTTAGTAGAGACAGGGTTTCAGCATGTCATCCAGGCTGGTCTTGAACTCCTGACCTCAAGTGATCCACTTGCCTCTGCCTCTCAAAGTGCTGGGATTGTAGGTGTGAGCCACTGTGCCCGGCCAATGGTCCACATTCTCTAGCCTCCTCAGCCACTTCACCTGTCCAATCCTGCCAGGGCCCCATTTCTGGGGAGGAGGTCCAGGGAAACAGGTAGTCCAGTGCCTTCCAGGACAGTGTCTCCCCACCCCCAGCTGTCTGTCCTGGGTGGAAGTGTGGGGTGGTAGGCTAGAGTCAGGCAAGCAGCAAAGAGCAGGAGACTTCCTGCTAGCAGGATGGCACATGTCCCTCACACCCCGGCCCCTTCCTGGGGTCACCCTTCTGAGAGCCAAACCTCTGGGCCTTGTTTCTCACACCCTGGGGCTGGGCCAGGCCTGAATAAGCCCAAACCCTGGTCCTTGCTGACGGGGCTTAAGCTCAGCACGTAGTATGGGCCCACTTCCCTGACACCTTCTTGGCTCTTGTCTTCCTCACTTCTCTGGTCTCTGTCTTGGGGTGGAGTCTTTCCCCCATTCTTCCCAGGCTCAGCTTCTCACATTGGCCTCCAGCCCACTATACTCTTGACTTTCCAGGCTCAGGCTTTTCTGGCAGCCCAAAACCAACTGGTTATGTATGGTTTTATATGCAGGGTCAAGCCCAGGGGACCATGGCATCTACTTCTCTCTCTCTTTCTAGCTATCTATCTACCTATGTATAATATATAGATATAGATCTATAATATATAGATGTCTATAGATATTGATAATTTATATATATAGCTATGTATCTATTATATATATCTAGACATCTATTACATATATCTATTATATATTTTATAAATATACATTTTTCCCGCTTGTTTCTTTAGACTGTCTTACCCAATATTTTTAATAACAGTGTAATCAGGTAAGACTGAACATACCAGAGCAGGGTACAGGGAAGATGGAAAAGAGGCAGGATTATAGGCTGAAGGGCTTTCATTTTAGAAAATAATTGGTTAACTGCCTCTTTTGTCTCCTTTCCTATAAACACAGGACCCTGTGTTCTGAAGACCCTCCTTTCCTGTTATCGCAGGTCTCCAACTAGAGTGTGACTTCCTGAATGAGATGACAAGGATGGGCCTTGGGGAGGGAAATCCACTTTTGTTATCTTATGCTTCCTCTGTGCCAGGCACCGGACTGCCTCTTTTTTTTCTTTTCTTTTTTTTTTTAATAGAAATAGGGTCTCGCTATATCACCCACACTGTTCTTGAACTCCTGGCCTCAAGCAATCCTCTGGCCTTGGCTTCCCAAAGTGCTGAGATTACAGGCATGAGCCACCATGCCCAGCCTGAGCCGCCTATTTAATTTGATTCTACCAATAATCCTTTTACAGATAGGGAAACCAAGAATCAGAAAATCAGCGCATTGCCCCAGGGTGCACAGCCAGGAGCCAGGGCTAATTGACCAAATCTTGGGCGGATGGGCCCTGGAAATGCTCCAAGGAACCCTAGAGGGGAAGTGGAGTGAGGGCTGGGGCCAGAAGGATTGCCAAGAGCTGAAGACATCCTCTTAGTTTTCTGGACTCTGCAAATACCCCATACTGGTCCTCCCAGTTCCAGTAAGGGAACACCAATAGACACACGCACCCCATGCAAGTTAGGATAATAGTATCTACCTCTGCCAGGACCTAGGTGTCAGGGTCCCTCACCAGTCTGCAGCTCAGCCACTCTGTTCCAGAATGACCAGCAGATTGGATAGTCCAGCCCCAGGGGAGGCTAGGAGGAGACCAGGACTCATGCCCACACCTCAGTTTTCTACAGTCTCCCAAAGGCTCCTGAGATGTAAAAAGGCTAGAGTGGGTTGGGGTAGGGTCAGGAAACATTCCAGGACAGTGCCACCCCTGTCCTACTCTGATTTTTAGCCACAGCTAGGGAAACAAAGTTGCTAGTAATGACCAGATTTCTAGGGCTATCCCCACTGTCAGGAGGAGAGGGCTTTCCTGGCCTTTGCAGCAGGGTCAGAGAAGCACCCCAGATCCCCCTACCCGGAGCTCAGGGAGAAGTCAGTGCTATACCAGGTGTGGTAGGGCCTTGGGTATCGGAGAGGCTCCTGAGACACTTCCCAGAAGGGAGGGTAGAACTGGGAGGCTCTAGATTAGGAGATGAGATGCAAGGCCAGAGGGACACATTCTCCCCTCTGGCAAAGGCAGGTCTGGGCTGGGGGAATATTTTGGAGGGGAGGAAGGCACTCCTGAGTTCCCCCAGGGACACTAGGCCCGGCCCAAGACACTGTCAAGCTCCCTTCCACCAACCAGGGCCAGGAGATGAGTCAGAGGCTGTGGCCAGGAGCTTCCTCCTAGTCTAGGAGGAAATGAGCAAGGCTTTCTGAGATCTGAAAGCTCTTTAAAAAGGAAGCCCCCAGGGGAACTCTAGGGGCTAGGCTCGGCCCAATGGGGTGTGTGGGTGGAGTCCCAGGGAGAAAGCAGGCTGGCCTCTGTACATCCCCAGGGAGGGGGGTCATCTGCTGGGATGATCAGGGCCAGTACCCGGGGCCAGTACCCAGAGGAGGACAGAGGCCACTTGGCTGTGTCCTGTCCTCTGCTGGACAACTGTACATAGGACGAAGCAATGAGTAAAGAACCCCTTCCTCTTATTTCTGCCCTACAGCTTGGGACAGGGATGCCCTGGTTTCTGGGCCACCTCTTCCCTCTAGAGGGCCAGCAAGACAGGCCTGAGTCATGTCTGTGACTCTGGGGCACCCACTTATAGGACTACGGGAGGAACCAGCTGTTGACATTTCCTGCAAGGAGGGGCCCTGCTCCCCCTTGCTCAGCTCTCTGATGTCCCTGTCTCTGCCCTATTCTCAGCCCCTCTTCCTCCAGCCTTCTATTCTGGGGCTGTGGTCATAGTTTATATTTGGGTTGAGCACATCACAGTGCATCTGACCATTCCTGGCAGAGTTGCTAGCCCCAGGGAATCCTGGCTTCTGGCATTGTGGTAACCTAGTGTGCCACCTCCATATCCCTGTGGGGGAGGGAAGGCAGTCCTCAGGTACTCCAGGTGGGAGAACATGAAATCGGGGAGACCAGGAAGGACTGCATTGGGGATGAGGAACTTATATTCTTCACCGGAGCTCAGTAGTGTCCTCAGCTAAGGAGCAGGGAACACAGGGCAGAGCACCTGGTAGGGTTGGGTGGGGACACGGGTCCCATGAGAGGGAGATAGAAGGAGTGGTTCTGAGCCTCTTTCTTGCAGCTGACTTCCCAGGCTTGCCCCCAGCTGGGAAGAGGTGTGTCAAGGGGCTGGGCATGGTGGCTCAAGCCTTAATCCCAGCACTTTGGGAGGCTTAGGCAGGCAGATCACCTGAGGTCAGGAGTTTGAGACCAGGCTGGCCAACACGGAGAAACCCTGTCCCTACTAAAAATACAAAAATTACCTGAGTATGGTGGCGCACACCTGTAATCCCAGCTATTTGGAAGGCTGAGGCACGAGAATTGCTAGAACCCGGGAGGTGGAGGTTGCAGTGAGCCAAGATAGCCCCACTGTACTCCAGCCTGGGAGACAGAGCCAGAATCCGTCTTAAAAAAAAAAAAATCGGGGGGGTGGTGTCAGGGCTAGGTCCAATCCTTGAGTTGCAGGATGAGAGGAATACAATATATTCTCTAGTGCCCCACCCTTATTTCAGGATCCGGACTTTAGGAGCCTGGAAGCGGGAACCAGTCTTAGTTCAGCACTCCTGTCTTCCCAGCCCCCATCCTGAATGGGAGGTGGCCTCCAGCTGCACACGCTTCTTCCAGGCACACCTCAATTTGCCCCTCTGAATAGGGCAAGAGAAGCGGGGGCTGAGTCAAAACTGGCGGTGAGCAGTGTCCTGCATCCTTCCAGCCATGGCCTTGAAGCCGGGGTTCTGGCCTGGACACGTGCCACTCTCCAGGCCAATAGTCTCACCACCCCTCCCGCCAGCGCTCAGAGGCGGGGCTGGCCGCAGCGCGAGGAATGCGGGCTGGGGGCCCGGGGCACATTCCAGGGAAGACCCCAGGCCCAAGGGGCAAGTTTACGCAACTCGCCGCCCAGCTGAGGCTGGGAGCAGGGGAGGGCACCCACCCCGACTCTCTCTCCTCTTCTCCAGCACTGGAGGCGGCCGGGCTGGTGGGGAGCTTGTGGAGGTGGTAGTGCGCCTCCCAGAGTCCTGGCCCGGAAACAGCGCGCCGGAAAGGGCTGCCTGCGGGGGGCTGACGGCGGCGAGAGGGAGGGGAGAGGAGGTAGGCTGGCCATCTGGAAAAGGGCCTCTTTCCGCACTGTGCACAAGTCCGCTTCGGGGCGGCAGCAAAGTAGGGCAGGCCGGCTGTTTAAAATTAGTCCGGCCCTCCCTCTCACTTTCAGGCGCGGGCCGATGGGCGGCGAGTGTCCGGGGGTGGGGGCGGGAGCGGTGACTCAAAGGGCTTTTACACCCGTGCAGCCTCCTGCGCTCTGCGGATCCCGGGCCAGACCGCTTCGCGGGGACTCCCCTCACCCCGTGAAGTCTCTCCTCGGCCGGCACTCCCATACTCCCATTGACCTACAGGGTCAAGCCCCAATCCAGCTTCCTGACACCGCAGGAAACCTCTGCCACCTCTAGTAGTCCGCCTCGGGCCCGCCCCTCCTCGTGGTCCCGCCCCCACCTCACCTGAAGCAGGTGGAAGCTGGTCCCTCCCCAGCTCCGCCTCCAGGGTCCGCTACAGCCCAAGCGGCTACCGTCACTCTGACCAGGGAAGCCACCCTGGCAGACCGACGGCGAGTGGAACTCGAGCACCTCCCCAGGTGCGCCTAATTCGAAGGGCAGTCAGAATGGCGGAGCCAAGTTCCTGGCACCCCTCTTCAGTTTCCCCTCAACTTGAGAGGGGACTCCCCCGCAGGCGGGGCAGAGTGGACCCTGGGACCCCAGCCCAAGACTTTTCCGGAGAAGAACACTCGCTCCAGCCTCTTCCCGCGGAGCACCTCCCACCAGTTTTCATGGCGCCCACCCTGAACCCCCGATCGCCCCAACCTTTCTCCGGCCTCCCTCACCTTGAGCGGCGCTCCCAGCAGGCGGTGCACCGCGGGTATCTGCGCGCCCAAGGGCAGCGCCCCGTCCAGGCTGCAGGTGGGGGCCCGGCGCGGCTCCGGAAAGTTGGCACATGCGAAGGGGTCGGTGTCTTCCAGGTACTGCACCCTCACGGTCACCACTGATACCGGCTCTCCGTCCCCGCGGTCTTCCCCGCCCGCCATGGCTCTGCGGCCGGCTCACGCAGCGCGCCTCCGAGTCCCGGCCCCAGTGCAGCTTCTACTCAAAGCACACTGTAGCTCCGCGGTTCGGGCCCGGCCGGACCGGACGCGGCTGGAGGGGCGGGGCCAGACGGAGGCGGGGCCGAGGAAGGGGGTGGAGCCAAGATTAGTCCCCGAGTGCGCGCCAGGAGGTAACCACTGCCGGAGGCGGGGCCGCCGCTAGCCACTCACAGGGCCCAATGGGAATCCCGTTAGTTCACTGGCTAGGAGGGCGGGAAAAACCGAGCTCGCGCCCCACCTTCGAGAACGCGCAGAAGGCGGGGAGGCTTTCTTTGGTCTGGGGATAGTGAGGCTGCGTTCTCTTTGAGGGGTGTTAGGGCAGATGGGGCAGAAGTTTCTTTAGATAGTGGCCGGCCAGGTCTCTCTCAGTTGAGGGACAAGATAGCCCTCATTCCTTCCATTTGAGGGGTGAGTCCCTGTGGTTTCCTCATTTAGGGAAAGCAGTGAGAGGGGGTCCCTTCAATTTGGAGCAAGAAGTGAGAATAAATTCCACCCAGTTTGAAGGAAGAGGTGGGATCAGTTCCCTTTAGTTGTGGGAGGAAGAGGGAAGGATGCCCTTCAGTTTTCTGGGAAAAGATTGGGAGGAGTCAGTTTGAGGGGGCAGATAGAACACGTTCCCCTCAGTTTTGGAGAAAAAGTGGGATGGGTGCCCCTCAGCCTGAATGAAAAGTGGAGACGGTCCTCCTCTGTTTGGGGCGCTATGAGCCGAATGCCCCTCAGATTTGGAAAAAGTTGGGTGCATCTCGCCTAGTTTGAAGGGAATCAGTAGGCTGGGTTTTCCATAGGTTCCTGTCAGCTTCATCAAAGAGATGAGACAGTTCTCTGTAGTGTGACTGAAAGGGAGGGCCAGGTGCCCCTTGGTTTGGGAGATGAAGAACAGCCTCCCTCTTCGCCTGGCACGAGCTGGGCCAGTCTGGGCCTTAGGGTTTCTGGGACGTTGGGGGCAGCGTTGTCCGTCACTGCTTTGGGGAGCGTCCAGTGCGCGTGCGCAGCTCAGGTCCGGGTGGGGGCCGGCAGGGGGTCCTGGGCTTGGCAACGTGGGCGGAGGGCGGCCAAGCACGGTCCCCTGCGTTTTGCACCCGGCCGCGCCTTGGTCCCAGGGGGGTGCTGCTCGCCGCACAGCAGCGCTGGCCGAGGAGGAGCCGTGCCCCTCCCGTCCTGACCGCGCCCCCCGCAGACCCCCGCCCTTCCCGCTGCGGGCTGCCCCAGGGGGGCCGTGGCCGCGCACCGCTCTGGATCTGGTGGGGGCGGTTTTGGGGAGGTTTGGGGGCGCGGACTCGAAGGAGTAGGTTGTGGAACTTGGGGGAGAGCTGCACTGGGGAATTTCCGGAGCTGGGACTGATTTAGGGAGGAAAGAGGAGAGAGTCCCCGACTACGAGAGTCCGAGGCAGGGTCTCGGAGCCTGGACCTGGCTTGGGGGTATCGGAGCCGGGATTGGGGGGAGCGGGCCCCACGTGCCTGTGACGCGGGGGCGCCCGGTAGGTGGCGGCGGCGACGCGGGGCCGGCGGCCGTGCGGTGCCGGGAGGGCGGCTGGGCAGGCGGCAGGATGCTGCGCGCCGCCCTGTCCCTGCTCGCGCTGCCCCTGGCGGGGGCGGCCGAAGAGCCCACCCAGAAGCCAGAGTCCCCGGGCGAGCCTCCCCCAGGCTTAGAGCTCTTCCGCTGGCAGTGGCACGAGGTGGAGGCGCCCTACCTGGTGGCCCTGTGGATCCTGGTGGCCAGTCTGGCCAAAATCGGTGAGTGCGTGTGTGCGTGCGCCAGGCCGACCGCCAGCGGCGGACCCGCCCCCAACACCCCCACCTCCTCGGTCCTCAGATTGGGGCTGGCTTCTTGCACGGTGCTGGGACTTAGGTTTGGATTCCACAAATCCGGGCTCTCGCCCAGTTCCTGCATCGCTTCTTGTGGGTCCCAGGTCCCTGTCTTCTCCCCTGGGAGCTCTGAGGATTTGCCTTTCTGAAGGGCTGTCCCCCGCTCTCCCCAACTCCATCTGTAGGCTCCTTTGCCCTCTCCGCTCCCCTCTTCCCCTTGCAGTAGGCCCTCTTCAGTCTGGTCTCTCCCCCACCAATCCCTAGCCTCCCAGAAACCTCTGTCGCTGGTGAGGATGTGTGGGGACATTGAGGGGAGGGTGTTCTCCCAAGAACACAGGCATCCTGGTTCTGAAAAAGCAGCCTTCCCTGGAGACCATGTCCGAGTGTCCATTCCCTTGGGAAACTACACTGCCACTTTTCCTCCAGCTCTCCCCTGCTCCCCACTTAAAGCTGCTGCCTTCTTGTGCCTGTGTATGGGTACCCCCCCAACCCACGTTCAGGTCCACATTCTTCTCACTTCAGGGTATAAGAAACTTCCGTGTATCGGGGCCTTCCTGTGTGCTGTCTACCCTAGATGCTTTCATACATCCGACCTCTTCAGTCCTGACAGCATTGAAGGCTGTGCTTCAGACTTCTTTTTCCCTGAATAGAGCTGCTTTTCCTTGCATCTGCTCCTTCCTCCTCCCTTCTGAGCAGCCAGTGGTCCCTCCTCCCACCAGAGACCCTCCTCCTTCTCCCTGTTGTGCTGGCTCTGCTGTGGGGGTGACTAATTATAGCTGAGCGTTGCTACTCTCTCCCCATGGATGCTGGCACAGCCTGTACTCCAGTCTCACCAATACAGCCTTCATGGAGGAATCACCCAGAGCCTAGAATTTGCCCCTCTTCTCCCACATGGACACTGCTAGGGGGTGAGGGGGCTGGGCAGGAACAGAACTCTCCACTCTGCTGTGGCAGCCTGAGATTAATAATGGAAAGTGGAACTCAATATGCCTTCCGGGAGCGTGGTTCTGTGATGGGGCTTGGATCTCGGGGCTGGGGTTAATGCATGAAGAGATGAAGATGAAATAGGGTCCCCGAAGGAGAGAAGTGGGAGACCAAAGTAGGGACAAGTATGGAGAGATCTATGACCATGTTTACCTTAGAGGTCCAGCAGCAATGAGAGTAAGAGTAGAAAGAGCCTCAGGTTTGGAGCCAACGATTGGGTTTGCTAAGTCTGTGAGTTGCAGAAGAGTTCCTGTCTTAGGGTTTATAGCAAAAACTGTAGTTTTCCCCATAAATCATGGTTCTTTTTCTAGTTTGGATGACATTTCCTATGGAAGTAAGAGAAGAGAGCCTCCTTTTCACAAGTCAAAGAAAATCCTCGAACAAGAGAAAAGGCAGAGCATTCAGGAACACCTTCCCCCAGCTTCATTGCTAGGAGACTTTTTCCCTTTTATTAAACAAATATTTACATAGAGCTCACTATGTGCCAGGCACTGTTCTAGGCCCTTTGGGTACAGCTTCCAAAGGGCACTGTCTTGGCATAGGGTCTCACAGAGGCTAATTTAGAGGTCTCCTTCCCCAACACCCCAGGGATTATGTAGAGAGAGATGTGTTCGCTTGTGGTCTGAGGACTTAAAGGAGAGCCAAAGAGTTTATTTTAGAGGACAAAAGTAGGAGTGGCTATAGTGCTAGAAACGCTTTTCTTCTCCCCTCCTACAGACAGAACTGTTCTATTTAATTAACATTTGGTGTGTGTCTAACATACTATGTGTCTGACATTATGCTAGGCACATTTGCATACTTTATATCATTTTATCCTCACCCTTGATGCTGGGTATTTTTCCTATATTACAAAAGAAGAAATTGAAGTTCAAGTAAGTTAAATAATTTGCCTGAGATCACATAGAATGTGCTAAGGCTGGAAGAAGACCTGGAGATCTTCTGATTGCTAAAGCCAAAGTTTTAAAAACTACGCAGTCCTGAGTGAGCCCATATAATGAAAAGCACATTGGGCTAGGAAGTCTACACAGCTCCTAGGAGGTATAATATACATTCTGGTCTAGTTAAGGAGTGAGGACATTATAATAGGTAACATTTATTGAGTGCTTACTGTAAAGTAGTGTGCTAAGTGCTTTTGAGTAGATTGTCTTTTTTTTTTTTTTTTTTTTTTTTTTTTGAGACAGAGTCTCACTCTGTCACCCAGGCTGGAGTACAGTGGCATGATCTCGGCTCACTGCAACCTCTGCCTCCCAGGTTCAAGTGATTCTCCTGCCTCAGTCTCCCAAGTAGCTGGGACTACCGGCACCCGCCACCATGCCCAGCTAATTTTTGTATTTTTAGTAGAGACAGGGTTTCGCCGTGCTGGCCAGGCTGATCCAGAACTCCTGACCTCAGGTGATCTGCCCACTTTGGCCTCCCAAAGTGCTGGGATTACAGGCATGAGCCACCGCGCCCCGCCTGTAGATTGTCTTTTTTAATGGTCACAATAATCTTATGAGATCATTATCGTTTTTACTCCCATTTCACTGATGAGAAAACTGAGTCAGAGACATGAAGTTATTTGCCCTAAGATCACAGAACTAAGCTTTGAATCCAAGCAACTTGACTCCAAAGACCCTGATTTTTACAGCTTTCTTACATATAAAAAGATACTGGGTAGCATTAGCTGAGGTTCAAATAATGGCTATGGATAAGGGTTGTCAGAGAAAGGTGAGGTCCCCTGAGGATGAAAGTATAAAGGAAGGGACATTTCTAGAAGGGGAAAAAGCAGTAAAGGCCTAGGTTACCATAGTGTGACAGGAGCACTAAGAAACAGATGACTTTGACTGCAGGGGAGGGTTTGTAGCCCTGGAGATTGGAAATTCTAGAAGTCTTGCATATTTCTCCTCCCTTGGTCCCAGTCTTAGAAGGTTGGCCAGGCGCGGTGGCTCACACCTGTAATCCCAGCACTTTGGGAGGCCAAGGTGGGCGGATCATGAGGTCAGGAGTTCAAGACCAGCCTGGCCAACATAGTGAAACCCTGTCTCTACTAAGAATATAAAAAAAATTATCTGGGCATGGTGGCGCGTGTCTGTAGTCCCCGTACTCAGGAGGCTGAGGCAGGAGAATCACTTGAACCCGGGAGGTGAAGGTTGCAGTGAGCTGAGATTGTGCTACTGCACTCCAGCTTGGGCAACAGAGTGAGACTTCATCTCAAAAAAAAAAAAACAAAACTGGGAGTTCATAGGCCTGTGTGTGGGAGGATATTCCATAAACTGATCCATCCTGCACTCTTTTTGCATTGCAGTGTTTCACCTGTCTCGGAAAGTAACATCTCTGGTCCCTGAGAGCTGCCTGCTGATTTTGCTGGGCCTGGTGCTAGGGGGAATTGTTTTGGCTGTGGCCAAGAAAGCTGAGTACCAGCTGGAGCCAGGCACCTTCTTCCTCTTCCTGCTGCCTCCTATTGTGTTGGACTCAGGCTATTTCATGCCTAGCAGGCTGTTCTTTGACAACTTGGGTGCCATCCTCACCTATGCCGTGGTAGGCACACTCTGGAATGCCTTCACAACAGGCGCTGCCCTCTGGGGCTTGCAGCAGGCTGGACTTGTAGGTGAGTGACCCTAAGACCTGGGCTTTGCCAGACCCATCACCCCTCTCCCTTCTCCTCAAGCTCTGGAGGCCCATGCTGGTGTGAGCCATGCCCTGAAAGCTCCATCCTAGGTCCCTCCCTCTGGAGTGCAAGGCAGTGCTCCCGCTGGGGTTCAGGCCTCATTGAGGTCTCTGCCAGTCTGGGCTTCTGCAGCATAACAGCTGAGCAGGAGTCTGGCTCCCAGCTGTATGTGGGCTGCCAAGGCTGGGGAGCCTGTGTTACCATTCTGTTGCCTCCTGCCCTCTGTTACCACATTGCCATTTGCCAGCCCGTCTCCCCTGAGGCATAGCTGTGCATCATTTCTGCAAGGGCCTGCTGTCCTGGCTCTCCCCAGGCCAGGTCTGGGTGGTTTTCTGTTTTTATTATTATTTTTTTTTCTTAACTATATGTTGTCTATAAGAAATTCATTATTTTAAACATTTATTTTTTTAAATAAATAAATAGATATTTAAAAAATAAATATTATAAATCCATCAAATGCTGGCACTACACTGGGTTTTCTCTCCTTACTTATCCCACTGACTCTTCATAGCAACCCTTTTGTGTAGTTTGTCACATTTACACATGAGGAAATAGAACCCCTTGCATTTGTTTGCTATCAGGTCCAAGGTTAGCAGAAGAGGTCCGTGTTTGTTGTTGTTGTTGTTGCTTGTTTTTTTGAGATGGAGTCTCACTCTTGTCCAGGCTAGAGTGCAATGGCATGATCTTGGCTTACTGCAACCTCCACCTCCTGGGTTCAAGCAATTCTCCTGTCTTAGCCTCCTGAGTAGCTGGGATTACAAGCACATGTCACTATGCCCAGCTAATTTTTGTATTTTTAGTAGAGATGGGGTTTCGCCATGTTGGCCAGGCTGGTCTTGAACTGCTGAGCTCAGGTGATCTGCCCACCTCAACCTGTCAAAGTGCTAGGATTATAGGCATGAGCCACCACGCCTGGCCCCAGGTCTGTTTTACTGAGGCTCTTTGCCTTTAGGTTGCCCTCTCTTGCTACCTTCTTTATTTCCTAACCCAAGAAATTCATTCAACCCTGAAGGTTAATGATTCACACTTTTTCCAAGGTATTACAAGAAAACGTTTACAATTGCTACCTGGGACTCTAACCTGGTTTCCCTATTGAGGTAGTGAACTATTTGGGGCAGGAAGGGAAGGGAGGACATCAGATCATAATAACAGTAATAGATAATAATATCTTTTGGGTGCTTACTATATGTTAGGCATTGGCTAAGGAACTTTTTGAGGTAGATATTGTTATTAGTCTCAATTTAGACATGGGGAAACTGGGGCTCATAGAAATTATATGACATATTCAAGTCCGATCTGTGTTGCTTTTCTTACTATATTCAGTTCTCCACACCTGCTGAGAATTGTGTCACATCCCTTTGGCCGGGAACCACAGGTGTGGGAGAAAGCACTCTCTTTTGTTATTCCCCCTAATAAAAATAGTTAGCAGCCAATTTCCATTTGCTGGTAGTTATTATTACTGTTGCTACAGTGCTTTTTCCCTATTTTATTTTATTTATTATTATTTTTTGAGACTGAGTCTCACTGTGTCACCCAGGCTGGAGTGCAGTGGCACAATCTCGGCTCACTGCGGCCTCCGCCTCCCTGGTTCAAGTGATTCTCCTGCCTCAGCCTCCCAAGTAGCTGGGATTACAGGCCTGCACCACTGCGCCTGGCTACTTTTTGTATTTTTAGTAGAGACAGGGTTTCACCATGTTGGCCAGGCTGGTCTTGAACTCCTGACCTCAGGTGATCCAGCCCACCTCGGCCTCCCAAAGTGCTGGGATTACAGGCATGAGTCACTGTACCTGGGCTTTTTCCCTATTCCAAATGGCTGGGTTGAGTTTTGAAACAATCTTGTGAGGCAGGCAGATGAGGAGGCATGGCTAAGGTGAGCCACATGACAGTGACGGACCAGCATCACACAGTTGGTAAGTGGCAAAGCCAGACCTTAGGCATAGGTAGCTTGACTGAAGTCTCCTGATCTGCAGGCTAATGCTGTCTTTGCCATCCCAAGTCCTCTTTGGGCTTCCTTGCTGTTATCAGCAGGGGTGGGGCCTGGGCTTGTTCCAGGGCGTGCTCCAGGAGACTGGGTCGTCTTCAATGACTGGCCTGTCCTACACATGTCCCTTAATAGCCCCTAGGGTGCAGGCTGGCTTACTGGACTTCCTGCTGTTTGGGAGCCTCATCTCGGCGGTGGACCCCGTGGCCGTGCTAGCTGTCTTTGAGGAGGTGCACGTCAATGAGACTCTCTTTATCATCGTCTTTGGCGAGTCCCTGCTCAACGATGCTGTCACCGTGGTGAGCGTGCTCAGCTGACTGCCATTCCCTGACCCCAGGCTGCATGCTCTGACCAACTAGGGGTCTGCGCAGACTCAGTCCCTTCCCTTGGGTCCCCTGGGGCAGAAATATGCTGTCTGCTTTCACCCTGCTCTCCCAGCAGTCTGTCTCCCAGCAGTCCCAGTTGCTGCCTTCCCGCCTCACTGCTGACTCTCCTCTTCTCGCTCAGGTGCTGTACAAGGTCTGCAACTCCTTTGTGGAGATGGGCTCTGCCAATGTGCAGGCCACTGACTACCTGAAGGGAGTCGGTCAGTATTTCCCCGCTCCCAGCTGGCATTGGAGGTCTGCCTCCCCTGGGTTGCTGAGGCCCTCCCACCCCGCATCAGGACAGAAGAGGCTATTCGGGTTGCCTCATCTCCTCTATAGAGAAATGGGGTCTGGGAGGGGCTTGCCAGGGATCCTGGCTCTGGGGTTTTGAGCCCCTGGGAGTGCGGTGGGCATCATCCCTCACTCCCTGCCAGGCAGCAGTCTTGTCAGCCCGGGTAGGGTCCGGGCCAGGGGTCATGCTGACAACCCACTCCTCCCCCAGCCTCCCTGTTTGTGGTCAGTCTGGGCGGGGCAGCCGTGGGCTTAGTCTTTGCCTTCCTCCTGGCCCTGACCACACGCTTCACCAAGCGGGTCCGCATCATCGAGCCGCTGCTGGTCTTCCTCCTCGCCTACGCAGCCTACCTCACTGCTGAAATGGCCTCGCTCTCCGCCATTCTTGCGTGAGTTCTGGGGGCCTTGCAGGCAGATAGCTGGGAGGGGGCACTGGAGATGGTTGCCCCTCATAGGGACACAGGCAGGAACTTCAGGAGTCCATAGGTTTCCCTGAGCCCTTGTGGTAGTGGGAGCCTCAGACTGTCCTGGGGAGTCAGTAAACCTCAGCAATATTTCAGGAGCTGCCCCCAGAGCTGTCCTCAGCACCCTGAAACCCTCTGGGTGTAGGCTGGGCTGGAAGTAGACTTTAAGGCCTGGGGCCACCAGCTCTGGAGGCCGCAGCACTCCAGAAGGTGCATTAGAGAGCCCGCTAGTCAGAGCACGTTCCTTCCACCTTCCCTTCCAGGAGACACTGAATGGGAAGCCTGGAGATCTGGACTCTTAGCCCAGCACTACCATTCAAGTCTTCAGGCCTCCCTGGGCTTCAGCTCTGAGAGTCTGACATCCTGTAATGGGCAATGCCCCCTCCTGCAGTATGCTCAAACCCTGGAGGCTGAGCCCCCTGGAACCCTTCCCCACTTGCCATGTCTCTCCATCCTCTCCCAGGGTGACCATGTGTGGCCTGGGCTGTAAGAAGTACGTGGAGGCCAACATCTCCCATAAGTCACGCACAACTGTCAAATATACAATGAAGACTCTAGCCAGCTGTGCTGAGACCGTGATCTTCATGCTGCTTGGCATCTCAGCCGTGGACTCTTCTAAGTGGGCCTGGGATTCTGGGCTGGTGCTGGGCACCCTCATCTTCATCCTGTTCTTCCGAGCCCTCGGTATTGCTGGCACCCTCTGCTTTCCCACTCTCCTTCCTGTCCCGCCCCTCCCTGCAGCTCATCTCCCTATCTGAGTCCACATCTTTGTCAATTCCTAAGCCTCCTCTTGTTGCTCACCTGTCCCAGCCCCTGTTAGACCTCAGCCCAGATACTTGGTCCCATCCGGTCCCACGTCCTCCACTCCCAACGCTTTGCTCCCACTGGCCTCCCTCCCGCTGTAGGCGTAGTCCTGCAGACCTGGGTGCTGAATCAGTTCCGGCTAGTCCCTCTGGACAAGATTGACCAAGTGGTGATGTCCTATGGGGGCCTGCGGGGGGCTGTGGCCTTTGCTCTCGTCATCCTACTGGATAGGACCAAGGTCCCTGCCAAGGACTACTTTGTAGCCACCACTATTGTAGTGGTCTTCTTCACAGTCATCGTGCAGGTGGGAGTGCCCACAAGGCTGGGTAGGGAGAGGGTTGGGCAGGCCCTGGGGGAGTCTTGGAGCCTGTGGGACAGGGGCTTCTCTTCCCGCTGGGAGATGGAGGGCCCTGACTTCCCAGACCTTGAGTGCAGTGGGGTAGGGGTACTGAAGCTGAAGCCTCATTACGGGGAGAGAAAGGCAGCAGGGAACTGAATAGGAATAGGGCAGGGCTCACCTCCTGCCTGTCCATAGGGCTTGACCATCAAGCCACTGGTCAAATGGCTGAAGGTGAAGAGGAGTGAGCATCACAAACCCACCCTGAACCAGGAGCTGCATGAACACGTGGGTATCAGAACCCCAGCCCTCGCCTGTCCCTCTCGACCTTCTCCTATTTTGGGCAGAGTCCTGATCCAGTCCCCCTACCCACCCCCCTTCTAGACTTTTGACCACATTCTGGCTGCAGTGGAGGACGTTGTGGGGCACCATGGCTACCACTACTGGAGGGACAGGTGAGGGAGCTGCCCCGAGGCTCCTTCAGCAGCAGCAGCCCCACCAGCCAGGGAAGCATGGGGGATGTGCCACACTTCTGAGAAGGGACAGAGCCAGGTTCAGGCTGGGTGACCTCTGCCTGAAGCCCTTCAGTGGCATCCCAGTGCTCTCAGGTTAAGACAAGGCTCCCCAGTGTGGCCTGCTTGGCCCTGCATGGTTTGGCAACTGCCAGACTCCAGCCTCATCATGCTCTGCTCTGTCTTTGACTGTCTGCCTGCTAATTCCATGGACCCTGTCTTAGATCCTCAGGACCCACCATGCTCCCCCAGCCTGGCCACTGGGACCTTCTCTGTACTAGAACACTCCTTCACCTCCCTCTCACTTACTCAGCTTCGATTCATCCTTCACAACTCACCATAGGCTTCAATTCCTTAGGGAGGACTTCCCTGGCCTCCCTGGCTAGGACGTATCTGTGTCATATTCTCTAATTATCCTTTGTAGTTCTTGTCATGGTTGCAATTTTACAGTGATTTGTAATAATTTCAGTTACTGTCAGCCTTTCCCATGACATTGTAAATTCCATGAGGGCAGGGACTAGCCTTGAGATTCTCTCTGGCTGAGGCCCATATCTAAAAAGCCAGGCCAGTGCTGACGGTGTCCTTGCCCCGTCTGAGGAAGGGCCACCTGGCCAGGCCTTGGGAATGGGACTCAGGGCCGGGCCTGGCATCCTCTGTAGGTGGGAGCAGTTTGACAAGAAATACCTGAGTCAGCTGCTGATGCGACGATCAGCCTACCGCATCCGGGACCAGATCTGGGATGTGTACTACAGGCTTAACATCCGGGATGCCATCAGCTTTGTGGACCAGGTGGGCCAGCAGCTTCCAGGTGGGCCAGTGGTGGGTGGGCAGATGGTCAGCAGAGCAGGACAGAAAGGGGTGGCAAGCAGGCTGGCCCTGAGCAGGGAGTTGGGAATTCCTAGCTGGCTCCATGGTCTGGTGAAGTGGCAGCGGCAGGAAGCAGCTGGGTCTGGTGCTGACATTCAGAGTCTGGCAGGCAGTCCAGAGAGGTGGGAAACAGCTGGACTCTGGGGTCAGCTCAACCATTATCACTTCCAAGCTTGTGACCTTGGGTAAGCACACTCTCTGAGCCTGTTTCCTTAGCTGTAAGAAAGCAGGCATAAGAGGCTGGGCACGGTGGCTCACGCCTGTAATCCCAGCACTGTGGGAGCCTGAGGTGGGTAGATCACTTGAGGTGAGGAGTTTGAGACCAGCCTGGCCAACATGGTGAAACCCTGTCTCTACTAAAAATACAAAAACTAGCCAGGCATGGTGGTGCATGCCTGTAATCCCAACTACTCTGGAGGCTGAGGCAGGAGAATCGCTAAAATCTGGGAAGCGGGCTGGGCACGGTGGCTCACACCTGTAATCCCAGCACTTTGGGGGGCCAAGGCGGGTGGATCATGAGGTCAGGAGTTCGAAACCGGCCTGGCCAACATAGTGAAACCCCGTCTCTACTAAAAATACAAAAACTAGCCAGGCGTGGTGGTGGGCACCTGTAGACCCAGCTACTTGGGAGGCTGCGGCAGGAGAATCGCTTGAACCCTGGTGGAGTTTGCAGTGAGGTTGCAGTGAGCTGAGATTGTACCATTGCACTCCAGCCTATGTGACAGAGCAAGACTGTGTCTCAAAAAAAAAAAAAAAAAAATCCGGGAACCAGAGGTTGCAATGAGCCGAGATCGTGTCACTGCACTCCAGCTTGGGTGATAGAGTGACTCTGTCTCAAAAAAAAAAAAAAAAAAAAAAAATAGAAAGCAGGCATACAAGTACCTATGTTATAGATTTTGTGAATTCGATATGTAAAGTGCCTAGCAGAGTACCTGGCATGTCAAAAGAGTAAACTAAGTGTTCGTTATTATTATTTTCTTTATTACCCCTGACTCCTGGGCAACCCTCCATCTGATTGCTGGCTGACCTTGGTCTTGACACCTGCAGGGAGGCCACGTCTTGTCTTCCACAGGTCTCACTCTGCCTTCTATGCCCAGCCGCAATTCTGTGGCAGAAACTTCTGTCACCAACCTGCTGTGAGTCCTTGAGCCCCTTCCCCTTCCTCATACTCCTCTCCATTGTGCCCTCTCTCTGAGTCCCTTCTGGGGGAGATTTGTCAGCACCTTTTCATCTGCCCTTCTCCTGGACTGCCTCCTGCCCCCTCTCCAGCACATGTGTCCCCTGCCTCCTGCAGGAGGGAGAGTGGCAGTGGAGCGTGTCTGGATCTGCAGGTGATTGACACAGTACGCAGCGGCCGGGATCGTGAGGATGCTGTGATGCATCATCTGCTCTGCGGAGGCCTCTACAAGCCGCGCCGTAGGGTGAGAGCAGGCAGGCATCAGGATTTTGAGGGGGTGGAGGTGGTCTGAGGAGAGCTTAAGAGGCAGTTGGCGCCAGCTTGTTGGAGAGCTGCAGATGCCCAGCTAAAGAGTGTGGGTTTCAGCCGGGTGCGATGGCTCATGCCTGTAATCTCAGCACTTTGGGAGGCCAAGACAGGCGGATCACTTGAGGTCAGGAGTTTGAGACCAGCCTGGCCAACATGGTAAAAATGAAACCCCATCTCTACTAAAAATACAAAAATTAGCTGGGTGCGGTGGCACATGCCTGTAATCCCAGCTACTCGGGAGGCTGAAGCAGGAAAATCGCTTGAACCCGGGAGGCAGAGGTTGCAATGAGCTGAGGTCTCACCACTGCACTCCAGCCTGGGTAACAGAGCAAGACTCCATCTCAAAAAAAAAAAAAAAAAAAAAAAGAGTGTGGGTTTTATCTCATCAGTAATAAGAAACCTCTGCTTTGTTTTTATTTTTTGGAGAAAGGGTTGACCTAATACAAGCACTGTTTAAGGATACCTTCTCTGGTAGCAGAGTGCAGATCAAATTGGAGGGGGTGAGTTGAGAAGCTGGGACAGCCAGTTGGGAAGATGGAGTGAAATATTGTGGATTAGGGCTGAGCGGTGGGAAAGAAGAGGGGCACGTAGGCCTAGGTGATTGGCTCTGATGGTGAGAGGAGGAGGAGACAGAGTACTGGGGGCCTTGAGGGTCACTGGAGAATGATGGAGTCACAGACAGAAGCAAGAGCACTGAGGAAGCCTCCTAGACCAGCTTAGCCTGTGGAAGGTGGGCATCTGTTTTAAATAATGGAAGTTAGTCCAATGCAGATCATGAAGCTTTGCGTCTGGAAAGGCCCAGCTCATCCAGGAGAGAGTCTGTTGCAACCCCACAAGAGGGCAGCAAGCCATTACCTTGCACCTTTCTAAAATGGGAAGCCAGCTGTCACCAGTTCTGGCAGTTTCAACAGTCAAAGCTCTTTCTACTGTTGAAACAGAATTGGCCTCCTTTAACTTGCACCCACTGGTCCTGATTTGACTCTTCGCAGCTCTGCAGAATACATCTTCCAAAATTTCAAGACAGTTCCCTTTCACACAGGCTCTCTTGCCCTCAGGCCAGAATCTCTTACCTCCTGGTATGTCTTCTCTGGACTTAAAAAAACAGCGCCCAGAATGGAAGTTGCTACTCTAGCTGTGGCTGGCCAGGGAAGGGCCTAGAAGCTCTGACACCATTCTAGTTCTAGAACTTGCTATTTCTCTTCCCACAGCCCAAGATCCCTCCAGCCTTGGCTCACCACCCTGGGGCCCCACATTGTCCTTAGAATCTGCTAAACTCCCAGGTCTTCCTCAGTTAATGGCTGGCAGACCCTGTCTCACTGCATCCTATGGGGTTTTTAAAAAACCTTTCTTATTCAAAATTCCAGTAGAACGAATAAAATAACTCATATTTATCTATCAACCAGCACTGAAAAATCAGTGCATGATCAATTCTATTACATTCTGCAGCCCTACCACATCCCTCCCACACTTTATCTTAAAACAAACTCCAGACATCGTATCACATCATCTCAAAATATTTCAGTATGTCTCTCTAGGTGGCAAGAACTCTTACATCCAGTCAGTATTCAATAAATATCTTTTCCCCGCTGGATGTTCAAATCAGGGTCTAAATAAGTCCACACTTAGCATTTGGGAAATATGTCTCTTCATTTAAAAAAATCTATAATAGTTCTTTTTCCCCTCTCTATCTCCCTTGCTATTTATTTATTGAAGAAGCTGGATACTTTCTCTTGGAGAATTGCACATTTTCTAGATTTTGCTGACTGTATTCCAGTGGTGTTGTTTAACATGTTCCTCCGTTCCCTATATTTCCTGGTTGTTAAATCTAGAGGCCTGATCAAATTCAGGGACATTCAATAGGTATGCTATATATTTTCTGTGGTGTCACATCAGGAAGTACATAATGATTTGGTGAGGTGTGTGTGTGTGTGTGTGTGTGTGTGTGTGTATGTGGTGTTTATGTATAAGATTGGTCAATGGGTTCAGTCCAATCGGTTCATGTGTAGTCTGTTTTTTAAAAATCTGGAATAAGTTTGTGTGTATCCTGTTAAATGTCATCTTATTTGCTTTAGCCCATCATCCCATTGTTTGGTTCCCATGTCTGCCACCAAATGTCTCCTTCTTAGATTCATATCATCTGAAAATTTGTTAAGCCTGTTAACTTTGTATTCATCCAAATCCACATAAACATGTTGAACAGGATAGAGCTGAGGACAGAGCCCTGTGGCATGCTACTAAAGACTTTCCTCCAGACTGACATGGATCAAGCATTTTTGGGGTATGGTAACTCAACCAGTTCTGAATCCACTTAGTATGATAACACAATCCACAATTTCTCATGTTCTTCATCGAAATATCATTAGAGAGAGACAGAGATATCTAGTTTTCAGTTAGAAAGATAAGATTATAGTTTAATAGAGAGATAAGGGCTGGAGAGAAATTTGGAAGCAATCTGTATCAGGTTTTGTCACCTGGCTACCACAGAATCCCCTGGGGAACTTCCTGGCTTCACCTGGAGATTCTGATTCTGTAGTCTGGAGTGGGACTAAGAATCTGTGTTCTTACTAAGTTCCCCAGGTGATTCAAATGCAGCTGGTCTGATGACTGATGTTGGGGGACCACAGATCTGTATCACTGGGATAGCTGGGGCAGAGAGAATGGATAAGTTCTCTGAGGAGAGTGTTTCATGGGGCGGGAGGAGGGCTAAGGATAACACTGAGGAGTGCGCATGGGAGAAAAGGAAAGAGAGCCAAAGACAAGGAACCCTTGGAGAAGCAGTGGCAGGTGGTGCCTCAGGCCTGGGGCAGAAAGAGGGCTGGATGCTGCGCAGAGGCCTGGCCAGCACCTAGGCAGAGCCCACAGCACTGGTGACCAGCAAGAAGGCAGCACTGTGGAGTTGTGGACCCTGGAGTTGCATTTCTGGTTTTTAAGGAAATAGTGGGTAGGAGAGAAAGTGTCAGAATCAAATTATAAAAGTGTAGCAGCAAAAGGGAGACAATGGTGTTCAAGGGAAGACTTTCTTTAAGGAGGCAAGGGCAGGAGCTTGAAAACAGAGGGGAGGGAGCCAAGTGGTGAGGTAAGGAGTGAAGATACAGGAGAGTGGAGGAATAGGAGGCAGCAGGAACTGCTGGAGGCAGGAAGGAGGGAACTGAGCAATGTGGAGGCCGGGGCTGGGCAGCAATGAGCCTTGTGAAGGAGATGGACCCCTTCTCCCCAGGAGAGAGGGTACCTCCTGGTGCATAGGTAGATGAGGAGGGCAGATGGAAGACTTGAAGGGGGCTCTTAGAACTGGTTCAGGGAAGCAGAAAATATGAGATAAAGGGACCAGACTTGGGATTTGAGGCAAGATAAGATGATTTGGCAGGCACTGGGAAGCATTTCAGGGGATTACCACTAGATGATGAAAAGGTGCTAAGCAAGGAGGGTAGAGGCAGAGGCAGTCTAGGTGAGTGTGTAGCGGGCTTGGTGTTGATAAGAGTTAAAAAGAGCATGGCCAGGCGCAGTGGCTCATGCCTGTAATCCCAGGACTTTGGGAGGCCAAGGCAGGCAGATCACTTGAGGTCAGGAGTTCGAGACTAGCCTGGCAACATGGTGAAACCCTGTCTCTACTAAAAATACAAAAATTGGCCGGGTGTGATGGCAGGCACCTGTAATCCCAGCTACTCGGGAGGCTGAGGCAGGAGAATTGCTTGAACCCCAGAGGCGGGGGTTGCAGTGAGCAGAGATCGTGCCATTGCACTCCAGCCTGGGTGACAAGAGCAAAACTCCGTCTCAAAAAAAAGAAAAAAAAAAGCAGATGATGGGGGTGATCCTGAATTATTGGGACTGAGAAGGTCCAGGGTGTCAGGGGAGATAGTTATGAAAGTTCAAAGTGCAGCCCAGGATATCATGGTGGTTCTTGTAGAAATGGCTAGATAGGAGATTCCAGCTGGAGAAAGGATCCTGTGTAGCTAGAAGGGGGCAGGTAGGCTGGGTGTGTGGGCGAAGCTCAGATAAATGGAGGTACAAAGAAAATGTCCCCCATGTTGTCACAGTAGTAGAACAAGACAGAGGGTCACCTTCAAACCAGAGAGAATCGGGAAAGGATGGCAAGGGTTGGGGAAGGCCAGGTTTGGGGGAATAAGTTCTGGGATAAAGGGAAGCTTTTCCCAGGGAACTGAGAACACAGGGTCTCTGGCTGGGTTCCTGTTGTATTTTTTGTTTTGTTTTTCAATCCATTGTTAATTCTGGAAAAGCTGGGCTGGCAGGTCCTGTGGTGAATATGTTGGGGCTGTGGCCTGGGGTTCTTGTGGGAGGCCAAGGCATCCATCCTCATAGCCAGGCGGGGCTGTCATTGCCAGTACAAAGCCAGCTGCAGTCGCCACTTCATCTCAGAGGATGCGCAGGAGCGGCAGGACAAGGAGGTCTTCCAGCAGAACATGAAGCGGCGGCTGGAGTCCTTTAAGTCCACCAAGCACAACATCTGCTTCACCAAGAGCAAGCCACGACCCCGCAAGACTGGCCGCAGGAAGGCATGTCTTCCCTCAGGGACTCCTCTTGGGAGCTGGAGGCTGACAGCAAGCAGTTTTGAGCCCCCTAGTGTTAGGATCCAGCTTAGGGGGAACCCCAGTTGGGACAGTCCTCAGGGGCTTGATGACTACAGCAGTTTGGGTTCCCTTTTAGATGTTCCTGGAGTCCCAGAAGGGTAAGGTGAGACCTTCAGAGGGGGAGCAGCCTCTTGGCCATGTGGTCACCTGCTGGGAGGCAGCAGGGCCGCCTACCAAAGATGAAAAAGGCAGGAGAAAAGGAGATTCCTTTGAGGGGCAACTCCATGAGCTCCTAAGTCAGCCCACGCTGATGCATCCAGATTTCTTACTGGGGCATGGGTCACTCTTGCCTGGTTGGCCAAGGGATGGTAGAACCACTGGGACTGACATAAATTCCCTCCCCTGCTGGGTTAGGAAAACTTGTCCTGTTGACCCCACCAGATGACAGGGTTGGGGTGGGAAGCCGGGGCCAGAGGCTCAGGTTTTCTTTCTTGGTCCTCAGAAGGATGGTGTGGCGAATGCTGAGGCTACAAATGGGAAACATCGAGGCCTGGGCTTTCAGGACACAGGCAAGCAGGGAGCAGTGTGGGATTGAGGATGGGAGGGAGGAGGGAAAGGGCTGGGGCTTGCCAGCCAGAATCCTGGAGGACCCGCTGTAGGGTGCATTCAGCACCGTGACCTGGGGCTCTTCCTCCAGGGACTTGATTTCCAAGTTGGAAATGTTCAAAGCAGTTATTAGACAATGCGTGACAGGAGGCATCTGATTGCTAACTATGGGTTACAGGCCCCGAGGACTTGGAAAATGTGTCATGGAGATGGGGGAGTTTGGTCTGGGCCTTGGAGGATGGGTGGACTCTGGGGCCCAGTGTCCTGTCTGCAAAGCCAATTTTGTTTTGTTTTTTTGAGACAGAGTCTCACTCTGACAAGCTAGAGTGCAGTGGTGCCATCTCGGCTCACTGCAACCTCTGCCTCCTGGGTTCAAGTGATTCTTCTGCCTCAGCCTCCCAAGTAGCTGGGATTACATGTGCACGCCACCACACCTGGCTAATTTTTTTTTGTATTTTTGGTAGAGACAGGGTTTCGCATTGTTGGCCTGGCTGGTCTTGAATGCCTAACCTCAGGTGATCCGCCTGCCTCAGCTTCCCAAAGTGTTGGGATTACAGGTGTGAGCCACCGCACCTGGCTGCAAAGCCAGTTTTGTATGAGCTGAATGTTAATGGGCCTTCCAGCAATCCAAGTGCTCATGTTTCCAGTGGATCGTGGGATTTGGGGCTGAAAGAAGAGGATGGGGGAGCTGGAAAGTGTGGTCCTCATGACTTCCTCCGGGGACTTAGCTTCCTCTGGTCGCTTCCTTGGGCTCCGCAATGTCAGTTCTCTTCCTCCCAAGTCCCCACCTCTTAGGCCAGTGCTTGAAACAGCCAGAGGAGAAAGCAAGTGTCTCTGCCAACGTGTGTTCTGCCTAGGGAGACAGGGAGCTGGCTTGGGGCTGTGTAGTCCCAACAGGCAGCTGCCAGCCCAGGATGCCTGACTCTGCTCTTGTCTCTGTCCAGCTGCTGTGATATTAACCGTGGAGTCTGAGGAGGAGGAGGAGGAGAGCGACAGTTCAGAGACAGAGAAGGAGGACGATGAGGGGATCATCTTTGTGGCTCGTGCCACCAGTGAGGTTCTCCAAGAGGGCAAGGTCTCAGGTAATGGCTTCCTCCCTGCCCACCTCCCCTCTGGAGCAAGCTGGTTTCCTCTCTCTTCACTCATGGCCTCTACTCCAGACAACTCCCTTTTCCTATTCACTAGTTTATTCATCAGCCAGCATTTGCAGAGCCTCTTCTTCATACCAGATGCCCGACATAGGTAATATTCAACCCTCACAACAACCAAGATGGGGAAACTGAGCTTAGAGAGCTTAAGAGACTTGTGACTTGTCCAGCATCACATAGTAGAACCAGAATTTGAACCTGACTCATCTGACTCCCAAGCCCACAGCCTTTCTTTTTTTAATTTTTAAATTTATTTTATTTTATTTGAGACAGAGTTTTGCTCTTGTCATCCAGGCTGGAGTGCAGTGGTGCGATCTCAGCTCACTGCAACCTCTGGCTCCCGGGTTCAAGCAATTCTCCTGCCTCAGCCTCCCTAGTAGCTGGGATTACAGACGTGCACCCCCACGCCTGGCTAATTTTCATATTTTTAGTGGAGATGGGGTTTCACCATGTTGGCCAGGCTGGTCTTGAACTCCTGACCTCAGGTGATCCACCCACCTTGGTCTCCCAAAGTGCTGGGATTACAGGCGTGAGCCACCATGCCCGGCCTATTCTTTTCTTTTTTTTTTTTTTTTTAAATGCCATTCTTGCATTGCTATAATCTTTTTTTTCTTTTTCTTTTTTTTTTTTGAGACAGGATCTCACTCTGTCACCCAGGCTGGATCATGGATTGCACAATGGCATGATCATGGCTCACTGCAGCCTTGATCTCCAGGGCTCAAGTGATCCTCCCACCTCAGCTTCCCGAGTAGTTGGGACTACCGGTGTGCACTAGCACACCCAGCTGTTGTTTTTTTTTTTTTTTTTTTTTTTGCTACGGGGTTTTGCTCTTGTTGCCCAGGCTGGAGTGTAATGGTGTGACTCAGGTCATGGCAACCTCTGCCTCTCGGGTTCAAGTGATTCTTCTGCCTCCGCCTCCCGAGTAGCTGGGATTACAGGCATGCGCCACCACACCCAGCTAATTTTGTATTTTTAGTAGAGATGGGGTGTCTCCATGTTGGTCAGGCTGGTTTCGAACTCCTGACCTCAGGTGATCTGCCCTCCTCGGCCTCCCAAAGTGCTGGGATTACAGGCATGAGCCACCGTGCTCAGCACCCAGCTGATTTTTAAAAATTGTTTGTAGAGATGAGGTTTCACTGTGTTGCCCAGGCTGGTCTCAAACTCCTGGCAGTCTTCCCTCCTTGGCCTCCCAAAATGCTGGGATTGCAGGTGTCAGCCACCGTGCCCACCCACACCCTTTCAAGGCCATGCTGCCTCCCTTTGTAGTCTAGTGAGGAATAGGAGGTGGTGAGCAAACCATGGGCTCTGTTGAGACCCATGCCCTCAAGTAGATCCCCAGGTGAAGGTGGCAGCCTGACCTGGAGGAGCAGCCTGAATTCATCAAAATGGAGTTATTGTGGACAAAAATACAGTATATAAGCATTTTTCTGTATGTATAGAGACCTAATTCACTCATATTGTTAGTATCACTGGTGGTTGGCACCCTCAAGTGTCTTTAAACATTTTTTATTATAGAAAATTTCAAAATATACAATGATAGAACTATAAAATAAACTCCCATCTATCCATTATCCAGCTTCAATAATTACCTACTCATAGCCAATCTTATTTCACCTAAACCTCACCTATGCCCCACCCTCCACTGGGTTCCTTTGATGCAAGTCTCAAATATCATATCACTTTATCAATAAATACTTCAGTACATGTCTCTAAAATATAAGGATTCTTTTTTTTTCTTTCAAGATGGTCTCTCTCTGTCACCCAGGCTGGAGTGCAGTGGTGCGATCATAGCTCACTGCAGCCTTGAATGCCCCGACTTAAGCAGTCCTTTTGCCTTAGCCTCCCGAGTAGCTGGGACTACAGGCACACACCATCATGCCCAGCCTTTTTTTTTTTTTTTTTTCTGGTAGAGATGAGGCCTTGTTATGTTGCCCAGGCTAGTCTTAAAGTCCTGAGCTCAAGTGATCTTTACTTCTCAGCCTCCTAAAGTGATGAGATGAAAGGCGTGAACTACCATGCCCAGCCAGATAAGGATTTTTTTTTTTTTTTTTTTGAGTTAGGATCTCTCTTTGACACCCAAGCAAGAGTGCAGTGGCCGGATCATGACTCACTGCTTCCTCAACCTCTTGGGCTCAAGCCACTCCACCCGGCCTCAGATAAGGATTCCTGATGCATGCCTCTAGTCAATTGACCCCAGGAGGCTGAGGCTGCAGTGAGCTATGATCACGCCACTACACTCCAGCCTGGGCAACAGAACAACACTCTGTCTCTTGGGGAAGAAAAAAGGATTCTTTAAAAAATATGTAACCACAATGCCTTTCCCATATCTAAAAATCTGTCATCAAACATCGTTCAAATTTCCCTGATTATATATATATATATATATATATATATATATATATATATATATATATATATATTTTTACAGTAGGCTTGTCCAATGTCCCTTTTAACCTATAGCAGTGATTCTCCAGGGGGATGGTGGTGGAGTGATTTTGCTCCCCCAGGGGACATTTGGCAATGCCCAGAGACATTTTTGGTTGTCACAACTGGGGAGGATGGCCTTGGATGGAGGGGTAGAGGCCAGGGATGCTGCTAAACATCCTACAATGAACAGGACAACCCTCACCAGCAAAGGAGTAGCTGTCCCAAAATGTCAAGTGTCAACTTTGATAAACCCTGATCCATAGTTTCCCCCAAACCCCCTACTTTTTTTTCTTCACGATGTATTTACTGAAGAAACCTGCTTATTTGTCCTACAGTCTTTCTCTGTCTGGATTTTGTTGGTTGCATCCCCAAAGTGTCATTTAATATGTTTCTCTGTCTCTTAAATTTCCTTTAAACCAGTAAATCCACAGGCAGTGGCTCACACCTATAATTCCAGCACTTCGGGAGGCCAAGGTGTGCAGATCACCTGAGGTCAGGAGTTTGAGACCAGTCTGGCCAACATGGTGAAAACCTGTCTCTACTAAAAATACGAAAAAAAAAAAATTAGCTAGGCATGGTGGTGGGCACCTGTAATCCCAGCTACTCTGGAGGCTGAGATGGGAGAATAGCTTGAACCTGAGAGGTGGAGACTGCAGTGAGCTGAGATCGTGCCTCTACACTCTAGCCTAGGTGACAGAGCAAGACTCCATCTCAAACAAACAAAAAAACAAAAAACCTCGCCTCATCAATTATTTGGTTACTTTGAGGTACAGTTCACCCAGTAAATGCTTGATTCTTTCATTTATCAGTTTTCAGACCAAAGAATTCATTCCCTAGCAGCCTGTAAAGGTGAATACCAAAGGTTTTTTGTTTTACACTTTTTGTTGTTGTTATCGCATTTTAATATTCCAGGTCTTTCAAGAGATACCATTTTACTTTTAATCATAGCATCAATACATTTCACACATGTACTCAAACAGAAGCTTATTGGGCTGCTCAGGACTTTATCGATGAACAGATACAGGCTGTACTGTACTTTGGAGAGCTGGGGTGGTTGGTGGCCAGAGGAATTCTCTTTCCAGGTTTCCTCCTTCAGAACCTCAGATTTCCTGTAATTCAGCCCCGCCCCTGCAGTTCTGGGATTCTTAGCTCAGGTCCCCTATGCCTCGTCATCCCCTTTGCGGCAAAGCTCTGGCCTGCTGTTAGGTTTGCATGAGCTCACACTCCTGGGCTTTGTCCCACCAAAGGGCTGTGGTGGGTACTCAGGCAGGATGCTCAGCAGAAAAACCTTTGGCCTGTAGCCTCCAGGTCTTTCTTTCCCTCTCTGGTGGCTGGCGTTTCTCCCTCGCTGGTTGGCTGGGATGGGGCTTGGCAGGAGGCTGTTTCAGAGACCAGTGCTGCAGTAGGGTGAGGGGACTGGAGATGGGGCTTCCTGCCTGGCTCCTGCTTTTGCTATCTTCTTATTTTTTATTTTTATTTATTTTTTATATAGAGTCTCACTCTTTCACCCAGGCTGGAGTGCAGTGGCGAGATCTCGGCTCATTGCAACCTCTGCCTCCCGGGTTCAAGTGATTCTCTTGCCTCAGCCTCCCGAGTACCTGGGATTACAGGCGTGTGCCACTGTGCTTGGCTAATTTTTGTATTTTTAGTAGAGACAGGGTTTCATCATGTTGGCCAGGCTGGTCACTAACTCCTGAGCTCAGGTGATCCACCACCTTGGCCTCCCAAAGTGCTGGGATTACGGCATGAGCCATAAGCCAACTTTCCTTATTTTCGTTTCTTTGATGAAAATAATGTTCAATTTCTTGAGCAACTACTGTGTGCCCGGCCCTGTGCTAGGTGTTGGGGATAGAGTGGAGAGTAAAACAAGCTGTGGTACTTCGCCTCAGCAAGACATTCATCCGATAATCGCAAAAATGGACGGCATATGGAAACTGTGGCATGAATTTATAAGAATGTGCTTATACTTGAGATTTCCACTGTATTGGTAATGAGTTCATGTGTACTCTCTGTCCCCAGGAAGCCTTGAGGTGTGCCCAAGCCCACGAATCATTCCCCCCTCCCCAACCTGTGCAGAAAAGGAGCTCCCCTGGAAGAGTGGGCAGGGGGACCTGGCAGTGTACGTGTCCTCGGAAACCACCAAGATTGTGCCTGTGGACATGCAGACGGGTTGGAACCAGAGCATCTCATCCCTGGAGAGCCTAGCGTCCCCTCCCTGTAACCAGGCCCCAATTCTGACCTGCCTGCCTCCCCATCCACGGGGCACTGAAGAGCCCCAGGTCCCTCTCCACCTACCTTCTGATCCACGCTCTAGCTTCGCCTTCCCACCGAGCCTGGCCAAGGCTGGCCGCTCTCGCAGTGAGAGCAGCGCTGACCTCCCCCAGCAGCAGGAGCTGCAGCCCCTCATGGGCCACAAGGACCACACCCATCTCAGCCCAGGCACCGCTACCTCCCACTGGTGCATCCAGTTCAACAGAGGCAGCCGGCTGTAGCTCAAGGCCTCGGGGAGGAGCAGGAGGTGGAATCCCTGTGGGAAGTGCTCCCTGGGTGATGGGTAGAGCCCTCGAAACTTGACATGGGGCCAGAAGGGCCTGGGTTGAAGTAGTAATTGGGCTTCCTTGGAGCTAGTCAGAGGGGTCACCTAAGCTGGTCCTCACAGGGGCCTTTCTCACCACCTCCCTGCTCCTAACCCCTGCCACTTTCTGTTTCATTAAGGCCTCTACTCTGGCTCAGGACCCAGTCCAGGCCTTCTACGGGCTAGGCCCAGAGACTTGGGTTGCTGGTCCCCCTTCCCTAGTGGGTTTTCCCGGGGACTCTATAGGCAGCTGCTCCTGCCCGCAAAGCAAGAGCATCATTCCTATTCTTCAGTGGATGCCAGCCTTCCCTGCCCCAACTCCCTCCCCAGCACTGGGTCAGTGGTGTCCTGGCAGTGAGGCTCCGTGAGGGGCTGGCCCTTAGAGGAACTGGGGTGGGAGGTGGGGCAGGCCTCACCCTTGGGCTTTGCTGCCCTGTTGGGTCAGCTACCCATAGTCCATTTTTTTAGGGCAGTGGGAACCTCTGCCTCCACTTCCTGCTTTAGCCCCTTCCCTTTGCTGCCAGGTATTGGGGTAATATTTCCTCCTTTTCCAAGACCAAGGCCAAGAGGCTGGGCCAGGCTTCAGTTCAGGCCTGTTGCTTAACTGGGGTCACCCTGGGATCTGCTGCTCTGGGTCTAAGTCTAGACCTTTCTGATCCTTGGGTCTGGGTTTTTTGAGGAGGGGACATAGTGGCCTCTGGGCTGCCATGTCACCACCTGAACATTCCCCAAACAGAGAAGGAACCCAGCATCTCAGGGCCACTGCTCCATTGCTCTGGGGGCTGGGATGCCTGGCTAAGCAGGGGCTGACAGGGTGGCAGGTGACTTTCTAGGGATCAGCACCTGCCCTGTGTTTTGTACCTTGAACCTAAGATATATTAAACATCTCTCAGATGGATGGGTGTCTTGTGTCCATGTGTCAGGGGGTTCTTAGGGTGGGGGGCAACAGGGGCATCTGGTGAAGGAGGTGAGAACCCAACTGCCTGCCCCAGGGATTGAGAATGGAGGGGAATCCTAGGCAGGACTATTCATCCTTCTGGTCCCCTGTCATGCATTCCCCAATACTTTTCCAATATTGTCCCCTTAGCAGGGGTCCTGCAGTGGTGGTCAAGGGGATCACTGTTTTGGCATCGAGTCACAGAACTAAAAGTCTGCAAAATGAGAAAGGCTAGCAGGGAAAGACCCCAGAGGTCAGGTGCCAAGCTGTCCTGATGCAGCCACCACACACCTAGGACCAGATGAGCATTTCTTGAAAACCTGGATGCAGGTACAGGACACATGAACAGAGGTGGCCTTTTGCACATGACAGACAGGAAGGCAATCTCAAGGGCTCACGGGATTTGGTTACCGTGTTTATTTTTTATTTTTGGAGACAGGATTTTGTTCTATCACCCAGGCTGGAGTGCAGTGTCACAATCATAGCTCACTGCAGCCTGGAACCCCTGGGCTCTAGGAATATTCTCGGCACAGTCTCCCAAGTAGCTAGGACTACAGGTGTGTACCACCATGCCTGCTAAATTTTTAGTTTTTGTTTTTATTATATTTATTTATTTTTAGAAACAGGATCTCACTCTGTCACCCAGGCTAGAGTACAGTGGCATGATCTCGGCTTACTGCAACCTCTGCCTCTTGGGTTCAAGCAATTCTGCCTCAGTCTCCTGAGTAGCTGGGACTAGAGGCACATGCCACCATGCCTGGCTAATTTTTTGTATTTTTAGTAGAGACAGAGTTTCACCACGTTGGCCAGGCTGGTCTCGAACTCCTGACCTCAAGTGATCTGCCTGCCTCAGCCTCCCGAAGTGCTGGGATTACAGGTGTAAGCCACTGTGCCTGGCATATATATATATAATTATATATAATATATATAATAATATATATTATATATTATATATTAATATAATATATAATATATATAATATATATTATATATAATAAATATATAATATATAATATATATTATATATAATAAATATATAATATTATATAATTATATATTATATAATATATATTATATATATTATATAATATATATATTTTTTTTTCCTGGAGGTAGGGCCTCACAATGTTGCTCAGGCTGTTCTTGAACTCCTGACCTCAAATAATCCTCCTGCTTTGACCTCCTCAAGTGTTGGAATTACAGGTGTGAGCCACCTCACCTGGCCATCTCTGAGTGTTTATGATGCAAATCAGATAGTGTGGGGTCCAGAAACATGAATAGAAATCCCTAGATGGCCGGGCACAGTGGCTCATGCCTGTAATCCCAGCATTTTGGGAGGCCAAGGTGAGTGGATCACCTGAGGTTGGGAGTTCGAGACCAGCCTGACCAACATGGAGAAACCCAGTCTCTACTAAAAATACAAAATTAGCTGGGTGTGGTGACACACGCCTGTAATCCCAGCTACTCAGGAAGGCTGAGGTGGGAGAATCACCTGAACTCAGGAGAATAGCTTGAACCCAGAAGGCAGCGGTTGCAGTGAGCCGAGATTGCACCATTGCACTCCAGCCTGGGCAACAAGAGCAAAACTCCATCTCAAAAAAAAGAAAAAAAAAGAAAAAAAAGAAATCCCTAGATAAGAGCAGTCCCAAATCCAATTCCCCTGGTGTCTAAAGGACTTAAAACAAAAACAAAAACTTTGGCCCAGCACAGTGGCTCACGCCTGTAATCCCAGCACTGTGGGAGGCCGAGGCAGGTGGATCACCTAAGGTCAAGAGTTCAAGACCAGCCTGGCCAACATGGTGAAACCCCATCTCTACTAAAAATAACAAAAATTAGCCAGGCATGGTGGCGCTCACCTGTAATCCCACCTACTCGGGAGGCTGAGGCAGGAGAATGGCTGGAACCCGGGAGGCAGAGGTTGCAGTGAGCTGAGATCGTGCCACTGTACTCCAGCCTGGGGGGCAGAGAGAGACTCCATCTTAAAAAAAAAAAATCTTTGAGAGCTGGGCACAGTGGCTCATACCTATAATCCCAGCACTTTGGGAGGCCAAGGCAGGCGGTTCGCTTAAGGCCAGGAGTTCAAGACTAGCCCGGGCAGCATAGCAAGACCCTGTCTCTACCAAAAATCCAAAAAATTAGCTGGGCGTGATGACTCGCAACTTTAGTCCCAGCTACCCAGGAGGCTGAGGCACAAGAATAGCTTCAACCCGGGAGGCGGAGGTTTCAGTGAGCCAAGATCGCACCACTGCACTCTAGTCTGGGTGACAGAGCAAGACTCCATCTCAAAACACACACACACACACACACACACACACACACACACACACACCAAAAAAACCCCATATATATATATATACACACACACACATACACACACATATATACACACGCATATATATACGCATATATATACACACACATGTATATACACATATACACACATATATACACATATACACACACATATACACATATATACACACACATATATACACATATATACACACACATACACACACATATACATATATACACACATATATACATATATACACACATATATATACATATATACACATATATATACACATATATATATATATATACACACACATATACTGCACTGCACTGACTAGAGTGCAGTGGTGCGATCTCGGCTCACTGCAACCTCTGCCTCCCGGGTTCCAGCCATTCTCCTGCCTCAGCCTCCCGAGTAGGTGGGATTACAGGTGAGCGCCACCATGCCTGGCTAATTTTTGTTATTTTTAGTAGAGATGGGGTTTCACCATGTTGGCCAGGCTGGTCTTGAACTCTTGACCTTAGGTGATCCACCTGCCTCGGCCTCCCACAGTGCTGGGATTACAGGCGTGAGCCACTGTGCTGGGCCAAAGTTTTTGTTTTTGTTTTAAGTCCTTTAGACACCAGGGGAATTGGATTTGGGACTGCTCTTATCTAGGGATTTCTTTTTTTTTTTTTTTCTTTTTTTTGAGATGGAGTTTCGCTCTTGTTGCCCAGGCTGGAGTGCAATGGTGCAATCTCGGCTCACTGCAACCGCTGCCTTCTGGGTTCAAGCTATTCTCCTGATTCTCCCACCTCAGCCTTCCTGAGTAGCTGAGATATATTTGAGATATAAGTCACATACCATAAAAATTCACCCATTTTAAGTGTACAGTTCAGTGTTTTGAATATACCCATAGGGTTGTGCAGCCCTTACCACAATCTAAGTTTAGAACATTTTCATCATCCCCCAAAAAACCCTGTACTCATTAGCAGTCAGTCCTCATCCCTGGCCCTCCTCAGCCCTAGGTAATAACTAACCTACTTTCTGGCTGTCTGGATCTGAAGGACTTTTGACACACTTGGAAGGTTATACTTTTAGCCAACTTACCTTTACTTTTTCTGCATTATGCGCAGGGAAGGTGTGATGAGAAGGAAGAGTGACTTGGGCTTTGCCCTTAGGTTGTTTACAGGCCACAGTGATAAGGCCTCGTAGTTAACTAGTCGTCAACAGTTTATTTTTTTAATTTTTATTTTTTACTCTTTTTGAGACAGTCTCAGTCAGGTCACTCAGGCTGGAGTGCAATGGTATGATCTTGGCTCATAACCTCTGCCTCCCAGGTTCAAGCAATTCTCCTGCTTCAGCCTCCCAAGTAGTTGGAATTACAGGTGCCCACCACCATGCCCGGCTAATTTTTTGTATTTTTAGTAGAGACAGGGTTTTGCTATGTTGGCCAGGCTGGTCTCGAACTTCTGACCTCAGGTGATCCACCCGCCTCGGCCTCCCAAAGTGCTGGGATTACAGGCATGAGCCACTGCGCCCGGCCGTAGTCAACAGTTTAGAGTCAACAGCCCCAGCTGTCACTCACAAGTGTCATTCTGGGTGTGTTACATGCTCTCTCTGAGCCTCAGTGTCCTCATCTCTCAAATGAGATAATCATACTCACTTCATAAGGCTGCTGTCAGGATTAAATGACAAAATTTAATGGGAAGAATCTACCCAGGGCCTGGCTCAAGGTAAGGGATCATAAATGTCATTATTTGTCGGGCCGGGTGCGGTGGCTCATGGTTGTAATCCCAGCACTTTGGTAGGCCAAGGCGGGTGGATCCCTTGAGGTCAGGAGTTTGAGATCAGCCTGGCCAACATGCTGAAACTCCATCTCTACTGAAAATACAAAAACTAGCTGGGCATGGTGGTGCATGCCTGTAATCCCAGCTACTCTGGAGGCTGAGGCAGGAGAATCACTTGAGCCCAGGAGATGGAGGTTGCAGTGGTGGGGGCAGATGAACATGGTGGGTTTGACAGGGAGGCAGGCAGGTGACTTGGATGCAGGAGAGCAAGTGCGTCAAGCGCTCATCCATGGGTCCTTGCCATGTGACTGGGCAGGGTGGCCTGAGCTGAGAGAACTTGGCTGGGGTAGTCTTCGTGAAGGAGATGCTGCACCCAGGCCTCAAATGAGGAAGGATTTTGATTAGGGGAGATGGGCATGGGCCTTCAGGAAGAGGAGCCAGTGTGAGACTAGACTAGTAATCAGATTTGTTTTCCAGGCCAGTCTGGGAGGTAGATGGGAAGGCTGTGATGCCTCTAAGTGGCCTTGACTGTCATACCAAGGAGTTTGGAGTTTATTTAGGCCAAAGGCAAGAGAGGTCTGGAAGTTCTGGGGTATTTGTTGCCCTCAGTATTTGGGGTAGTACTGAAGAGGGGTGTGCAAGGTGAATGACTGTGGGTCTGTTGTCACTAGACCCAGTGAGGCCCAGAGCCCTCCCCTCCTTTTTATTTATTTATTTATTTTTGAGACAGAGTCTCGCTTTGTCACCCAGGCTGGAGTGCAGTGGTGTGATCTTGCCTCACTGGAACCCCTGCTTTCCAGGTTCATGTGATTCTCTTGCCTCAGCCTCTCAAGTAGCTGGGATTACAGGCATGTGCCACCACATCTGGCTAGTTTTTGTATTTTTAGTAGAGATGGGGTTTTGCCATGTTGGCCAAGCTAGTCTGGAACTCCCGACCTCAGGTGATCTGCCTGACTTGGCCACCCAAAGTGCTGGGATTTTGTGGCATAAGCCACAGTGCCCGGCCCATTTTATTTTTGATTGAGTCATGTTGGCAAGAAATGGGAGGCTGAGGGAGAGTTGGGGAAGGGCCAGGGGAGGGAGGCCCATTCCCATTTTATGATCTCAGTGGAAAAGGCTGCTGTGAGTTGATTCTGCTGCCAGGAGAGCCACAGAGATGGGCCCCATGAGTCACTGCTCAGTCCTGCAAGCTCAGCCCACAAAGCCTGCTGTGGTCAGCCACCCCTGGCTGGCTCCAGGCCCAGCTCCCCAATATTCCCCACTAGGCCTCAGTGTGTCCTCATTTCTATCTGTACCTTTGCCATCCTGGGCCATGCAACCTGTAGCTCTCGGCCTCTTCTGTCTCCTTTCAGGCTGAGTCTCTGAATCTGTCTCCATTTGTGACTCTGGTTTCCATGGGATACATAGATGTGGAGCCTCAGGAGGGCAGGGGTAGTGTGATCAGTGTCAGGCGCCCCAAAGCATTTATTCTGTGCCAGGCCCTGTGCTGGATGCTGAAAGTACGGAAGTGGATAACATACAGTCTCTGTTTCCATGAAGCCTACAATGCACATTCTCTGTGGAGTGGAGAAACCAGGGCCCAGCCCTGCCTCTATCTCAGTATGGCTGTACCTCCCCTGAATCTGCCTGCTGTGCCCAGGGTGCCAGGTCAGCTATAGCCTGTGGCTTGAGGCTCTTCTTTGCCTCTGGCATTCACAGGGGTATGTGTGCCCGCCAGCAGGTCCCCCCCGGCTCTTAGGGCTCCTGGGGGACTTGGCTGGTGGGTGCTGGTGGGCAGCAGAAGGGGAGGGAGGGAGCAGAAGGCAGTGACTCAGTGGGGGTGGCCCTGGGACAGAACTGGGGAGGAAGCCAAGGTTGGATGATGCTTCCTGAAGCCAGGAGGGTGGGAAGAGAGGTCTGGCTGGGAGTTAGGGATGGAGCAGGACAACTCCAAGGCTCCCCTCTGGCAGCCAGACCTGCTCATGAAGAAGGCTCCTCGGTAGCTGCCTGAAAGTCTGGACTCTGGGGGCTGGGCTGGGCTGGGTGGGGAGATTGCTGTTGGTCCCACTGTGCCTGTTGTAATCCCCAGGTTCATGAAAGAGGTGCCTGCCTTAGAGCCAGGGAAGCCGTTGCACCCGGTGCCCCCTCTCCCCAGGGACCATGGGCCTGGGCACACTGTGGGGCTCAGGGTCTTCTCCTGGTCGCAGAGCTGACCTTCCCACAATCTTCCCACAAATTCTGGGGAGTGTCGGGCCAGGCCCACATGCCCTAAAGGGACCTCAAATCGCACAGCTACCCACTTGGGTAGCTTTCATCAGTTCAGGATTCCCTGACTGCGGGTGAAATGAGGGGGCAGGGCACCAACACAGCCCGAGTGCTGGCAGCGGGTGAACGTATAACACAGGGAGTCTTCCCCAGTCCTCACGGCAACCCCAGGAGAAAAATGACTTTCCATTTTTACAGGTGAGGAGGGTGAGGCTCAAAGAGCAGAGTTCCTGGAGCGCCCCCAGCAGGTAAGTGGAGAAGCCAGGCCTGGGCTGGGGGCTCTGGCTCCAGAACCCCACCTCAGCACCAGCCTCCTGCACCGGACTTTGTGGAGAAGGGGGTAAGGGGGTGCCAGGGATGGCAAAGGGGTAGAGGATCTGGTGGACTCTGGCAGGCCTGGGTCAGCTCCACCCATTGGTCTCACTCCCACCCGGATGGCAGCCCCATCCCACGTGGGATCATGCGACCTGTCTCTGGGTGCCCGCGGCGAGGCAGCACCCCGCTTCCCTACACAGAAGGCCTTCCCCTCCCGTCGGCTCATTCAGCCGCGGAAGCCCCTGGGAGACCCCGCCCCGCCCCGTCCCGCGGTGCCCCCCGCGCACTCACCCTCGCTCACCCACGCGGCCTTCCTGGCGGGAGAGCGCTTCCGGCGTCCTCGCCAGGCCCGGGGAGTGGGCACGGTGGAGCTGCCGACCGTTGGTCGCTGCCCCAACCCACGCACTGCGACGCCGCGGGTGAGGCGCGCGGTCTGCGGGGCCCGGGGGTGCGGCGGGGCGGGGCTGGCGGGCTGTCCGGGCCCACGGAGAGGACGGCGGCGGGCGGGGGTTGCTGCAGGGCCCGCACCTTGTCTTCCGCGCCGGCAGGGCTGTGCCCCGTCGAGACCTGCTCGGGCTGTGGCTCCGTCCTCCGGCCTCCAGGGGGCGGCGCGGCGCTGCGCGGCGCCCCGGCGGCACTGCCCTCCCTTCCCAGCGGCCAGGAGGCGGTGTCCCGTGACGCCGCGCGGCCGCGCTGTAGTGGCCGTCGAGGCCGCCGTCTGTTCGAAGGCTGTCCGACTTCACGGTTCCCCGCGGCTCGGCCCGGGGGCGTGAGTGTCGCCAGCGGGCGACGGGGGGGCGCGCGGTAGGCCCTGCAACAAGGCCAGGGCCTGGGGGGGCCGGCAGGAGAGCGAACCCGAGGCATCGTGGTGCCATGGCGGGGCCGCCCCCACGGGCATGGGCCTGCAGAGCGTGGCCGTGAGGACGCTGAGGGTGGGCGCGCACGGAGCAGAGGCCCACGGGCGTCCGACGGGGGACCTGGACAGAGGGACACCCTTAACGTTATTCCCTCTTCCCAGGCCTGAATTGCAGTTCCTGTGCCCTGGCACTAAGACTGGCACCTCCTGCGGCCCATGCCCTTCGCCTGCATTGCCCACTGAGTCCCACTCGACTGTCTTCAGCGCGGTTCACACTGAGACCCAGCCCTCTCCCGCTGGCCCCGAGCAGGCCCACCTTTAGGAGGGCGTGATGGAAAGGCCCCTGGAGAATGGGGATGAGTCCCCAGACTCTCAGGGCCATGCCACCGACTGGAGATTTGCTGTGTGCAGTTTCAGGGATGCCTGGGAAGAGGAGGAACCTGCTTCCCAGATGCACGTTAAGGACCCAGGTCCTCCAAGACCACCAGCCGGGGCCACCCAGGATGAGGAGCTACAGGGCAGCCCCTTGTCCAGGAAATTCCAGTTACCCCCAGCTGCAGATGAGTCGGGGGATGCCCAGAGGGGCACAGTAGAAAGCTCCTCAGTCCTGTCAGAAGGGCCAGGCCCCTCTGGAGTGGAGAGTCTCCTATGCCCCATGTCCTCCCACCTCAGCTTGGCACAGGGTGAGAGTGACACCCCAGGGGTAGGGTTGGTAGGGGACCCAGGTCCAAGCAGGGCGATGCCATCTGGCTTGAGCCCTGGGGCATTGGACAGCGACCCTGTGGGCCTTGGAGACCCTTTATCAGAAATATCAAAGCTGCTGGAGGCAGGTAAGGAAGGCTGGGCTAGGGAAGTCTGGGAAGGGAATGGGGATGCCTGGAGAGATGAGTGTCAAGACTTTGGAGGTCTCTGACCCTACTCAGGCTGAAGCCCGGGTCCAAGTAGGGGTCTCTGGATAGGTGGTCCAAGGCAGACCCAAGTCATTTCCCTTCCCAAGCCCCCAGTGGATCCGGCCTCCCTAAGCCTGCTGACTGCCTCCTGGCCCAAGACCTCTGTTGGGAGCTGCTGGCCAGTGGTATGGCCACCTTGCCAGGTAGCCAGGCGGGCCTAGAGGCGGTGGAGGTGGAGTGGCCCAATACGGCAGGAGTTCACTGCTTCCTCCCCACAGGGACTCGGGATGTCCAAGGCCGGGCAGTGCTGCTTCTGTGTGCCCACAGCCCAGCCTGGCTTCAGTCTGAGTGCAGCAGCCAGGAACTCATCCGCCTCCTGCTGTACCTGCGAAGCATCCCCAGGTTTGAGGGAGGGGGTTGGGAGACTGAGCCTGAGCCAGCTGTGAGGACTGGGAGTCAGGTACTGAACTGAAGCTCACCCCTTTAGGCCCGAAGTACAGGCACTGGGACTGACAGTGCTAGTTGATGCCCGAATTTGTGCTCCAAGTTCTTCCCTCTTCTCTGGGCTCAGCCAACTACAAGTGAGTACAGGATTGTAGCTCCCCTCATTCCTTTTCTTTTCTTTTTTTTTTTTTTTGAGACGGAGTCTTGCCTTTGTCGCCCAGGCTGGAGTGCAGTGGCGCAATCTTGGCTCACTGCAAACTCTATCTCCCCGATTCAAGTGATCCTCCTGCCTCAGCCTCCCAATTAGCTGAGATTACAGGCACCTGCCACCATGCCCAGCTGATTTTTGTATTTTTTAGTAGAGAGGGGGTTTCACCATGTGTTGCCCAGGCTGATCTCGAACTCCTGAACTCAGGTGATCCTCCCGCCTCGCCTCCCAGAGTGCCGCAATTACAGGCGTGAGCCACCATGCCCTTTTCTGTAGAGTTGGGGATAGTGCTGAGCTCAGGTTCCTTGCAGGAAGCAGCCCCAGGGGCCGTGTACCAGGTGCTGCTAGTGGGAAGCACGCTGCTGAAGGAAGTGCCTTCCGGGCTGCAGGTACTAAGCCCAGTTGGCTAGGGGTAGAGGTGGGGTGCCTCCCCCCAGGCCTGGGTCACAACACCTTCTTCTCCTGTAGCTGGAGCAGTTGCCTTCTCAGAGCCTGCTGACCCACATCCCAACGGCGGGGCTGCCCACTTCGCTAGGAGGAGGCCTGCCTTACTGCCACCAGGCCTGGCTGGATTTCCGAAGGGTCAGTACACTGGGTGGGGCATGGGGGCAGTCATATAGGCAACTTGGGATCATGGAGGAGCCTCTCTGGGGCTGGCTTGAACCAGACAAAGCTGGCTGCAGTGGCCTGGAACCCAGGAAGCCCAGGACCAACACTGCATGCTGCTCCGGTCATGCCTGCCCCTGCTTACAGCGGCTGGAAGCTCTACTACAGAACTGCCAGGCAGCTTGTGCCCTGCTCCAGGGGGCCATCGAAAGTGTGAAGGCTGTGCCCCAGCCCATGGAGCCTGGGGTGAGTGTCCCCTCCCAGTCCCTCCATGAATGCTCCCTGTCTCCCTCCTTCTCTCCCATGGCCACCTCCACAGCTTATTGCCCTCAATCACAGGAGGTCGGTCAGCTGCTACAGCAGACAGAGGTCCTGATGCAGCAGGTGCTAGACTCGCCATGGCTGGCATGGCTACAATGCCAGGGGGGCCGGGAGCTGACATGGCTGAAGCAAGAGGTCCCAGAGGTGACCCTGAGCCCAGACTACAGGTGAGTGCAAGCCCGGCCCCCAGATCTTGCCCCAGCCCACCATATTCTATGCCAGGACTCATCTGGCTAGCTCAGAACCTGGTAGGACTGTGGTGCCAGGACAGGGTGGAGTGGTGCAAGGCAGGGGGTCTAAGATGGTATACCCTACACCAGGACGGCAATGGACAAGGCTGACGAGCTATATGACCGGGTGGATGGATTGCTGCACCAACTGACCCTGCAGAGCAACCAGCGAATACAGGCCCTAGAGTTGGTCCAAACACTGGAGGCCCGGGAAAGCGGACTGCACCAGGTCGGAACTACTTGCCCAGAGTGGGCCCTGCCCCGATCTCAGACGTGAGCCCCCAGTCCATAGCAGCTCTCTTCACTTTTCCCTGCTTGTGCTCCTCCAGATTGAAGTGTGGCTGCAGCAGGTGGGCTGGCCAGCACTGGAGGAGGCTGGGGAGCCCTCGCTGGACATGCTGCTCCAGGCCCAAGGCTCTTTTCAGGAGCTGTACCAGGTTGCCCAGGTATATGTGGTCACTTGTTCATGCCACGGGTATTGGGATGCAATGCCAGGAACTAGGAATGCAGAACTGTGTGAAAGCAATTCAATCCTTTGCTTTCTTAGACCTTATAGTCCCATAGAAGATATCAGTTGTAATTAATCACAGTCATATATGTGCCTGTAAACCCAGGCAAGATCTCTGGAGAGAATCAGTGCAGGTGATTCTGCCTGAGGGTATAACCAAGACTTTACCCAGCAGGAGTGTCAGGCAAGCTTTTTTTGGGTGATTTTTGAGCTGAGAGTTGAAAGATAAGTTGAGGTCAACCAGGCAGAAGAGGGTTGAGGATGGGGGCACATTCCAGGCTTGGAAGATAGCATGTGCAAAGGTCCTGTGGCAGGATGGAGGACGGTGTGCCTGAGGAATCATAAGGCCAGTGAGGTTGAAATGCAGAGCAGAGAGGAAGAAAGAGTTGGGGGAGTTGCGGTGGGACAAGCCTGGTCAGTGGCCACATCACTGGGCCCTGTAGCAGTCAGTGTGGAGTTTAATCAGGAAGGCCATGTAATCAGATCCATATTCTAGGAAGATTGCCTTCGTTTCCGAGTAGACAGTGACTTGGAGGATGGGCATGGGGAGTGCAGTGAAGAGGCAATTGCAGTAGTCTAGGTGGGAAATAGTGCCTCCTCTGGCCAGGATAGTGGCAGGGGAGACGGGTTGGAGAAGTTGATGGGATTTGCTATGTACCCATGTGGGAGGGTAAGGGACAAGGATGTTGCAAGGATGAATGGGTGCTGTTCCCTGAGAGACTAGGAGATGAGGTCATCTTGGGGGAAGGGCATTCAAGAGTCCGGTCTTGGGCATGCTCGAGATGGCTGTGAGGGATGAGAGGAGGGCCCTTGGGTCTTGGGCCTGGAGCTCAGAGGAGAGGTCTAGCTGGAGAGGATCACTTGGTGGGTCCAGGTGTTTGGATGACATTTGAAGTTGGTCACACAAGAGTGCCTGGGAGAGCGAGTGCACTGTCCTCAGGATCCCCAGTGTTTAATGGCCTAGGTGAGGGAAGGGGAGCAGGACGAGCCACCAGAGAAGAGTGAGGAGAATCAGGAGCGTGGGGAGGAGCTGGGGGAGCCCAGTAGAGAGTGGGCTGAATGACGCTGAGAGTTGGAGTCAGTGAGGCCTGAGAAGCGCTGGGGACGGGGCAGAGTGGAGCTGGAGAGGGCTGGTGCGGAGGGCGAGACGAGACGGTGAGGACAGATGATTCCTCTAGGAACTTTGGCTGTGGAGAAGGGGAGTGGATGTGGGTGGGGAGTAGGAGATACGGGTAGATGTTCCACCACAGGACAGACTTGATGGGGACATGTCGATATGTCAGCAGGAAGTATCTGAGTCTGGGGGCTAGACCGCCAGGCCTGGGCTGGCTGAGCCTAGTCTCTGTCTCTGCAGGAGCAGGTCAGGCAAGGGGAGAAGTTTCTGCAGCCGCTGACTGGCTGGGAGGCGGCTGAACTGGACCCCCCTGGGGCACGCTTTCTGGCCCTGCGAGCCCAGCTGACTGAATTCTCTAGGGCTTTGGCCCAGCGGTGCCAGCGGCTGGCGGATGCTGAGAGGCTGTTTCAGCTCTTCAGGGAGGTGGGTGAGAGTCTCCCCAGCTCCAAGTGATCCATGAGGCCGGAGGGATGGCAGCCCCAGCTTCAGCAGAGCCTGAGCTTTTCTTGGTCATGCTGCCTGTTCTCTTCCCTGGTCTTCAGTTTGACCCTAAAACCCAGTCACTGGGGCTGTGTCCTGGACAGCATCCTGTGGGGATGGGGAGTGGGTAGAGGAGCAGAGTGCCCAGCAGGCTTGGCAGGATCTTCCTCTAATGCTTGTCCGGCCCTGGTGTTGCAGGCCTTGACGTGGGCTGAGGAGGGGCAGCGAGTGTTGGCAGAGCTGGAGCAGGAACGCCCGGGGGTTGTGTTGCAGCAGCTGCAGCTGCACTGGACCAGGCACCCTGACTTGCCTCCTGCCCACTTCCGAAAGATGTGGGCTCTGGCCACGGGGCTGGGCTCAGAGGCCATCCGCCAGGAGTGCCGCTGGGCCTGGGCGCGGTGCCAGGACACCTGGCTGGCCCTGGACCAAAAGCTTGAGGCTTCACTGAAGCTACCACCGGTGGGCAGCACAGCTAGCCTGTGTGTCAGCCAGGTCCCCGCTGCACCTGCCCACCCTCCCCTGAGGAAGGCCTACAGCTTCGATCGGAATCTGGGGCAGAGTCTCAGTGAACCTGCCTGCCACTGCCACCATGCGGCCACTATTGCTGCCTGCCGCAGACCAGAGGCTGGAGGAGGTGCCCTGCCCCAGGCATCCCCTACTGTGCCTCCACCAGGCAGCTCTGACCCCAGGAGCCTCAACAGGTATGGGCAGTAGGCAGGGCGGGGAGGGCAGTAAAGGAGAGATGTCTTGGGTCCTGACTCCCCATACCTGGTAGGCTACAGCTGGTGCTGGCAGAGATGGTGGCCACGGAGCGGGAGTATGTCCGGGCTCTAGAGTACACTATGGAGAACTATTTCCCCGAGCTGGATCGCCCCGATGTGCCCCAGGGCCTCCGCGGTCAGCGTGCCCACCTCTTTGGCAACCTGGAGAAGCTGCGGGACTTCCACTGCCACTTCTTCCTGCGTGAGCTGGAGGCTTGCACCCGGCACCCACCACGAGTGGCCTATGCCTTCCTGCGCCATGTAAGCCCGACAGGCCATGTGGTATCAGCTCGTTCTGCCACACTCCCGAAGTTGCTGCTGGGCACATGCTTGGTGCCAGTCCCTGTGCTATGAGTATAGCTATGAGCAAGACTGGCAGGCTCCTGCACCTGAGGGTGCTCTTAGTCCAGTAGAGGAGACATAGAAGCAAGAACGATACTTGTAGATTATAGTTGGGGCTAGGAGGAAAATAAGCAGGATAGATGCTTGTGAATTACTGGCGGGGCAGGGGCTCCACTTTAGAGGGCCTGAGTGCGGTGCCAGGACACCTGGTACAAGAGGAAGTCTTTGAGAGGCTGATGTTTAAGCTGAGGAATAGGGGAGGGGCTGGAGTGAGTGTCCCACCCAGAGGAAAGAGCAAGTACAAGGTCGTGTGGAGGAAAGGGGGCCTGCCAAGGAGGTGGCTGAGTGTAGTGAGCAGGACAGTCCCAGGTGAGGTGAGCTCTTAGAGCCGTGGGAGGAGCAGAGCTGAAGGCAGGAGCTCAGTCTGAGGGCAAGGGGCTTCTTCCTTGGGGGCCTGTGGGCACACCCCCTTTGCCCAGTACTGTTCTTGCCAAATCACCCCTTGTTCAAAGCAGGGAAGACTGGGTCTGTAGGGGAGGCCTCCCTAAGAGGCATCTACTGGCATTTTGGTCCTCTCAAGCTGAGGGTGGTCTAGCCTGTGCCAGCCTTAGGGAGCTGGCCCCTTTGCACTGGGGCTGAGCCACATGTCCTTGTAGAGGGTGCAGTTTGGGATGTACGCGCTCTACAGCAAGAATAAGCCTCGCTCCGATGCCCTGATGTCAAGCTATGGGCACACCTTCTTCAAGGTAAGTGAACCTGAGATTAGGAGGAGTAGGGGATGCGGGGAGTGCCCCCAAACCACTCAGTGGCCTCCCATCCGCCCACAGGACAAGCAGCAAGCACTGGGGGACCACCTGGACCTGGCCTCCTACCTGCTAAAGCCCATCCAGCGCATGGGCAAGTACGCACTGCTGCTGCAGGAGCTGGCACGGGCCTGCGGGGGCCCCACGCAGGAGCTCAGTGCGCTGCGGGAGGCCCAGAGCCTTGTGCACTTCCAGCTGCGGCACGGAAACGACCTGCTGGCCATGGACGCCATCCAGGGCTGTGATGTGAGTCATCCCAGGGCAAGGGCAGTGGGTGTGAAGAAGAAGGCAGAAGAGGCTGGCCACCCACCAGCCCCCAACTCTGCAGGTTAACCTCAAGGAACAGGGGCAGCTGGTGCGACAGGATGAGTTTGTGGTGCGCACTGGGCGCCACAAGTCCGTGCGCCGCATCTTCCTTTTTGAGGAGCTGCTGCTCTTCAGCAAGCCTCGCCATGGGCCCACAGGGGTTGACACATTTGCCTACAAGCGCTCCTTCAAGGTAGGCCTGCCCACCCCAGGCCCCACCACTTGTTTTCCCGCCCCATGCCTTACCAAGCCCCTCTCTCCCGCTGGCCACAGATGGCAGACCTTGGTCTCACTGAGTGCTGTGGGAACAGCAACCTGCGCTTCGAGATCTGGTTCCGCCGCCGCAAGGCCAGGGACACCTTTGTGCTGCAGGCCTCCAGCCTGGCTATCAAGCAGGCCTGGACAGCTGACATCTCCCACCTGCTTTGGAGGCAGGCCGTCCACAACAAGGGTGGGTCCATGCCCCTCCTTCACGCCACACTCCCCTCACTGGAGAGCTTACATTGACCCACAGGAGCCCAGAGACCTGGGAAAAGCTCGGGAAGTGGGGAGAAGGCCCAGCGACAGCCACCAGTGCAGGAGAAAGGATTTCAAAGCCAGGCAGCCTTGCTGTCACTGCCTCTGACTTTGGACACAACGTGAACTTCTCTGAATATAAGGGGCATCATGGCTCTCTCTCTCTTTATTTTTGGAGACAGGGTCTCGCTCTGTCGCCCAGGATGGCGTGCAGTGGCATGATCTTTGCTCATTGTAGCCTCTGCCTCCTGAGCTCAAGCATTCTTCCCACCTAAGCCTCCCAAGTAGCTGAGACTACAGGCATGTGCCACCATGCCTAATTTGTAAAATTTTTTCATAGAGGTCTCATTATATTGCCCAGACTGGTCTTGAACTCCTGGGCTCAAACAATCCTCCTACCTCGGCCTCCCAAAGTGTTGGGATTACAGGCGTGAGCCACTGCGCCCAGCCAGGGGCCTCATCTTTAAAAGGGGAATATGGCACCTGCCCCACAGGATTGTTGGGAGGAGAGCACCTGGCACTAGAAAGGCTCAGCTCACAGGACAGTTAATGTGCTGGATGGAGGTGTACAGGAAAGACTTATCTGGGGGGTGGTAGAGGCCCAAGGACAGGCTTATGTCCAGAAGCATCCCACTTATGTCCACTCTCCACCCAGAGGTGCGCATGGCTGAGATGGTGTCCATGGGTGTGGGGAACAAGGCCTTCCGAGACATTGCTCCCAGCGAGGAAGCCATCAACGACCGCACCGTCAACTATGTCCTGAAGTGCCGAGGTAGCAGGCAGGCTACAGGGTGTGGGGGTGGGAGTAGGAAAGCTGTGCGGGAAGCACTGTGGCCCTCCATTAGTGCTGGCCCGCACTTTCCTTGGGATCTGGGGCCAGGCTAGGCTCTGGCCTGTCCCAACCTGACCCTCTCTCTTATGCAGAAGTTCGCTCTCGGGCGTCCATTGCCGTAGCCCCGTTTGACCATGACAGCCTCTACCTGGGGGCCTCGAACTCCCTTCCTGGAGACCCTGCCTCTTGCTCTGTTCTGGGGTCCCTCAACCTGCACCTGTACAGAGACCCAGCTCTTCTGGGTCTCCGCTGTCCCCTGTATCCCAGCTTCCCAGAGGAAGCAGCACTGGAGGCTGAGGCAGAGCTGGGCGGCCAGCCCTCTTTGAGTATGTCTGGGCCTAGCCAGAGGCAGGAGGGCATGGCTTGGGGTCTGGGGCTTCCCGTGCTGACAGTTCACCCAGTCTCCCTCCCTAGCTGCTGAGGACTCAGAGATCTCGTCCCAATGCCCATCAGCCAGTGGCTCCAGTGGCTCTGACAGCAGCTGTGTGTCAGGGCAGGCCCTGGGTAGGGGCCTGGAGGACTTACCCTGTGTGAGTGCCATTTGCCCTATACCCACCAGCCCTTCCCCAGCCCAAGCTGAGCCTGTGACTGTGACCAGCCCCTCCCCAGCCCAGGCTAGGCCTTTACTTTGGGTAGAGCTTGGGGTGGGTGGGCCAGAGCCATTCCCCAGACACCTCCTGGGTCCAGAGTCAGGGAAGCAGGCATTCATGCCTGGCCTGGCCCTGCAGGTCTGAGCCCGGGACTGGACGAGCAGTAGATCCAGCAGCCTGCAGCTCCAAGGAACATTGCCTCTCTGGATCTGCTGTGACCAGGGTGTGGCTGACACCTGGGCTACCTCCAACCTACATGTGCAACGCTGTTGACTACCCTTTCTGATGTGTGTGGCCATTGGACTAACTGGCACGGGGCCTCTCTAGGGAAGTCTGGTTGTAGAGCCTGAATAGGCTCCTGGCCCCATGACCCCTTCTCCTGTCCCCAGCTCCCATCCCAGTTGTGGGTTAAGAATAGGCTAGAGCAGACATTGGGTGTTTCCATGCTGTAGGCTGGTGGGGGACCATGTGCCTCTAGGCAGTGACTAGGGTGCCCCCACCCCTCAGGAAGAACACAGGTGGGCTCCTAGCAGCTGATCCCCAATGCCTGGCCTTAAAGCCGAGCTCAGTTACCATAGGGACAGGTCCACCTCTACTGGGCCCTCATGCTTGCCTTTCCTGGCCCCCAGGCCCAGCCCCTTTTTACTGGGGCAGTTTCGTTATTTTGACTTGATGCCTTTTGAATAACTTTCAATAGAATTGTCTAAAATTATCTTACTGGTTGTTAGGCCTTTGGTGTCTCAGAGAAGGAGTCTAGGTCTTTGATGTGTGATTTAATCTTTTATTTGTTTATAATAAAAAATAGACTGATATGTACCCTCTGATGGGCACATGCATTCTGGGCTATCTCCAATTAAAATGAGACTTGGCGGGTGGGGCATGAGGGGCTGCATCTCTGGGCACCCTAGTCCTCTTGTAGGTACTTTCCCAGGATGGAGTAAGAGACAGACCTAGACAGGCCCCTCTGGATGAGCAGGTCCATGCATCGGCCATATTTCCTGGCGAAGGGCAGTGTAAGCTGGAAGGAAAGGCCAGTCTTATCCCTGATTTCCTGGCCAGTTGTCTACTCTAGCTCCATGTGGGTGGGGTTCTCCCATTGGGGCAGGGA